>NC_000002.12:100216890-100519921 GCF_000001405.40 Homo sapiens | reverse complement strand
CTCCGCCTCCTGGATTCAAGTGATTCGCCTGTCTCAGCCTCCCCGGTAGCTGGGATTACAGGCACATGCCACCACACCTGGCTAATTTTTGTATTTTTAGTGGAGACGGGGTTTCATCGTGTTGTCCAGGCTGGTCTCAAACTCCTGACCTCAGGTGATCTGCCCACCTCAGCCTCCCAAAGTGCTGGAATTACAGGCATGAGGCACTGCACCCAGCTGGATTGTTTGTTTTCTTATTGTTGAGTTTTAATTGATCTCTGCATTTTTTGGTTTCAAAACTTTTATCAGATATGTGTCTTGCAAGTATTTTCTCTCAATCTGTGGCCTTAAAAAAATCCTCTTGCCAGGTGCAGTGGCTCACGCCTATAATCCCTGCACTTTGGGAAGCTGAGGAGGGTGGATCACTTGAGGTCATGGGTTTGAGACCAGCCTGGCCAACATGGTGAAACCCTGTCTCTACTAAAAATACAAAAATTAGCTGGGCATGGTGGCGCACGCCTGTAATCTCAGTTAAGAGACTGAGGCAGGAGAATTGCTTGAACCTGGGAGGTGGAAGTTGCAGTGAGCCAAGATGGTGCCACTGCACTCCAGCCTGGGTAACAGAGTGAGACTCTGTCTCAAAAAACAAAACAAAACAAAAAACAAACAAACAAAAACAAATTACCATGTCGTATCAAAAGCCCAACACCTCTTGATTTTGGGTTATAAGACAACTGATTGATTAGCTGATGTGGATCTCTCAGCCAACAGCCAATTGAAGAGAGAAGGTTGCTGCTGTTCCTGCAGCTAGAGAAGTGACCAAACAAGCAGAGGAGGCTGTTTCCTATGACTGGATTGCCCTTTCCTCCCTCATACAGCCCACAGTGACAGGGTCAAGATCAGCCTCCTGTCCCAGATCCTGCCTTCTTTCTTCTTTGCCACAGCTACCTCTACAGATGTAAAATCACTTGGTCATGAGTCACATAGTATCACTGGAATGCGTATACAGCCATTGCCAAGGTAGCACAGTCCTAGAAAACTGTCAAAATCTCAGAAACATAATTCTTCCACCAAAAACGAAATAAAAAATAACTTTACTCCTTCTTGTATGTCTCATACACTAGACATGGAACTCACAGATCACAGGAAGACTATTTATTTTAAAATTTAATTATTATTATTATTTTTTGAGACAGGGTCTCTCTCTGTCACCTAGGCTGGAGTGCAGTGGCTCGATCTTGGCTTACTACAACCTCTGCTTTCCAGGTTCAAGCAATTCTCCTGCCTCAGCCTCCTGGGTAGCTGGGATTACAGGCACAGAACACCATGTCCGGCTAATTTTTGTATTTTTAGTAGAGACTGGGTTTCACCATGTTGGCCAGGCTGGTCTCGAACTCTTGACCTCAAGTGATCCGCCCACCTTGGCCTCCCAAAGTGCTAGGATTACAGGCGTGAGCCACCGTGCCCGGACATGAAAACTTATTTAAAAACCGATTTTCTGTTCCATCAATTGCCATACTTTTTGTAGCTGCACCCACAGCTCTCTTTTCAAAATAGCATGAAAAACACCCCTTCCGACCTAAACTTTAGGCCTCTTGTCTTATCCCCATTTACTTTTTATTCTGTATCCCCAAATCCCAAAGAACAAATTTTGCAAGGCGAGATGCTTCTCAAAGCTGTTTAACTCAGAATCTTCTTGGTGATCGGAGGATAGGTGGTAGGAATTGCAGCTTCAAAATGTTTCCCCAAGACACACAAATATTGTAGTGGACTAAAAGTTTACTTCCTCTAACTCTGATCTTTTGGAGCCTCCCTTCAATATCTTCACAGTGACCTTTCTCCCTGGTCCTTCATGTTCTCATGTTTGTACCCTACCCCAAATACAATTCCTTTTATTGTCTTCTATGTGTATGATAAAGTTATCTTCCAGGGGTATTTATATTTATAGGGGTACATATGTTTAATCCAAGGGACTTTTTCCTCCCAGCAAATCTAAGAATGAAGCTGAGATATCATCCAACTCCAGGAGAAATTAGACCCTAGAGGTCTTCTTCCAGCTAAGAGATTTATATGAAGAACTCTGCCTGAACTGCCCTAGGGATACACAAACTAAAATTAGAAAATCAAGTTAAAGGAGCAATTGTTGAGCTCCTTCTGTCTCTTCTCCATAGAAAAACTCCTTAACACAAGAAAACACGCTATAACTTTGAAAGTTCTGCTCAGCATTGTCCTTAGGGAGATGTTTTCTGCAGGCTGCTACATGACTGGTCAAATTCATTCATTTTCATTTTCATTCCATCCCACAGCCTTAGTGAGATCTTTCTATTCTCTAACATGAATGAGATGTTGAAGATTCATGTTTATCTTAATGTACAGAGAACCTGGGTGAACATTTCCTAGGAATTAATATAAAGCAGCCTGTCCACTGTTGAAGATACCATAAGGAATTATATGCAGCTAAGAGTATAAGAAAAGTTCAGAGCTCATGTCTTATCTTAAAGCTACAGGAGTTTGGTGGGAGGTATAGCAATTTCAAAGGTCTACTCAAAAACAATTACATTCACTGGATACTTAGGGATACAATCCTAATTTAGGAATGAGTTGTTCTTTACTTAGAAATGAATGTCTGCCAAGAGTTATTCTATGTGTTTTGCAAATATCTCTCATTTTTTCAGTTATTCTACAAAATAGTTGATCTTATCTCTCCTTGGCCTATGAAGAAACTGAGGCACAGAAGGTCGAATACCACCCCTGAGGCCATGCCATGGCTGCCCAGAGCTGTGTTCCAATCCATGATTTCTCAGGCTAAAACATGAGGTTTGCAACTCTACCATCCTACCTTTCTTTCAGGCCCTAAAGGTATCAGGGGCCCAGAAACACATTAATTTAATTTACGTTGATCAGACAGGACCTCTGACACCATTTTTTTAATTGTAAACCACAGGATTTTGGGGCCCTGCTCAATTATGTGGTTTTGTTTCTGTTTTCACAGCACATAAACTCAGATCTGTGTTGTATCAAATAGTTTCTCAGAATTATAGCTATTAGTCTCACACACAAAAAATAACATAATTTTTAGGAAGCAACTTGACCTTTTGTTGAAAGGGCTATTTCTTCTTGAAAACACTGGTTAATGGCTGGGCACAGTGGCTCATGCCTGTAATCCCAGCACTTTGGGAGGCTGAGGCGGGCGGATCACGAGGTGAGGAGTTCGAGACCAGCCTGGCCAACGTGGCAAAACCCTGTCTTTACTAAAAATACAAAAATTAGTCGGGTGTGGTGGTGTGCGCCTGTGATCCCTGCTACTTGAGAGGCTGAGGCAGGAGAATTGCTTGAAACTGGAAGGCGGAGGTTGCAGTGAGCCGAGATTGCTCCACTGTACTCCAGCCTGGGCAAAAAGATTGAAACTTTGTCTAAAAAAACAAAAATAAACAAACAAAGAAACAAACAAACAAACAAAAAAAACAGTGGTTACCATTTAGCACCTGAAAAATGACAAAGTATATTAACTGTCCTGACTATTGTGGCAGGTATATTTCACTGCATTGCATTTCCTGAAACTGTAGAAGCATTTTTTAGGCAGCCGGGGCTTGTTTTAGTAAAGGAGGTACCTTGATTTCACTCAAGAATGTGGCCCTGAAGAATAACACTGTTGTTCGTAATTGCAGAAACAGAATCTTCTTGCCCAGCTTCAACCGGAGAAACAGCCTGAATTCAGCACTGAGGCTGTATAAATGTATGAGCTGAGGAGTGAAGCAAAATCCATCATGAGAACTAAGAAATCTTCAAGATTATTTGGAACCCTGATTATTTATGGGCAGTAAAATTAAGACCCAGAATAGAAATAGGGTCAGCAGAAGACAATGTCATGCTGGGGCCCAACCCTCTACTCCCAGCCTTTCCTTAAGGCTTAAAAATCCATGTGCACATTGGAGTTGGTAAATGACATACTAAAGCCAAACCAAGGCTTTCTGATTCTGTGCTCGCCCTGTCCTATTTTTTACTTCCATACTTGCTCTGTGAGGACACCTTCCTCGACTCTCGCACTCCCCACTGCCGGCCCCCACTTCCCCACCTTTGCCTGGCCAGCTCCTTGTCAACTCACTTAGCTTGTCTACTCTTCCAGAAGCTCTACCGAAGCTGAGACTATGCTTCTCTCCATCATAGTGGACACTGCTCTCTCTGCACCATCACAAGATCATGTACATCTGTCTCCCACCCTGAAATGGGAATTCATTTGGGGCAAGTCCTGGCCTTCTGTTTGTTCCTCAGGCACAATGCATAGGGCTTGGCAAAGAGTAGGTGCTCATTAAATATGTTGAATGAATGATTAAATGAGTAAATCAAAAACAAAGTTAAACATAAAAAGTCATTTTAAACTGCTGGCCGGGAGCAGTGCCTCAAGCCTATAATCCCAGCACTTTGGGAGGCTGAGGCAGGCAGATCACCTAAGGTCAGGAGTTCGAGACCAGCCTGGGCAACATGGTGAAACCCCATCTCTGCCAAAAATACAAAAATTAGCTGGGTGTGGTGGCATGTGCCTGTAATTCCAGCTGCTCGGGAGGCTGAGGTAGGAAGATCGCTTGAACCCGGGAGGCAGAGGTTGCAGTGAGATGAGTGCACTGCACTCCAGTCTTGGCAGAGTGAAACTCCACCTTAAAAAAAAAAAAGTGTTAATCATGAAGGAATTTACTTTTTTTCTGGATGTGGCTGTTGGATATGTGGATATTCACTGACCAGCAGGATGCATGGAAAAGGAAAAATCTAGGCCTATGAGGATGTGCCCTTTTGGAGCCTGAGACCAAGAGTGCCAATCAGGGGCTAGTGCTCCAGCTATTCTTCTAGGAAACACGGAGAATGGGTGAATGGTTGGGTCAATAATAACTTAATTAGTTTGAAGAAAATTAACCTTGAATTTATCCTTAGAGCTTTTTCTAGTCTCTTTCCTATGTGAGAGTTGAGACATATGTATATATTGTAAAACTTATTCATTGTTTACCTGAAAATCAAATTTAACTGACATCTTAAACTTTTATTTGTTAAATCTGGATACTGTACTTTCAATCCTTCTTTTCTCTTCTGAAGCAGGATGTGCAGGGTGGTAGCTAGTTTCACCTACCAGTCTCCTTTCCTCTGTGGCCCATGTTGCCCAGCAAAGCTATTGCAATTGAGTTTTTCCAGATATAACAAATAAAACTTAGCTGGGGGCCAGGCATGGTGGCTCAAGCCTGTAATCCCAGCACTTTGGGAGGCCAAGGCGGGTGGATCACGAGGTCAGGAGTTCAAGACCAGCCTGACCAACATGGTGAAACCCTGTCTCTATTAAAAATACCCCAAAAAATTAGCTAGGCATGGTGGTCTGCACCTGCAATCCCAGCTACTCAGGAGGCTGAGGCAGGAGAATCACTTGAATCGGGGAGGCAGAGGTTGCAGTGAGCTGAGATCACGCCACTGCACTCCAGCCTGGGCAACAGAGCGAGACTCTGAGACTCCGTCACAAAATAAAATAAAATAATAAAATAAAAATCCAAAAATTATCCAGACATGGTTGTGGGTACCTGTAATCTCAGCTACTTGGGAGGCTGAAGCAGAAGAATCACTTGAACCCAGGAGGTGGAGGTTGCAGTTAGCTGAAATTACTCCATTGCACTCCAGCCTGGATGACAAGAGTGAAACTCCATCTCAAAGAATAATAATAATAATAATAATAATAATAATAATAATAATAATAATAATAAAAAACCTGGCTGGGAATTCTATATTTTATCTGACAATCTTAGTTTGAAGTAAAAAGTCCTGATTCCAAAGTCCAACTTTACCATCCACCCAGCTGCATGGTGCCGAGTAACTGAAGACCTTCTCTGAGCCTGTTTTTGCAAGGACAAAGGCATCTTGTAGGCTTAAAGTGCTATAAATATGTTGTTGTTTTTGTGTTTTTGTATCTGGCTCTTCTACTTTTTAAGCTTAGAGAGAAGGGCCGTGTGTGTCACCTTGATTGGACTGAAGGGTGCAAAGTATTGTTCCTGGGTGTGTCTGTGGAGGTCTTGCCAAAGGAGATTAACATTTGAGTCAGTGGACTAGGAGAAACAGACCCACGCTGAATCTAATCAGCTGCCAGCACTGTAGAATAAAGAAAGCAGAAGTTGGAAGGACTAGACTTGCTGAGTCATCCAGCCTTCATCTTTCTCCTGTGCTGGATGCTTTCTGCCCTCGAACATCATACTCCAAGTTCTTCACCTTATAGACTCTTGAACTTACACCAGTGGTTTGCAGGTGCTTTCAGGCCTTCGGCCACAGACCGAAGGCTGCATTGCCAGCTTCCCTACTTTTGAGGATTTCGGACTTGGACTGGCTTCCTTGCTCCTCAGTTTGCAGATGGCCTATTGTGGGACTTCATCTTGTAATTGTGTGAGTCAATACTCATTAATAAACTTCATATATACATCTATCCTATTAGTTCTGTCTCTCTAGAAAACCCTGAGAAATGCAATGTGCTATTCAGTTCTGACTCTTCAAAGCATCTCATAGGTATTTTGACCTGTGGTAGGTAGTGTCACATGATTATTGAGACAATAACCACATGACATCCAACCCCTGGTGGAGTCTCATGTTGGATGCCTAGAAGGATTGGTTATGTCTACCTCTCAAAGTGAGATAGAGGCAGACAGGCTAAGAGAGGTCAGAGTGACTGCCCCTAGGCAGTGAGGCATTAGGAGTCATGGTCGGATGAGCCCAGGATGTTATGGGAGGTAAGATGTAGAAATGATT
This sequence comes from Homo sapiens, assembly GCF_000001405.40. Classification (NCBI taxonomy): domain Eukaryota; kingdom Metazoa; phylum Chordata; class Mammalia; order Primates; family Hominidae; genus Homo; species Homo sapiens. The sequence goes on along the minus strand of NC_000002.12, from coordinate 100,513,174 downwards.
TGTGTTGTAATTGCAAGGTTCAGACAAGTGAGATGCAACACCAAAATCCTACAAAAGTGTCTTTTATACCAGTGATTCTCATCTTTAAATGCCCATGAGAATCATTTGAAGATTTTGTGAAAATTCAGACTCTGATTTCAGTAGATCTGGGTTGGGGATCAAGTATCTGGATTTCCGTTGTTGTTGCTTTGAGACAGTTTCTCACCCTGTCGCCTAGGCTGGTGTGTACTGGTGCAATCATAGTTCATTGTAGCCTTAATCTCCCAGGCCCAAGAGATCCTTCCACCTCAGCCTTCCAAGTGGCTGAGACCAGGTGCATGCCACCACACTCGGCTAATTTTTTAATTGTTTGTAAAGATGAGGTCTCACTATATTGCCCAGGCTGGTCTCAAACTCTTAGGCTCAAGTGATCCACCTCCTCGGCTTCCCAAAGTGCTGGGATGACAGGTGTGAGCCACCACGCCTGGCCAAGATTCTGCATTTCAAACAAGCTCTGTGGTGATGCTGATGTTGCTGGTCCATGAACTTCACTTTGAGTAGCAAAGCTCTAAGTCAATATCTACTCTTCCAGGATGGGAGGCTCTAACATGAAGCCACTGTGGCGGCTAGTGCAGGCAGTTCACTGCAGTCTCTTTCACCAGCTGAGCCATGATGGCATTAATAGGCATGAAAGCCAGTGGTTCTCGGCCATGGATGTATGTTAAAATCTCCTCAGAGCTTTAAAATTCACCTATGGCCAGGTCCCAACCCCCAAACAATTCACTCCCAATCTCTGAGACTATCATATTTTTTTAAAAGTCTCCCTCTCTTTTAAGCTATTTATGGTGACATCATCCCCCTTCCTAGGGAATGATTTAAAAATAAGGTGGATTCCATTCTAACCAATGAGACAGACAGCTGGGTAGTATGGGGCAAGATTTTGATGCAGGCAGCACAAGGGAGGAAAGATTTGTTCTTCAGGCCAGTATTGTCCTGGCTGCTTTTGATGATGTTTTGCAAACCTAAGAGTTAAGTCTTGACCTGCTGAGGATGGAGGAGCCCAGAGCTGGGAAGATCCTGCATCTTTGAGGTTAACCTTCAGGGCTGCTCTTCTGTGAGACAACAATGGTCCATTGTGTTGGGGTTTCCACTACTAGGCAGCCAAAAACATTTATCTGTCAGGCACTGGGCTGGACATTTTGTACATATCACTTATTCAATCTTCACAATAGTCATTCAAGATAAGTATTATCATCTGCATTTTACAATAAAAAAATGCAGGCCAGGGAGAAATAAACTGTGTTACCATGCAATATAGAAATGAATTGGTATCATGTCTATGGGGAAGGCTCAGTATTTTCTTTTTTTTTTTTTTTTTTTTTTTTGAGATGGAGTCTTGCTCTGTTGCCAGGCTGCAGTGCAGTGGTGTGATCTCAGCTCACTGCAACCTCCGCCTCCTGGGTTCAAGCGATTCTCCTGCCTCAGCCTCTCAAGTCCCGAGTAGCTGGGACTACAGGCGCGTGCCACCACGTGCAGCAAATCTTTGTGTTTTTAGTAGAGACGGGGTTTCACCATGTTAGCCAGGATGGTCTCGAACTCCTGATCTCAAGATATTCCCTCTCCTCAGCCTCCCAAAGTGCTGAGATTACAGGCGTGAGCCACCGCACCTGGCCAGGCTCAGTATTTTCTTAATGGTGAAACCGTTGGATATATACAATGTTTTTTGTGTATGCAAATCTCTTCTCTCATCAGGCCAAGGAGCAAGTCAACAGGCCTGAAGACCTTACCAGTAGGTCTCAACTTTGGATGCACATTGGAATCCCTTAGGGAATTTTCTAAAAAATCCAATTCCCAGGCTAGAGTTTTTTAATATTGCTAGAAGTTTATCGATCTCAATGAATTTTTTTAAGGAGAGCCAGCTTTTTGTTTCACTAATTTTCTATGTTTTTCTGTTTTCAATTTCATGGATTTCTGCCATAATCTTTATTATTCCCTTCCTTCTGCTTGATTTGGGCTTATTTTTCTCTTCTTTGCCTAGTCTCTTGAAGTAAAAGCTGAAATTATTAATCTGAGATCTTTCTCTAATCTAAGCACTTAGTGTGTTAATTTTCTCTTAGCATTACTTTACATGCATCTCAGAAATTTTGATATATTGTGTTTTCATTTTCACTCAGTTCTATGTACTTTTAACATTTTTATTTATGTGTTTATTTTTTGAGACAAGGTCTTGCTCTGCCACCCGGGCTGGAGTGCAGTGGTACGACCTTGGCTCACTGCAGCCTTGACCTCCTGAGCTCAAGTGATCCTCCTGCCTCCGCCTCACATGTAGCTGGGACCACAGGCCCACACCACCACACCCGGCTAATTTTTTGATTTTTGTCTACAGACAAGGTCTCACTTTGTTTCCTAGGCTGGTCTTGAACTCCTGGGCTCAATCAGTCCTCCTGCCTCGACCTCCAAGGATGCTGGAATTACAGGAGTGAGCTAACATGCCTTGCCTCTATACACTTTTTTATTTTCTTTGAAATTTTGTCTTTGACCTTTGGACTATTAAGAGGTATGTTGTTTAATTTTCAAGTGTTTGATAATTTTTGTGTATGTTTTTCTATTATTTATTTCTAGTTTGATTCCATTATGGTCAGAGAATTTATTCTGTATGATTTCATGTCTTTTAAATTTGTTCAGGTTTGTTTTATGACTCAAAATATGGTCAGTCTTGGTGAATATTTCATGTGTTTCACACCCTGCTACTGTTGAATGGCATGTTCTATAAACATCAATTAGATTCTATTGATTGATGATGTTTTTCAGTTTCCCTATATTCTTTTTTTAATTTTTTGTGCAAAAATATTGTATTTACAAAAATGACACAAAAGTGAATCCAACAGTCAATGCACATGCATAGTTTATTCACATCTTCAACAACAAAAGGTATTTTAACTTTACAGAACTGAATAAGAATATTAGCTTCAATGGCAGCTGTTAAGCACTAGAGTCACATAAGTTACACCAGAATGGGCAAATATTGCCCAAGTAAAATTCTACTGTTAAAACTGAAACAGGTTTAAGGCGATTCTAGTTCAAGCACAGAGATAGAAATCTTTTGGATCCCCATCTAGTTGTGTTTGAAATATGTGACCTTTCTTCTAACTTGTGGTCTTAAACTTCTGTTTTACAAAATCCAAAATACAGAAGAAATCAATACAATAGAGATTATATTAAATAAGAGTAACATACAAAGCTATAATTAAGATGAAGCAATGAAAGCCAAAACATTAAAATTTTAAAACTTGCTTGTTACTTGTTAGAACCAGTACTACACTAGGAGTTAGGTAATATATACAATTATTTTCAAGTAGATTACTTACTTATGTTGCTCTAACACGTCCTCTTCACCAGTGCACTGTTAAACTAATCAAAAACTCTACACATGTATATCCCACAATAGCAGCACACACTACTGCTCACCTGCAAAGCTGTCAGTCTCAAATGATGGGGTAATGAAAGGAAATAAAAAGTAGATAAGTAACATAATAAGGAGAAATAATGGGAATTAGCAGATTCATGCAGTTCAGTTCTTTCAACCAGCCAGCTTGCTAGCAACAATGGATGGTTTCTGTTGAGGAAGGTCCTCTGGAGTGGGAATGTGGTCACCCGTGACCTCCATCTTATCCAGAGCTGCAGTAGGAAGTTGCTCGTTCTTCATTTTTGCTTTAGCCATGTTGTAATCCCCAGAATCAAAATATTTTTGCCCTTTCTGCAATCGTTTCCTTAAGAAATCTGAACCTCCAGGCATTTGTCCCAGATGAGGATATCTTGCTTTTAATTTTGCTGCTTCAACTTTCTCTGGACTAGTCACTGTATCTTCCATTTCCTTCTGCTCCTCCACAGAGGCTGCCTCGGAGACTTCCACAGACATAGTGCTCCCTCTACTAGACCTCGCTTCTCCCACTCGCTGTCGTGTTCGGTTTCCCTATACTCTTACTGATTTTCTGTTAAGTAATTCTATCAATTTCTGAGTGGGTGTTAAATTTCCCAACTATAATCATGGATTCGTCTGTCTTCTTTTAGCTCTCAGTTTTTACTTTATATATTTTGAAGCTCTGTTTTTTGATGTATACACATTTAGGATTGCAATATCTTCTTGATGGATTGAGCTGCCCACCAGTGTTCTGGTGGTGTAGATGTGGCTGTATGGCCCAGGACTTTGCTACTGCTGTTGGTGGCTTGGCCAGCTTACCAGTGCCCTGGTTACAGAATGAGGATGGAGGCTTCTCACTAGGTCTTTGTTAGACTTCTTATTTCCTGATCCTTTGGGTAGAGTTAAGGCTTTTCTCAGAATTTATGTTTATGCCTATGCACATTTCTGGGTAGGTTTCTCCAGTGTCCAGTCCAGAAGTAAATGAGAAATAAAAATAAAACCTAGGGACTTCTCCATGGTGTCACTTCCTCAAGTCATATAGTTCCTAGCCAGTCTATCTTGTTCTTTCCAACATTCAAAGTCCCTTTAGCATTGCCTATCATAATTTCCAGGGCATCTAGTAGCATTTAGAGGGGAGAAAGTGTGATTCTATGCTGTCTTGTTCTGGAACGAGAAAAATGGATGTTTTTTATTTCTTTTTCTTGCTCACTTGCCCTGGCTAGATCCTCCAGTTTGATGTTGAATAGAAATGTTGAAGATAGATATTATTGTGTTGTTCCTCACTTTAAAGAGAAGTATTCATTATTTCCCCATTGCATAGCTGTGAGTTTTTTGTAGATGTCTTTTTTTGAGGAAATTTCTTTTAATTACTTACATCGCTGATAGCTTTTAATCATAGGAGGATATTGGATCTTGTAAAATGCTCTTTTCCTGAATTGATGAAATTGATCTTGTGACTTTTGTCCTTTATTAATAGGATGGTGGATATTGATTGATTTTGTGATGGTAAACCAACCTTGCATTCCAGGGATAAATCTCATTGATCATGGTGTATAATCCTATTTAGATAGACCTGGATTTGGTTTTCTACCATCTTATGGAAATTTTAAAAATCTGTAATCATAAGGGATATTAGTCTGTAGTTTTCTTTTCTTGTGATATCTTTGTCTGGTTTGGGTATCAAGGTAATAGTGGTGTCATAGAATGAATTGGGAGGTGTTCTCTCTTCTTATATTTTTTGGAAGAGTCTGTGAATGACTTTTATTCTTATTTAGATGTTTGATAGAATTCCCCAGTGAAGCCATCTGGACCTGTGTTTTTTTTGGTGGGAAGTTTTAAATTTATTTTATTTTATTTTGAGATGGAGTTTTGCTTTGTCACCAGGTGGGAGTGCAGTGGCATGATTTCAGCTCACTGCAACTTCTGACTCCCAGGTTCAAGCGATTTTCCTGCCCCAGCCTCCCAAGTAACTGGGATTACAGTCGTGCACCACAACGCCCAGCTAATTTTTTTTGTACTTTTAGTAGAGACGGGGTTTTACCATGTTGGCCAGGATGGTCTTGAACTCCTGACCTCGTGATCCACCCGCCTCGGCCTCCCAAAGTGCTAGGATTACAGGCGTGAGCCACTGCGTCCAGCCAACATTTTAAATTTATTAATCCAATCTCTTTATTCATTATATGTCTATTCAAATTTCTTTGAATCATCAGTTACTTAGGAGTATGTTATTTAGTTTTTACATATTTGTGAATTTCTAAAATTTCCTTCTATTATGAATTTCTAGTTTAATTCCATTATGGTCAGAAAACATACCTTGTATAATAGGAATTCCTTTAAAGTTACTGAGACTTGTTTTTTGAACTAACGTGTGGTCTACCCTGGAGATTGTTCCATGTGAAGAATGTGATTTTACTGTTAGAGGGTGGAATGTCTATGGACCTCTTTTATGTCTATATTGTTTAAAGTGTTACTCAAGTCTCCTATATCCTTGTTGATATTCTGCTTAGTTGTTTCATTCATTATTAAAAGTGGAATATTAAAATCTCTATTGCTGTTGAAATGTCTATTTATCCCTTCAATTTTGTCCATTTTTGCTTCATGTATTTTGGAACTGTGTTGTTAGATGCATATGTCTTTACATTTGCTATAGCTTCCTGATGGATTAACACTTTTCATTATAAAACAGCCACTTTTTCTCTACTAATACTTTTTTTCTTAAAGTCTGTTTTGTCTGATAATTAGTGTAATCATTCCAGCTCTCTTACAGTGGCTGTTTGCATGATATGCCATTTTCCAACCTCTTACTTTTAAATTATGTGTATCTTTGAGTCTAGTGTGTGTCTCCTGTAGCTAGCATATAGTTGAATTTTTAAAAATACTATTTGACAATCTCTGTGTTGGATGAAATTGTTTAATCTATTTGAATTGAATATCATTATTAATATGGTTGGATTTACCTCTACCTTTTTGCTTTTTGTTTCTATATATCTCATGTCTTTTTAGTTTTTCAGGTCTTCCTTTATTGCTTTCTTTTGAAAGAAAGCAATATGTCTTTCTTTTGAAAGCAAAAAGTCTTTCAAAAGTCTTTCTTTTGAAAGCAAAAAGTCTTTCAAAAGTCTTTCTTTTGAAAGAAAGACTATGTCTTGATACATAGTCTTGCTCTGTCGCCCAGGGTGGGGTGGAATGCAGTGGCACGAGCTTGGCTCACTGCAACTTTGCCTCCTGGATTCAAATGATTCTCCCACCTCAGCCTCCTGAGCAGTTGGGATTACAGGCATGCACCATCATGCCCAGCTAATTTTTGTAATTTTAGTAGAGATGGAGTTTTGCCTTGTTGGGCAGGCTGGTCCCACCCAAACTCCTGGCCTCGAACGATCCACCTGCCTTGACTTCCCGAAGTGTTGGGATTACAGGTGTGAGCTCCCATGCCCAGCCAAGAGAATATTTTATAGTAACCATTTTAATTCCTTTAGTTGTTTTCTTTGTGATCACTCTAGGTAAGTGTCTCTCGGTAGTTGTTTACAGTATATATCTTAACAGACTTACCTCAGATTTCTGACAACTATATTTCAGTGACATTTAGAAAATTTGCTTCTATATATTTCTATTTCCTCTTTCTCCCTTTTGTGCTATTATTTTTAGACGTATTGAATCTATATATATGTTATAGACTCAGCCATACATTTTTATAATTATTTCCCTGTGTAATTTAATGCCTTTTTAAAAACTAAGTAGAAAGGAATAGAAAGGAGAGTGAGAATGTATATATAGAGCTCATTATATTGAACTTCTTATTTTCCATTTCTTATTCTCTTAATTTCTTCCTGTGGATTCCAGTTAGCATCTAGTATCATTCCTTACAATAATACAGCTTTATTCCCATTGATCTCTTTTGTGCTATTATTATTAAATATATTATGTTTCTATATGCTATAGGCTTGTTGGTACTATTATATAATATTATTTGATGTAATTGTCTTTAAATAAGTTAAAAGAATAAAGGAGAACTATTCTAACATACTCTATTTTGTAATTACCTACATAGTTACCTTTAACAGTACTCTGTTTTTTTAGTCTGAGTTTGAATTTCAGTCTGTTTCCCTTGCTTTCAGCCTGAAGAATGTACTGTAATGTATGTATTAGTCTGTTCTTGCATTGCTATAAAGAAATACTGAGACTGGGTAATTGATAAAGAGATTTAATTGGCTCATGTTCCACAAGCTGTATAGGAAGCATGATGCTGGGCAGATATCTGCTCATCTTCTGGGAAGGCCTCAGGAAACTTACAATCATGGCAAAAGGGGAAGGGGAAACAGACATGTCTTACATAGCAGGAGCAGGAGCAAGAGAAGTTGGGAAGGTGCTACACGCTTAAATTACCAGATCTCGTAAGAACTCACGCACTATCCCTGGAAGAGCACCAAGGAGATGGTGCTAAACCATTCATGAGAAACCACCCCCATGATCCAATTACCTCCCACCAGGCCCCACCTCTAACATTTGGGATTATGATTTGTTATTAAATTTGGGCAGGGACACAGATCCAAACCATATCAATGTATCTTGTAAGATGGGTCTGATCAGAAGAAATTCTCTCAGTTTTTGTTTATTTTAGAATCTCTTTATTTTACCTGCATTTAAAAAAATTAATAAACGTTATTTTCTAGGCAGTTTTAGGTTCACAGAAAAATTGAATGGAAATTAGAGATAGTTCTCATATACCCCTGTGTCCCCAAATGCACAACTTCCCTCACTATTGGTATTCTGCACCACAGTGGTACATTTGTTACAACTGGTGAACCTACATTGACACATCATTATCACCCAAAGTCCATAGTTTGCATTACAGTTCACTCTTGGTGTTGTACATTCTATGGGTTTTGATAAATGTATAATGACATGTATTCACAATTGTAATATCATCCAGAATAGTTTCACTGACCTAAAAATCCTCTGTGCTCTGCCTATTTTATATCTATCTTTGAAAAATAGTTTTTCTAGACATAGGATTCCTTGCTGATATCATCATCATCATCATCATCATCATCATCATCATCATTCTTACTTTAGTTACATGGATAAGTTCTTTAGTGCTGATTTCTAAGATATTGGTGCACCTGTCATCTGAGCAGTATACACTATACCCAATGTGTAATCTTTTATCCCTCACCCTACTCCCATTCTTCTCCTGAAGTCCACAAAGTCCATTATATCATTCTTATGCCTTTGCATCCTCATAGCTTAGCTTCCGCTTACAGGTGACAACATACAATATTTAGTTTTTCATTTCTGAGGTACTTCTCTTAGAATAATGGTCTCCAAATCCATTCAGGTTGCTGTGAATGCCATTATTTTGTTTCTTTTTATGGCTGAGTAGTATTCCATGGTATGTATATACACCACATTTTCATTATCCACTCATTTATTGATGGGCATTTAGGCTGGTTTCGTATTTTTACAATTGCAAATTAGTGCTGTTATAAACATGTGTGCGTAAATGTCTTTTTCCTATAATAATGACTTATTTTCCTTTAGATAGATGCCCAATAGTGGGATTGCTAGGTGGAATGGTAGTTCCACTTTTAGTTCTTTAAGGAATCTCCATAATGTTTTCCACAGTGGTTGTAGTTTACATTCCCACCAGCAGTGTAAAAGTGTTCCCTTTTCAGCACACCCATGTCAATATCTATTATTTTTTGATTTTTAAATTATGGCCATTTTTGCAGGAGCAAGGTGGTATCTCATTTTATCTAATTAAAATTGTTTTAATTTGCATTTCCCTGGTAATTGGGGATGTTGAGCATTTTTTCATATGTTTGTTGGCCATTTGTATATCTTCCTTTGAGAATTGTCTATTCATGACCTTTGCCCACTTTTTGATGGGATTATTTGTTTTTTTTCTTGCTGATTTGTTTGAGTTTCTTGTAGATTCTGGATATTAATCCTTTGTTGGATGCATAGTTTGTGAATATTTTCCCCACTCTGGATTGTCTGTTTATTCTGCTGATTATTTATTTTGCTGTGCAGAAGCTTTTCAGTTTAATTAGACCGCATCTATTTATTTTTGTTTTTGTTGTATTTGCTTTTGGATTCTTGGTCATGAACTCTTCGCCCAAGCCAATGTTTAGAAGAGGTTTTCCAATGTTATCTAGAATTTTTATGGTTTCAGGTCTCAGATTTAATTCTTTAATCCATCTTGAGCTTATTTTTGTATAAAACGAGAATTAAGGATCCAGTTTTATTCTTCTACTTGTGGCTTGCAAATTATCCCAGTACCATTTGTTGAATGGGGTGTTTTTCCTCACTTCATGTTTTTGTTTGCTTTGTCAAATATCAGTTGGCTGTACATATTTGGCTTTATTTCTGGGTTCTCTATTCTGTTCCATTCGTCTACATGCCCATTTTTATACATGCCCATTTTATTGGTAACTATAGTTTTGTAGTATAGTTTGAAGTCAGGTAATGTGCTACCTCCAGATTTGTTCTTTTTGCTTAGTCTTGCTTTGGCTATGCAGGTTCTCTTTTTTGGTTCTATATGAATTTTAGAGTTTTTTTTTCTAGTTCTGTGAAGAATGACGATAGTATTTTGATGGGAATTGTATTCAGTCTGTAGATTGCTTTTGACAGTATGGTCATCTTCACAATATTGATTCTACCCATCCATGAGCATGGGATGTATTTCCATTTGTTTGTGTCATTGATGATTTCTTTCAGCAGTGTTTTGTAGTTCTCTTAGACCTGATTTTTCTTTCAGCACTTTGACTATGCCATCCCATTGGCTTCCACCTTCATTGTTTCGACAATGAATCAGCTGACAATCTTGGGTTTTCTTTGTACATGATGATTCGTTTTTTTTTCTTGCTAATTTCAAGGTTTTCTTCTTTGTCTTTGTGTTTTAACATTGTGAATATGCTTAACAGGGTTGATAGAGATCCTTGATTTTTATCTCACTTGGAGTTCATTGAGCTGCTTAGCTGTGTAGGTTAATGCTTTCCATTAAATTTTGGAAATTTTTGGCAATATTTTTGTGAACATTTTTTCTCCTCCTTTCCCCCCACTCTTTTGGTACTTCCATTTCACATATGTTGATGTGTTTAATGGTCTCCTATATTTCTTTTAGTCTTTTTATTTTTTGTCACGATTTTATTGCCTTTATTCACCAAATCACATAATTTATGTCAATCAATCTTAAAGTGCACTGATTCTTTTTTCTGTCAGCATAAATCTATTTTTGAGCCCCTCTGATGATTTTTTCATTTCAGTTATTGTACTTTTGAACTCCAGGATTTCTATTTGGGTTTCAAGAAAAAATCTATATTGGCATATATGTATATACATATACATATATATACATATGTATATATTTTAGATGGAGTCTTGCTGTGTTGCCAGGCTGGAGCGCAGTGGCGCAATCTTGTCTCGCTGCAACCTTCACCTCCCAGGTTCAAGTGATTATCCTGCCTCAGCCTCCCAAGTAGCTGGCACTACAGGTGTACACCACCACGCCCAGCTAAGTTTTGTATTTTTAGTAGAGATGAGGTTTCAACATGTTGGCCAGGATGGTTTTGATCTCTTGACCTTGTGATCTGCCCACCTCAGCCTCCCAAAGTGCTGGGATTACAGACCTGACCCACCATGCCTGGGCGATATTTCCTATTTAGTGAGACATTGGCCTCAGACCTTCCTTTAATCTTTAAGCATGCTTTCCTTTATATCTTTGAACATATTTATAATTGTTATTTTGAAGTTCTTTATCTGCCAGTTCCAGCGTCTGGACCTTCTCAAAGACAGTTTTTATTTCCTGTTTTCTTTCCCCTTGTGTATGTGTCACATTTTTCTGTTTCTTTGCATTTCTTATAATTTTTATTGAAAACGGGACAGTTCAGATGTTACATTGTAGCCACTTTGGATATTGATCTCTCCCCCAACCCGAATTGTTCTTGCTTACTTGTTCAGCAACTTGGCTGGCCTAGTTCAATGAAGTCCAGTTTTTCCACAATCTATGGAGTCTGATGTAATTCCTCAGGTGTTACTTGGGCATGTAATATAGTCTTTCTGTCCACTGGGGATTACTGTGGTTTCAAATGTAGTATGTTTTACTGTCTCCTTTCCTGATCTTCTCATTAAGTTTCTGGTGGATCTCATTAAACTGACTATGTGATTATTGTTTTTGACAACACCCTGGAGCTTAAATTGCTTCATAGTCTGATCCAATTGAAGTAAGTCCCTTTAGAAAAGGCAAGATGTTGCCTGTCTTTGAGGCTTTCTCTGACTTCCCTCTGTGCTATACATGTTATAAAGCAGGAGCTAGAGAGAGGGGTGGAGAACTCTGCCTTTCCAATCTGGGTCCTCCCTATGGAGAAGATGTGTGTCACGGGTTGAGGAGAGAGTGCTGAAAACTAGTGCCCATGCTGTTGCTATTAGATCTTCTGCTGCACAGAGTCCTGGAAAATGAGATGTGCTGGAATTCACTGGTTGTTCCAAATCTGCTCATAATAGATCTCCAGCCCTAGGAATCTGGGAGTGATAGCAGTTGCCATGCATCTGCTGAGCCCACCAGAGCAGCTCTGCCACATTAGAGAGCTCAGTTGGAAATGAGGTTACTCTTTTCAACAGCTGCCCTGCCAGGATCCTCTCTACATAGTGGGAATTGAGGGTAAAGGAATAGGTGCCACCCAGCCACCACCACCCACTTGAGATAGGCTTTCTGCAGCACGATTTTTAAAAAATGCAATCTGCTAAAGTTCACTATCTACCAAAACCTCCTTGAAGAGCTCTTCCTACCAAGGGAGCTAGGGTTATGTGAACTGCCACTTGGTTGCTGGGCCCACTGGAAGAGTTCTCCCACAAGACAGGGCTGTAGGGAGATAGATGCAGTCCCTAGCTTGAATACCATCAGCTTCCACTGTTCTTACTGAGTTTCCACAGATTTTACGGAATTAATTCTTCTCAATTTATTATAAACTTTTTGCTCAATCTCCAGAGATTTTAAGTGTTTGTGTTTGCTGATTTTGACCAAATAAATAGACGTTTCTCAAGGAGTGGTTTTCCTGGTTACCTCACACTACCATTCTGGAGGTCCTTCCCTGAGGCCTTTTGTTATGTAGCAATAGATAACTAATACAATGGCCAAAGAAGGATGTGTCATGTGTGATTTAAATTAAGGCAAGCAATCATTAAGTGGAGAGCAGGGAGGGCATTTCAAGCAGGAAAACAGAAAGTGCAAAAGTGTGGAAGTTAGAAATACTGAAGAGGATCTGAGTTAGAGAAGTGATTCCCAGAGTGTGGTGCTTTCACAAGCATCATCAGCATCACCTAGGACCTTGTTTTTAATGCAGATTCTTAAGTCCCACTCCAGAGCTAATGAATCAGAATCTTTATGAGTGGAATGTAGCACTCTGGGTTTTAGTGACCTCTGTAGATGTTTCAGAAGCAGGTTAACATTGGAGAACCACTGAAGTAGAGTGTTTTTTTTTTATGAGCTCTAATAGTTGGGCTTCTAATATGCCCAACTTCTAAGTGATTTTCTAGGTTCTTTTTTAAGAAATGAGAAAGAAAGAGCACATAAGTACTTTCTCTTAGTGAATGCTTTAGGACCTTATTAGAGATAATCAGTCATGAGAAGCTGGTCATGATGCAGCAGGTAGGTGTTCCACTTTTGCTGGAAATAAGTCACCTCTGATTTTAGTTGGAATTTTATTCGTTCCAATTGTTTTAATGAACCACCCTACAGTTATTCTGCATATGGCCTAATTAGGATACGCAGGGCCTTTGATCCTGTGTGTGGTTCATGATCAGTGGCAGAGGGAGATGTGGACATTTAGCTTTAACATGATTTGAAAGGGAATATTTAACATTTGACTAAATCCAGTTAACTGAAAGAGTTAAAACTATGCAGGACTTAAAGAGTAAAAAGAAGTTTGAACTGAAAAAAGTAAGAGCAGCTCAGCCGTTAATCCAGCTGGGAGAATAGGCTCAGATAAAGCCAGTTGCAATGATCACAAATAATGCCATTTTCTCCCAAGGTCATGCTGCAGCTGGAAAATGCCATAACAACTCCCTCTTGAGTGACAAGAAACAGCAGCTGGCACAGGACTGATCCTGCTTCTTCAGACCCTCAATCAGAGTCTACAGTGGGAGCTTAGACTTTACAAATCTCCTCCCTCTCAACCTAATTAAACTAAAGAGCTTCTGCATAGCAAAAGAAACTATTGGGAGTAAACAGACAACCCACAAAATGGGAGAAAATATTCACAAACTATGCATCCAATGAAGGTCTAATATCCAGAATCTACAAGGAACTTAAACAATGGAATGAGTAAAAACCAAATAACTCCATTAAAAAATGGGCAAAAGACATGAACAGACACTTCTCAAAAGAAGACATACGAGTGGCCAACAAACATCTGAGAAAATGCTCAACATCCTTAATCAGAAAAATGCAAATCAAAACCACAATGAGACACCATCTCACACCAGTCAGAATGGCTATTATTAAAAAGTCAAAAAACAGCAGATGCTGGTGAAGCTGTGGAGAAAAGGGAACACTTACAAATTGTTGGTGAGAATGTACATTAGCACAGCCACTGTGGAAAGCAGTTGGAGATTTCTCAAAGAACTAAAAACAGCTATCATTCAGCCCAGCAATCTCATTACTGGGTATATATCCTAAAGAAAACAAATCATTCTACCAAAAAGACACATGCACTCACATGTTCATTGCTGTGCTATTCACAATAACAAAAACGTGAAATCAACCTAGGTGTCCATTAAGGGTGGACTGGATAAAAAAAAGGTGGTATGTATGCCCCATGGAATACTATGCAGCTATAAAAAAGAATGAAATCATGTCCTTTGCAGCAACACGGATGCAGTTGGAGACCATTATCCTAAGCAATTTAATGCAGGAACAGAAACCAAATGTCACATGTTCTCACTTATAAGTGGGAACTAAACATTGGGTATACATGGATATAAAGATGGTAACAATAGAAACTGGGGACTACTAGAAGAGGGAAGGAGGGGGCAAGGGTTGAAAAAACTAACTATCGGGAACACTGCTCAATACTTAGGTGAGTGAATCATTTGTACCCTAAACCTCAGCATCGTGCAATGTACCCATGTAACAAACTTGCACATATATCCCTGAATTGAAAATAAAAGTAGGAAAAAGCAAACAAACAAATCTTCTCCCACTTACCAAGCAGCAATTTTCTGGCTCCTCCAGAGTGCCCACCCTAGCTACATTAAATTGAAAAATGTTGTTTTTTTGGACTACAGCCTCATCCCTAAATGGCCTTTGTCTGCTTAAACTTTAGCAGAAGAAAAATAACCCCTTTGTCCTGTATTTGAAGAAGGGGTTAGTGGTGATGTTTTTTGTTAGTATGTTTGTTTTTAATATATTTATTTGACTTGATTACCAGTTTTAGATCTCAGGTGACAGAAAGGAACCCACAGGACTTGATTCTTGGTGCAACCATTTGTGAGCCACAGAAGCATATCCTCAAACCATTTCTAACTGTGGCAGATGACTCTCAGCTCTGTTCTAAAGACTAAATTTTCAAGGATTGCTTCTTATTTCATTTCAAATAAGTCCCTACCCCACCTCCCCACATCATTAGGTATTTCTTGTAACAATCCCACATAAAGACCAAATATTCTCAGCCATGAATCAAGCACAGTAATCTTTCATTTAATCAAATTACCATCGCTAAAATTATTAATAATACTAATATTCTCCACCTGAGGAACTTGCACACATACTTAAGGCAAACTATTGTTAGGAGCTTTATGACTTGATTAATTTGTCTGTCTGAATTATTAAGCTAGTATATTACTTCAATACCTCGAATGTGGACTAGGCACTCATTTTCACATGTTCATCTATTCATCCATTCACTCAAACATTTATCAAGAGCCTTCTCTCAGGTGAACACTGTTCTAAGTCCTCAGAACTTAAAGATGAATTAGGTGCAGCCCCTGTCTTCAAGAGGCTTGCCCTGAGGTTGGGAAGACAGCCAGTGGGTACCAGAATGAAGCGGGGAAAGGCTCTATTGGTGAGATCAAGAAGTCCAAGGCCATAGTATCAGAGGTGTATCCACAGGTCATGGAGGCTAACCTGGATGGCACAGGCCATGAAGAGAGGTGGACCGTGAACAAATTGCCACATCACTCAAGAAAAGAGGGAGTACAGCCAGGATGGCCTTAGATGACAGAACTGAGGGGATGTAGGATGGATTAACCAGAAGAAATGAGCCCCCAAGAAGTGGACATTTAGGGGAGGATGAAGGACACTTGATCTGGAAATACTTAAGGCAGTGAGGAAGATCTCCCTTCAAGGTGTGGTAGAGACTGGGCAGCCTCTCCAACCCCATCTCCTTCCCAGGGAAGTTCTCAGGGAACAGAAAGGAAATGAGACGCAGTGTCCAGAGATGAGACTGCAGAGATGAAGAGAGACTTCCTCCTGATCTGAGGGTGGTGGAGGAGAGGGAGGCGGTGGGAGGGTGGATAGGGATTCCAGGGTGGGGAGGGGATAGTGCTAATCTCCTCTTCAGTGCAGGCCGTAGCAGCTGGCAGCATGTGCAGTGACCGTGTTCGTGGGCACTGCATGGGTCCATGGGATGGGTCTGTTCTGAGGAATCCCAGTGACTCAGGTGCTAGGCTGGGCTGTCAGCCTGAGCTCCCAGTAGTGCTTGGCTGGTTGGAGTGCTGAGTCTGCTGCAGGCAAGACCTGGGAAGGTCAGATGCTCTGCCTAAAGCCCTGAGGTGGCTCTGAAACCCTGGAGTGTTTCCTGCATAAGACCTGCATAAGACCTCAGCCTCTTCCTTCGTGTCAATCCAAGCCATTCTCCTGTTTGGCAGCAATTCAGAGGGCCTCATAGAAATTCAATTTGTAGTTATTAACTGAGTACCTACTATGTGTTGAGCATGTGTTAAGAACTCTGTGCACTGCACTGACCTAGAACGTTGGGATTCCTGCCCTCATGGTGTTTAAATGTGTGGAAATGAAGACAGACTCAGATCAGAAATTATACGAGTAGTACGGGGGCAAGAGTAAAGTCTAGGTTACCAGAGGAGAACGTTCAGGGAAATCGACCTCGTGTGGGTCCACAGAGCCCTTGCTGAGAATCTCCTCCTCACTAAGCTGGAGTAGAGAAGCGCAGCCCCAGCACCATGGCCCCTCCCCATGGTGGAAGACGGAAGAACAGTTCATGTAATTGTAAATGAGTCACTCACATACTCAGGATCAAGAATAATTTCTTTTTTTTTTTTTTTGGAGAGTCTTGCTCTGTCGCGCAGTCTGGAGTGCAGTGGCGTGATCTTGGCTCACTGCAAGCTCCGCCTCCCAGGTTCAAGCAATTCTCCTGTCTCAGCCTCCCAAGTAGCTGGGATTACAGGTGTGTGTGCCACTATGCCTGGCTAATTTTGTATTTTTAGTAGAGACAGGCTTCACCATGTTGGCCAGGTTGGTCTTGAACGCTTGATCTCAAGTGATCCACCTGCCTCGGCCTCCCAAAGTGCTGGGATTACAGGTGTGAGCCACCATGCCCAGCCCCAAAATAATTTCAAAACAGTTCTTTACTGAAAGTTCCAGTCATCCCTTCTCACCCTTTCGGAGAATAGTCACAAGAATGTTCAGGAATGGAATCTCTTGACTGCTTAGTTTGTCTTCCCTCACCCAGGATCTCTTCAGCAGACACAGCCCCTCACTTTGGCTTCCCAGGGCAGCTCCACATCTCCAACTCTTCTTACAGTCACTGGGCCATGAACCCATCTCCTTTAGACCCTCTCTCTTCTTCTAAATCTAAGGCAACAGGGTTGTAGTTGGACATGGCCACCCAGTTAGGACACTTCCTGAGTGTGACCCTATTGCTGATTTATCTCCATGGGAGGGAAGTAATGTTTGCCCTTTCAAGGCCTGGGCCTTAAGTCATTCTGCATGCATGTCACCAAGCTGGAGCACAGACTGGTGGAAACCCAGCCTTCATGATACAGGGTAGAGTGAGGCAATGATTTCCAGGGCCCTGCTCTCCTGAACGGCTTAAAGAATAGAGCTGCTCCACCAATCTGGGCCATCTACATACAGACTGCAAGCTAGAGAGAAAAACTTATTTGTTCTTTAACCCACCATATTATTGGATCTTTTGTTCTGGATAATACAAATCTCATTACCAAAATGTCTCTGTTTTCTAGCGGAGTGAGAGTGTAACAGAAACTACCACCCTATCTTGAAAAACAATTATTCTTCTTTGTTTTCCTTTTTTTTCCTCTTCATTTTATGAATAGCAAAGCTATTTATATGCTCTGCTTAAAGAACTCCAAAAACTGGCCTTGAAAAACTAAGCACAGAATTAAGGTTGCAGAATATCTCACCTTGGGAAGAATGCTGAGCAGTTAATGTGTATTCCTGTTGCAGTCAAGCTGGTGCCAGCCAGACCAGCAGACGGTTCATTGCTCAAGATGGTCATCAAGACTAGATATACTGACCCACATATAGTCAACCCATGCACAAAGCTTCTCCATATCCTCCCTCCTATAAAAACCCTCTGGCCAGCTTGGGAAACTTGAGATGGTCTTTGTGACACTAGCCCACCATCTCTTCAGGTTGTCAGCTCCTGAACAAACCTGCTTTTCCTCTCACCAACTCTTGTCTCTTGAGTTTGCCTTTTGAGTGGCGAGCGGCCAAACCTGGGTTCAGTTATAAGAGGGGATCTTATCCCCTGATAAAAAGGTACACTTTACAATCCTGTCCATCATGTAAGTGCCAATCGAGGGTAAAATTACTCTCCTGTAGCTCTCCTTCCCACAAACACTTCTCACTCTTCTTCACCTGCTTAAGGTCCTGCTTACAAATGGGAGTGCTTCCCTCAGCCACCTCCCCTTCTGAGTCTGCAGCCGCGTGGTCTACCAGCTGGCGGCCCAGTGACCCAGCATCTGTGTTGCTGCCATGTGCTGAAAGCTTCCTCCCCTGAGCTTTGCTTTATTAGAACAATTTCCTAAATTCCATTTCACCAACATCCAGAAGACAGAGATGAACTATCTAAATAAAATAACTCCTACCATCTTTTCCTTCAGTTCCTATTGATTGTGACTTAATCTCTTGAGGCAAGTTGATGGGCTTAATAGTAAACTGAAATACCAAGAGTTAGCAAAGGAATCAGAGAATTGAGTACAAATAAAATTGTTCACAAGTGGAATTTTTCCAACTCTCCAAAGGGGTTGGTTCAGGGCATGCATGCTTGTTTTCTTTCTTATCTTACACAAGGTAAATACCTTTAGAAAGACTCAGGAAGCCAGACTTTCTGAAGAATGTTGGGTAGGGAAATAATCTGAAACCCTCAGCAAAAGTGGAGGAGGGTCCCTTCTTAACCTCCCCCAAATATGCTGCCCACTGGGACTTCTTTTCAGCCCCACATTAGATGCCACCCTGGCTTTACCTGGCTGTGGCAAACCCTTGCCTTGTTGTGCTCTTACACAAGGTACATCACCTCCACCTAACAATTCAATGACTCTGATGATAGGGATTGTGGCTTTGTGATTTCACATCCAACTGGGCCCTGTACCTTCATCCCATCTGATTGCGGGACTCAGCCCAGGGATAATTCTGTGCCCCTGTGAGACAGCTTAGATGGTGACAAGCTACAGATATTGAAGCCAGTGGGACCTGGGTTTGAAGTCTGACTCTGCCATTTAGTGAAAGACCTTGAGCAAGTATGTAATTTCTGTAAGTCTAAGATTTCTTATCCCCTAGGGATAATACTCCCACTACAGCAGAGACTAGCTAGCTCTCTGCCAGCTTGGCCTCTCCTTCCAGGTCACACAGGTAGATTGCATTTCCAGCTTCATTTGCAGTCAGACACAGTTATAGACTGTGTTCTAGTAAAAGAAATAGCCTGGGCCGGATGTGGTGGCTCACGCCTGTAATCCCAGCACTTTGGGAGGCCGAGGTGGGTAGATCACGATGTCAGGAGATCGAGACCATCCTGGCTAACACGGTGAAACCCTGTCTCTACTAAAAATACAGAAAAATTAGCCAGGCGTGGTGGCGGGCGTCTGTAGTCCCAGCTACTGGGGAGGCTGAGGCAGGAGAATGGTGTGAATCCAGGAGGCAGAGCTTGCAGTGAGCCGAATCGTGTCACTGCACTCCAGCCTGGGCAACGGAGAGAAACTCCGTCTCAAAAAAAAAAAAAAAAAATAGCCTGGTCCATAGAAATTCTCTTTCCTGACATACTGCCTTCTCTCCCTATCCTCTCACTACACTGTTGAGAACTCACTGGCCCTGGAGCCAATCTTGAGCAGAGCCTATAAGGCAGAAGGATCCAGACTCTGAATAACCAGACATGCCTGCAGGAGACCATGTGAGTGATGGAAATAAAACTCTGCTGGGGTAAGTCACTCAGATCTCATGGTTTATGTGGCAGTAACTAGCATTACTCTAATACTACTTAGCAGGACTGTGGGAGTACCCACTACCATGCCTGAAAGAGTACATACTCAGGAAACATAACTATTCCAGGCTTCCAGAAATGGAAACTCAAGGCAAAATATCTGTGATGCGGCATTAGTGTGTGTGGATATGTTTGTAATTGCACATACAGCACACTTACTGAGAACTTATATTCATTCTTTTTTTTTTTTTTGAGTTGGGGTCTCACTGTCACCGAGGCTGGAGTGCAGTGGCATGATCTCAGCTCACTGCAACCTCTGCCTCTGAGGCTCAAGCAATCCTCCCACCTCAGCCTCCCAAGTAGAACAGACTACAGGCACATGGCGCCACGCCTGGCTAGTTTCTTCTTCTTCTTTTTTTTTAAATTGAAACAGAGTCTCACTCTGTTGCCCAGGCTGGAATGCAGTGGCATGATCTTGGCTCACTGCAACCTCCATCTCCTGGGTTCAAGCGATTCTCCTGCCTCAGCCTCCTGGGTAGATGGGATTGCGGCATGCACCACAAAGCCCAGGTAATTTTTGTATTTTTAGTAGAGACAAGGTTTTGCCATGTTGACTTGGCTGGTCTCAAACTCCTGACCTCAAGTGATCCACCTGCCTTGGCCACCCAAAGTGCTGGGATTACAGGCGTGAGCCACCATGACCTGGCCCCTGGCTAGTTTTTTATATTTTTGGTAGAGACAAGGTTTTGCCATATTGCACAGGCAACATGTTTAATCATAATATCAGGCTTATGTTGTAGATGCTATCATTTGCCCCATCTTACAGATGAGTAAACTGAGGCTCAGAAAAGTTAAGTAAGTTTTCCAAGATCACACAGGTAGTTGTCAATGACAGAGCTGAGCCCCTAACCCAGCTCTTAGACCTCTAGTGTACTCAAAGGCTAATCACTAATTTGATGCAGAAGAGGGAGAGATTTCAGAGCCCAGTCACAGCAACCTGCTTACTACAGGTAGAAGATTGTCCCTGAGTAGAACATTTGCTCATGCTGTAATAATAATAATGAAAATCAACAATGAGCACTGAGTACTTAGGAGGTGCCAAGCACTGTCTAAATAAATTATTAACAAGAATTAGCTCATTTGGCCAGGCACGGTGGCTCCTGCTTGTAATCCCAGCACTTTGGGAGGCCAAGGCGGGCAGAGCACTTGAGGTCAGGAGTTCGAGACCAGCCTGGCCATCATGGCGAAAACCCATCTCTACTAAAAATACAAAAATTAGCCAGGAGTGGTGGCATGCACCTGTAATCCTAGCTATTTGGGAGGCTGAGGCACAAGAATTGCTTGAACCTGGGAGGCAGAGTTTGCAGTGAGCTGAAATTGTGCCATTGCACTCCAACCTGGGTGACAGAGGGAGATT
Source organism: Homo sapiens (assembly GCF_000001405.40). Lineage (NCBI taxonomy): Eukaryota > Metazoa > Chordata > Mammalia > Primates > Hominidae > Homo > Homo sapiens. The sequence goes on along the minus strand of NC_000002.12, from coordinate 100,491,969 downwards.
CCATCTCAAACAAACAAACAAACGAACAACAACAACAAAAATCAACCCTGCAAGGTGGTTTCTCTTATTATGCTCATATTAATGGTGAGGAAACTGAGGCACAGAATGATGATAGTAAGAGGCAAAGGTGGAATTTGAACCCAGTCAGTCTGTTTCTTGGTTGTGTGTGTGTATGTGTGTTTGGGTTAGGGTGAAGGAGGTTTGTAGTGGAAGAAGGCATGAAGACCCCTCTGCTATGCCCTCTGCCCTCTGGTCAGACCAGTATACTTGTCCCTGGAGCATACCCTGTATAGTGCCACTTCCCTATCTTTGTGTTATCCTCTTTGTTAGGGACACTCTCTCTTCCATCACCATAGATGGGCATCCTATGGATCCTCAAAGGACCACTTCAAGAACCACCTCTCTCCTTGATTCTCCTGGACACAATCTCTTCCTGTGTTTTCTTTTTTTTTTTTTGAGACAGAGTCTCGCTCTGTCACCAGGCTGGAGTGCAGTGGTGCGATCTCAGCTCACTGCAACCTCCACCTCCCAGGTTCAAGCGATTCCCCTGCCTCAGCCTCCTGAGTAGCTGGGACTACAGGCGCATGCCTGGATAATTTTTTTTTTTTTGTATTTTAGTAGAGACAGGGTTTCACCACGTTGGCCAGGATGGTCTCGATCTCCTGACCTTGTGATCCTCCCGCCTCAGCCTCCCAAAGTGCTGGGATTACAGTCATGAGCCACCGTGCCTGGCCTCTTCCTGTGTTTTCTTATAAATTATTTTCTTCATATATAAATTCTTACTTTTTACACAATTGACATCCAAGGTACCTGCCACCACTTTAAGAAAAAAAATTTCCAGTATAGTTGAAGCCCCTCTGTAGCCTTTCTGGTTTGTATCAGTCTTCCCAGGAGTCACTGATCTCCTAAATTTGATGTTTATCCTCACCAAGGTGCTGAACTTATATAAATGTTATCTTGCTGTAAAAAGCATCCTGCTTGTTTCACTCAACATCATGATTTTAAGGCTCGTCTAACTTCATGCAAATGGTTCATTCATTGTCACTACTCTATACATTTGATTTCTATGAATAACACAGCATTTATTCATCTCTTGTCTTGTTAAAGGACATCTGAGTTCTTAATAACCCTTTTGCTTAACAAACCATGTGAACACTCTTGTCCTTGTGCCTTCAAGGACTTTGCAAGACTTTCTCTGGTACCTAGATATTACAAAGAGTAATGTGGCAGTGGAGACTTATGGGACCAAGATCTGATTGACATATAGGCCCAGAAAGGAAAGCCGAGTCTTTGGGGCTGGTACATCTCTTCTAGGGATGTCTGAAGATTTCAGGAAAAGTAGTTGTGATATTGAAAATTGGGCAGCAATTTATGTCACTCCCATGGGATGAAGGGGTAAAAATTACAGACTAGTGTGTGCAATGGGAGAACCCATGACAAACTCTCAACTATTTCAGTTAGGACCCTAAAGAACTGTAAGAGTAAGAGTGGATAATAAATAAAAATAAGAGAAATAGCAGACAGTAGAAACTGACATAAATGAGATGGAGATAATATAGTTATCAGAAACTGACTCTAAAATTTTCTATGTTAAAGGAGAAAAAAAGATGAAAAATTTAATCAGAAATCTAGAAATTATAAAATGAACAAATAGAAATTCTGTAACAGAAAAATATAATAGCAAAATTAGTAATACAGCAGTGGTCCTAGTAATATAAGATATACAGCCAAATAGAAATTAGTGAACTGGAAGTTAAATCAAAGGAAAATATTCATCATGAGCACCAGGCAGTCAAGACAGTGTGGGGGATGGATAGATTGCAGTGAACAGAACTAATATAAATGTAATTGGAGAAAAAGAAAGTATCAATATCAATATTTACAGAAATAATGGCAGAGAATTTTTTAAAGCTGACAAAATATATCAGGCAATAGAGATATGACATCCTATGAACTCCAAGCAAAGTCACGCCCAGACAGATTAGCCATAGAAGTAAAACTTTTGAAAACCAAAGATCAGAGAAAAATCTTAAACGCAGCTAGAGAAAAAGCAAGCGAGCAAACAAACAAACAGATTAATGGGCAGTAAATATGCCTTGCCCTTTACTCTGGAAGGAGACATTGTCTGTATCTTCCAAGGCAATTCTCTGCACAAACAACCTTGAAAAGACAGGAAGAAAGGGAAATCAGTGTCTCTGCTCCCAAGGTGTGCAGAAATGCAGGAAACCCATAGAGGATTGTCTCCCAACAGTAGCAATCTTCTTACAGTATTACAAGTGATAGAAATTGAGGATGGAGAAGGAGGTTGAAAATTTAACCAAGGTCTGACAGCCAGGATTAAACCCAGGCTTTCCGACTCCAGAGCCTAAGGTCACATACAGATGAGTTGCACAGCAGGAATGGGAGGGAGCAAAAGGTCCACTCTTCTTCCCTGTGCCACACAACTCCTGAAAAATTGTGTATTAACTGCATTGGTATGAATATAATTCTATACGTTCTCCTTGAGCTGCTTTCAGGAGGGATCCTCAGTCTATGGGGAGATTCAGAGGAGGTAGAAATTGCCCCCAAACAAGGTGCCTTTGAAAATTCGTGTTAAGGCTGGTTCAAGGCCAGTCTTCGTTTTGGAATATGGGAGAGGTTCTCTGGGGTGTGATGTCTGGGGCAAGGAGTGGCCAGGGCCTGTACCTCAAAACATCTCTTCCAAGAACCCAGGGGTACCCTGTTAAGATACAATTTCTAGAATGAATTATTAAACAATACATTTTTCAATAAATGGAAATAAGAAAAGTGATCACTAAAGGTCAGTTTGGTTCCTGGGAACAGTCCCACTGTTTTTATCTGTCTGAAGACAAAGTGAATGCCCCATGAAGCTGTGAGCTCCTGCCCCAGAGATGTTGAAGAAGAACATGGATAACCCCCACCAGAACTGGGGGGCCCATCTGCTCTGGCCATGGGTTTGGATTTACAAAGTCCTCCAATGTCTCCAAGGTCTCTTCTCCTTCTGATTCTGGGGAATAACAGGGAGAAGAGTACCCACTCACCCACGATAAGCTATTGGGCTTCACTCGGGACTGGCTTGAGTGACAGCACAACCTACACCTTATGCAGTTCCATTATCCCAGCCAGGATTGGTGGTTTAAACTATAGGTTTTATTAGTATTCGGATATGGTGAGGCCAACAGATCAGGAGGCAACTGCCATTGAAAAGATTGTTATACTCAGGCTCAAAGTTCTCAAGAGGAAGGGGCCCACCATGCCATGCAGAGGGGTAGAGGGGACTTGGGGAAGTCCTAGGGTCAGTTGGGAGGCAGAAGTAATGGAGGAAAACATGGCCAAGAGCCTTTATTGTGATTTTCATGGGAAGGAGCAAGCCAGCCAGTTTAAGAGGGCTTGACATTGGCTAGTTTAAATAACTTCAGCAAATTCAGGGGCATAGAGGCTGTCCCTAGTTGTCTGGCACCTGGCCCTGGGTGAGAGCCTTATAGAGAAGGTGGTTGGGGACATGGGCTCTGGATTGGTTAGTGTGCATTTGAAAGGCACATTCATAAGCAAGGTGCTTGCCATTTCCAGGGATTATCCCTGGGAGGGGCAGTCTCTCCAGGGTCAGCAAGTCCCCAAGATGGCAAAGCATCAAAAATACAGAGTAAAAATAAATGATTAATACACTTTGTATCTAGCAGGCATTCAAATATTGAAAGAATGAATGAATGAATAAGTGTTTGCACCAGTGAGATACTGAGCGGACCTATTTGAAAAGAGAGAGTGGAAGAATGGGCTCCGGATGTGGGACTGCAGAGGACACTTGGAACAGGGGCCAGCAAAAGGACTCTGAGCTCCAGAGGGGAACAACAAGGAGTAATCCTAAAGATGCAGCTTGAGCTGTGGCCCCCAAAAGATATGTCCACAACCTAATCCATGGAATCTATGAATGGATCTTCTTTGAGAAAAAGATCTTTACGAAGGTAATTAAGTGAGAGACCTGAAGATGATAATATCCTAGATCAGGCCAGAGCCTAAATCCAGTGATGAGTGTCTTTATAAGAGATGTGAAAGGGAGAAGACACAGACACAGACACAGAGAGAAGGCCATGGGAGGGCAAGGCAGAGACTGGAGTGATGCTGCCACGAGTTGAGAGGAGCAGCTGGAGCCACCAGAGGTAGACGAGGCAAGGCCAGACTCTCCCTTGATGTTTTCGAGGGACAGTGTGGCCCTGCCAACACCTTGATTTTGGACTTCTGGGCTCCAGAGCTGTAAGAGAGTAAATCGCTTTTGTTTTAAGCCACCAAGTCTTGTTTATTTGTTATGACAGTCCTATAAAACTATTAAATAATACAGGATAGTAATATTACAGTGGAAAAAGCAACTAGGTTTTTAAACAAAAGACCCAGGCTTCATCTTAGACATGCTGCCTGTTGCTGTGTGGCCTTGGGCAGGCCACTTTGCCTTTCAGGGCTCTTTTCCTTGGCAGCCCATGAGAAGGCAGGGCTGAATGATCAATGAGACCTCTGCCCACTCCAAGGTTCTAAGAAGTCCCTTTCACAGCTCTGTCCTGGCCAGACATGGACCCCTGATCTTGTTGAAGGCCACAACGTGACCCTGTGCAATGGGCTGGGGTGTGGCCTCTCCTGGTAAAGTGAGTGCCAGCACTAAGTAGGCGAGCATCCTCCATCCAGTGACTGAATCTGGGCCTTGGATTCAAACTTATTAGAAAGGACACTAGGGTAGAGTAACCTTATAAGGCTCCTTTTCATGGGAAACCAGGCCAAAAGCAGCCCAGCTCCATAGGTGGGGAGGCCCAGTTCTCACAGTGTAGAAACTGTCAATTAGAGTCTCATTTCATCTCTGGATTCATTGGCACTGGTAGAGTGTTGCTGGACACTGCTGTGGGAAAAAAGAGTGAGGTGATGTCTGGGAAGGCAGAGTCTGTCTCCAGCTCCCTAGCATCACAGACAGGCTTTGCCAAGGAAGAGTTTTTAGCTCACATAGTGTTCCTGAGAAACAGGGGTCTCCTAGGCCTGCCCCACTCTCTTTAACCATCATCCCCCTGGCCTTGTGTCAAGGGTATGGACCCTCCATTGAGGTGGGATTTATTATTACTGGTTTAGCAAAGAGGATTCTGAGGCTCTGTTTGGGGTAGAAACTACTATCTTTGGTCAACTCCCAAATCCTGAGATTGTTTCTGAAGACTGATGTTAGCAGCTTCTCACACCAACACTGTACTCTGTTCATCAAACCCGACCTGCTCCCTACAAATGCTGAGCACTGGGCCAGTGGCTTGGTCCCTCCCCTGCACCCGTGCACTCAGAAAAATACCAGGCAGAACTAGGTTTGCTCATCTCATCTCTGTGTGGCAAGATCTACTGAGGGGTCTTAAAACATCCTATTCAAGAAATAGGCTTCGGACTTAATACAGAGGCTTACAAACGCTAAAATACAAAAACAAATTCTAACTGACATTTTAAAAGGAGGACTTTTAAGTTTGATGAAGCTCTTGAGAAGTTAAAAGAAGGAATAGCCAGTGTGATTTAGGTCATGTCATTAGGGTCCCTCCTTGCATTGAACACACATCTTCTGCCTCATCTCCTCCATAGGATAATCTTGGGAGGTCTTCTAGACTCCTTCTAGTCAAATGCAAACACAGATATTTACAGAGGAGGAGGCTGAGAAGAAAGGCTGAGTGAAACCACCTTTGCAAGGATTATGACAGTAAGACAAATCTTGCATGGATGACTCCATCTTGCTTCTAACCCCACAGGCTAGCTGTCTTCACTCTTTGCTACGCATAGGCCAATCTAGCCGTGGGAGGAATTTAGTTCATAGTTTAACTTTTTGTTGTTGTTGTTATTCTTGTTTTGAGATGGAGTCTCGTTCTGTTGCCCAGGCTGGAGTTCAATGGCGCAATCTTGGCTCACTGCAACCTCCACCTCCTGGGTTCAAGCAATTCTCATGCCTCAGCCTCCCAAGTAGCTGTGATTACAGGTGCGTGCCACCACGCCCAGCTAATTTTTGTATTTTTTAGTAGAGGCAGGGTTTTGCCACATTGGCCAGGCTGGTCTCAAACTCCTGACCTCAGGTGATCCTCCTGCCTCGGCCTCCCAGAGTGCTGGGATTACAGGCATGAGCCACTGCACCAGGACCATAGTTTAACTTTGAAGCAAGGATAATAGTTTCTCCTTAAAACTAACCTCCTTCTTGCCATGAGATTAGGATTATATGAGGGGCATGAATTCTGCGAAAATGTCAATGTCATTTCTGTAATTTCTTATTGCTCAGGAGTCATGTGGCCAGAGGTCTCAAGATTTGTGACTTCCCCAATTGCTCCTACAGATAACGACACTATTGTAGAACCTCAGATTGAAATGTTTTTCAGACTTTTGCATTCTGGCAATTGACTGACCCCATCCAGACCCATGACTCATGACTCAGCTGGTCTTGTGTCCCCCACCCAGAGGCTGACTCAGAGCATGAGGACCCTTTCCCACACCCCTATGACTTCATCCTCAACCAACCAGCAGCACCCACTCCCTAGCCCCCTGCCCACCAAATTATCCATAAAATCTCTAGACTCTGAGTCTTTGAGGAGACTGATTTGAGTAATAACTCTGATGCTTCCACTTGGCTTGCTCTGCCTTAAACTCTTTCTCTACTGCCATGCCCCTGTTTCAGTGAATTATTTTGTCTGTGTAGTGGGCAAGAAGAACCCATCAGGCAATTACATGAGCCTTGTGGCTTCTTAAGAGAATCTGGGGTTGCTGTGCCTTAACTTAATGCTGTCAGCAATAAAGAAACAGCCCTAGAGTCCCTTTGGTACACGTTGTGTGATGAAAGCCATCTGAATATAATCAGAGCCAATGGTTATTTACTGTTCACTGTGTCCCACCATGCCAAAATGCTCCCATATGGACCACCTTCTTAGTCCTCACAAAGTCTATGTGAAGAAGTTACTATGATTACCATACCAACACCATTTTACCATAGAGGAAACCGAGGCACAGGAATGGGAAGTGACCTGTCCAAGGTCACCCAGCTAAAAGTAGAGGAGTCAGGATCTGGAGCCATCCTGCCTATCCCAATCCCATCCCTCAGTCCTCAATAACAACAAGATAGATAGCTAGGCCATGCTAAGCCAATGCCAAAGATGGTGAATTTTAAAAATATGTCCTATTATTAAAAAAATCATATACCCGATCCTCCCATCCCCCAAGACTTTCCAATAGGATATGAAAATAACGTGTCAGTGTGAGTGGAAAAAACAGTGTTTCCTCTGCTCTCATACCCAATGCCTGTGGGGTTTTCCTCCAAGCAAGCAATCAGTTCTGCAGCAGATATCAGCTGGTGCCCTCCAATTTAATTCCGACACCATCTACCTGGAGATGGCGTCAGATCCCACAGGTTCAGGGCTCAGTCCCCAAGACTATGCCCCACTTCCAACACCAGCCACAAGCCCCGGGTTATTTTACCTGTGCTTCTGGCCAACAGGCTATGAATTGGGGCTCCCATGACCACCTCCTGAAGTTTGACTAATTTGCTAGAGTGGCTCATAGAACTCAGGGAAACACATTTACTAGTTTATTATAAAAGGTATTACAAAGGATACAGATGAGAAAATACCACCCTCCAGCAACCTCCATGTGTCCAGCCATCTAAAAGCTATCTAAAACCCTGTCCTTTTGGGTTTTTATGGAAGCTTGGGGTTACATAGTGTCCTCCTTAAATAACGAGATTCAGTAAATATGATTAAATACAGAGTTTATTCTATTTTAGCTCAAAGCTTGAGAATAGCCACCTGGAAATGCCAACTCCAGGCTAATGGAATCAGCATTCTGAAGTGGAGAGGTTTGAGGGTTGTTGATATTGGCAAGGTTTCAGGAAGTTCAATAGGATTTTAACGTTGTCCGGACAAGGTTAGTGCATAGTTACAACAACTGGACTGGTTATAGGCTGTGTTCTTTTTCGGGATGGGTATTTAACATCCCACATTGAGGATGTAATAGTCATGGGGTCTTCTGCGTCATCTGGTCTGAGTTGAGTGCAAGACAATAAAGGAAGAAGTTAATCTCTAACAAAGGTCAGTAATTAAGAGCGGAGGGGTCTTATCTCTGGTGTCATCCAGTCTTTTTTAGTCATTTTACAGAACAAAAAATAAGGAAGGGAGTTCATCTATAATTGGAGAAGCCAAAGTGGCAGCTGCATGTTACACGACTGAGGCCACACAGTCACATTTCTCTCAAGGCTCAAATCATTTAAAGTTCTAACAGCCTTAAGTTTGAATTGTTTAATTTCACAATAGGCATGACTGATTAAAACATTGGCCATTGGTGACCAACTGAACTTTCAGTGTCTCTTCTCCCTGGAGATTGGGGTTGGGCTGAAAGTCCAAATCCTCTAGTCCTGCCTTGGTCTTCCTGGTGACCAGCCCCATCTCAAAGCCACCTAGGGGCTGCCAGCCTCTGCCAATCATCAGCATACAAAGAAACACTGAACATTTTGAAATTTTCAAGAATTTTAGAACTTGTATGTCAAGAAATATGGACAAAGACCAAATATATATTTCACAGTATCACACAATGCTACTTTATTTTTATAAAGCTAAATATCTAGTGAATATAGAGCAAGAGAAATATCTTTAAATATTGTTCGTGGAAAGAAATTTGATATTTGTTCAACATAATCCCTGGAAGGCCTCATCAGATCCAGCTTTCTTTCACCACTGAATCCTAAAAAAAGAAAAGAAAAATGCACTGCTCAGTTCAAATCATTCTCGGAATCAAGACAAAGCCCATGGGCAGGTTATTATGTAACATATTTTACAATTAGACCTCAGTTTGAAGTGTCATAAATGCCCAGGTTGCTTTCCCCACAATCAGTACTTACAAGATTTGTTTTTGGTCTATCTAATTAGGGCATTAGGTTGGTGTAAGCACTATGGCCTCAGGGAGCATCTTTGCTTTGTGTTTGCTGGGTACTGCCATTTCCCAGCAGTGGAACAGCTTTCTTAGACGCCTTGGACTGCTGGGACCCTGACTACTGACCCCTGCTGGCAGCATCCATTGGACAGCAGCCTTATTTCCTTGGGACCACATCCCCATGAGAAACAGAGGAGGCCCGGAGCTGCCCTTGAGCATTCACTTCATCTTCCACAGGCCTGAAGGCCAAGGAATCGTTCCAGATTAAAACTCTGGATCTCAGAGCACCATTGGAAGGGGGAAACAGCCTTGCCTGGCCGTACTTAGAAATGATCTCACTGTAGGGAGCCTGGTAGCTTCCAGAACTCCTTGGTGCACCATCCAAGCATGACAGGGTGGTGTTTCCTTATCAAGGGGGCCAGGTGAGAAGTCACAGAGGGCCCAGCTGGGCTGCAATGAGCCTGCATCCCCATCGCAGTGACAGCTGGAGACCACATGCCTCCGAAGAGCTGGGCATGGAAGTGAAGGCTGCAATATTGCCCAGACAGCCTGCATCTGCTAGGCTGGGGTGGGGGTCTCTGTGGTCCTGTGAGCAGGAAAAGGGAAGGGGCAGAGTTCCTGGGGGTTATGAAGGGTCCTCATTTCTTGAACAATGGTCCTCCCCATGGCTGCCTCTCACTCTCTCCAGTCAGACACATAAAATTTGCTTGAAAGAGAAAAAGGGTGATGAAGCTGATCTTGGACTACCTACTGGGCCTCATCTTCAATGTTTCTTCCATTCCTGGGCTGAAAAAAAAAGGAGCAACTTATGAATACTGAGACACAACTTTCTGCAGCCTGTATCTTGATTCCGCTCTTCTCTCTGTTGAACCCTAAGGCCTCATTCTTCTAACTAGGACTTCACTCCCCTCCATGGGGACTCACCTGGGAAGCCCTCGCCCTGTGCTAGCGCTAGTCCGTAGGTCCTCTGGGACAGTGCTCCAGGAACCTCACTGCTCCTAGGACCCCAACACTGTCACCCATCATCCCCCCCCTTTAGTCTTTGCTTATGTGGTGGGAGGTTCCACAAACCATCCAACACAGAACTGCCCAGTCTGGAGACGTCAAGGAGATGGACTGTTTCTCAAAGCACTTTCTAGGAAACGAGTAGGTCATACAGACCCATGGGAGTGAGAGAGTGGTGGGAAGCAGCTCCATGGTCCATATGTTTGGGAAACAAATGATTAAGCCAAGTGACACAGGTTGTGTTCTGCAGGACTTCTTACAGCCTGTGATGGGCCAGTGTGTATTGTGAGACATCACAAATGTCGGGTGCAGTGTTTTCCAATCTTAGCTGACTTTTGCAGAATACTTTTTAGCGCCAGTGATTCACAGAATGCAGTTTCTGGGGGGCATGGATCTAGTCTGATTTGCTCATTTTTTCTGTGCAAATACTGAGAATCTCAAGGGTGGAGCACAGCTAGTGAATGGCTGATCAAAATCTAAAAGATAACTCTTCTGACTCTGTGACCTTTGCAAGAATCTCTGTCACCCAGGAAGGAGTAGAGGATGGTGCCTAAGCTCCTCCTGCCATGTGTTTTTGGGGTCACGAATCCTAGACCTTAATGCTCTAAAACATGGGCTCAGATTCTGGTCTACCTTGTGTCTGTCTGTCAGAAGAACTCCCTTACGCCTACTCTGGTGCTCTCAGCCTCTCTCCTGTTGGACTCTTGCCTTTGCAAGATTGTAGGAGGAGATTTTTACTTGGAGTGATTCCCAGTGAAGGATGAGAGAGTCTCCACAATTATCCACCAGTTTACCAAGGGGTCCTGGCTCTGCTGTTTGCAGTCACTCCATGATTGGGATGGCTGCAGTGAATCGAGGTTAGAAAGCAAAGGTGAGAAAACATGCTATACCCTGAAAAGGAAAAAGGGTCGTCCCCAGGTCGCAGTGTGATCCTGCAACATATAGAAACACAAGCCATTATGCAACCATATTGCATTACAAGTTCTTCAAAAATGTCTATAGGAACAGTTTTCAAAATGGGTGGTCCCAGACCAGTGGCACCAACAACCTCTGGGAACTTGTAAGAAATACAAACTCTTTGCCCCAATCCAGACCCACTGAATCTTTGGGGGTGGGGCCAAGCAATCTGAATTTTAGCCAGGTGACTCTGATGCATGGCCACGTTTGAGAACCACCGGTGTTTGGGGTTTGTGCTCTGGCAGTACCTCTATTGGAGTCTGTACAATGGCATGTGGGCCCCTGAGCAAGAGAAAGCAAGGCCTCAGTAGTAGCTGGCTCCAGGGGACTCATCTCTGGGGCTGGAGGTGAAATATGAACAGCCAGAGGCATTGCCCTAAGGTTCCTGTCTGCCCCAGGGAAACCTGAACTTAATTGCTCAGCCACAAAAGATTCTCAGGGTCCTTTGGAGACCAGCTCTGCCCAGAACTGGTCTGGAGGGGCTGCAGGGTGGCTGGCTCCAAGGACTTCCCCACCCTTCTCGGGTAGGGCTTTCTTTGGGGGTCGCAGTCTCCAAGGCTCTTGTGTACCTTCTTGGTGAAGTCCACTGCAGCAGTCCCCGAGCCCTGCAAGGAAATGAGGCACAGGTTAATTCAACAGGAACCACATCATGACCTTGCAGTTGTCTTGCAGTGATCCTGCCCTCCCTGCCTTGCTTCTAAGATAGTCAGAAGTCTGGTGCAAAAGAGGAGGTGGAGAGCATGGCAAATGGTGGGATCACTGCCGTGATCTTCTCTAGCAAGCTCCTGCTCAAGAAGGCAAGCTTGTCGTCTTGACTGAGTTACCATCTGTGTCCAAGTACGTTAAGTTTGCTTGCTCCTCCTAACAGCGCCAACTTCGAAATGGGCACATTGCAAAGCTTAGGAAACTTTTAAAGGATTAGCCATTTTAGCTTCTTCAGCTTGTTCATTGCCTGTGAAACTGGTGTAAGAATGGAATCAGACTGGACCTGGAGGCTTGCGGTTAGCAGGGGGTCAGACAAACTGCTGCTGGTGCCCAGGATGGCCAACCAGTTTTCCAGGTACTAGGGGCCCTGGGATTTTCAGAGCTAAAACTAGGAAAGTCCTGGACAAACTGGGATAGCTGGTCACTCTACCTGGGCAGGGTGTTCAAAATAAATTTTCTCTCTTGCTATTTGTTTATTTATTTTTGCTACCATGAAACAAAACTTTGATTACCATTGAAAAGGTTCAGCTGGTAATTTCTAAATTAAAAAATAAAAATGAAAGAAGAAAGCTCTGAGAAATGGACAACGGGCACCTAGGGCAATGGGAAGCAGAAGATATCGCCAGGGCGTTTCGTGTCAGGAGAAAGAGACAGGGGAAGTGAAAAAAAAAGTACAAAACCAAGACACAACTTAGGGATGAAAGGAGCAGAAGAGGAGAGGGATGGAAGCAGGCTGGGCCATGGGGTCTCTCCCCGGGCCCTTCAAACCACCTCATGGGGTTTCAGTGGAGGAAACTGAGGCCCGGGGAGGTCAAAGGACCAGCAGTTCTGCTCAGTGCTCCCTGCCAAGGTGGAGACTAAGATTTGAGGAGAGAATGACAGCAAGCCCCAAGGTGACAGCATGCTTTTACCACGATTCAATGAACTGTGAGGGGCATAAACTATGGTGGAAGAATAAAAGCACGTACTCGCTGCAGAATTCTCTTCATCCGCCTGTTGGCGAGCTTGGCAGCCAGGTGCATTAGAGGATGCACTGGAGGAAACTGCAACAGACAGGCGCGGAGAGGGTCAGACAGGGGGACATCCACAGAGGGGTATTTTGAGAGCCCAGGGCTATGCGCATTTCTTTCTACTCACTTCCCTTACAAATGGGTTTAATTTTCAGAGTAAAACCCATTTTTGAGCCAAAGCCTGAAATTTTATGTTTTCAATAAAGAGCCGCTTGCCGTGAGAACAGGTTTCAATTCCAACACAGCCCTTAAAAATATTCCCTTAGGGTAAATCGGACTTTTCTCTGCATTAACCCTCAGCACTCTGCTCCTGGAGCGGAGCGCCTTGTCCTAGAAGCAGCTCCACATGTATTCTTTCTCCCTCTCCAGGGGTGAGCTCCTCATCCAAGGGAAAAGGTGGAGGGCAGCCCCCGTAACCCTCCCCAAGCACTTCTGATTTCCTAATCTTGTCTGTGACTGCCGTGCGTACCCAGGTGTACACGCCTATCCTCATCTAGTCCTTGTGAATCCTCCCTGTGTACTTTGGTTTAGAGTAAAATTTGATTTGTGTTACAGTTTTTTTGTTTGTTTGTTTTCCATTGTTCTTTCTCCTTTCATGTGCCCTTGTTGGTCTTGATAATATTCCCCTCCTTGGCCAGGTGCAGTGGGAGGCCAAGCAATTTGGGAGGCCAATGTGGGTGGATCACCTGAGGTCAGCAGTTCAAGACCAGCTTGGCCAACATGGTGAAACCCCGTCTTTATTAAAAATAAGAAATTAGCCAGGTGTGGTGGCACGTGCTTGTAGTCCCAGCTACTTGGGAGGCTAAGGCAAGAGATCATGGCTTGAAGCCGGGAGGCGGAGATTGCAGTGAGCTGAGATCGTGCCATTGCACTCCAGCCTGGGCAACAAGAGTGAAACTCCGTCAAAAAAACAAACAAACAAAAAAATTCCCCCTCCTTACCTGAGCCCTATTCCTACATCTATAATACTGATTGATTCTTAGGGGAAACATTTTTTTCCTGGTTATTTGCTTTTTTAAGGATCCTCTTAAGACTTGGAGAGCCTTGAACATATAAATAAGAGACTTTCTAGTGGTAGAGTTTTACTTGCTATGACAGGGTACCTGAATTAAAAGTTATATTCTGGCTGGGCATGGTGGCTCACGCCTGTAATCCCAGCACTTTGGGAGGCCAAGGCAGGTGGATGGCCTGAGGTCAGGAGTTTTAGACCAGCCTGGCCAACATGGTGAAACCCCATGTCTACTAAAAATACAAACATTAGCCAGGCATGGTGGCGCATGCCTGTAATCCCAGCTACTTGGGAGGCTGAGACAGGACAATCACTTGAACCCCGGAGGCGGAGGTTGCAGTAAGCTGAGATGGCGCCCCTGCACTCCAGCCTGGGCGACAGAGCAAGACTCTTCTCAAATATATATATATATTCTATGGCCTCTCCAATATTCCTCAAATCATACCCCATAGAAATTCACCTACACAAGCTGCTTTCGAGGGTAACTCAAATCTGTAGGAAGAAATTAAGAGGTGATGGTTTCTATTCCCTTTGCACATACACATCGCGACAGCCACGGAAGATGTTCATCCATGGATCACCACTGGGGGATGGTACCATACACATCACAAAGCACAAACTTAAAAACAGATGGCAAGAAAAAACAATGTAAAGAGAGCACAGTGTTTACCAGGCTCTTCCTTACCTCTGTTTAAGTGCATAATAAGAGGTTATTTCCTACTTATTTTTCCTTTTCAGTAATTTATTCTCTAACTTCTCAGATCAGTTGGCCACCTACCACCCCCAGCCCAGAGGGAGAAAGAGAATCCCTGCAGCCCCAGGGAAAAGCCCCTGGGAAGCTACTACCCAGAGGATGTCCGGAGCCCCCAGCTTTTCTACTTGTCTGCACATATTAAGAAAGGATGGACGACATGCAGAGGAGAGCCACTTTTACAGACAGATGATTATAATAAAATACTGACCCCAGTTTTAACTGGATGTGTTGCCTCCTGAGTTCTGGAGTAGTGAAACAAAAACTAAATAAGAAAAGAAAGTGATATTAGTATCGAGTGTCACTTGCTCTAAACATGGAAGCTGCATGCACTTGTACAGGGCTAGGTGGTACTCACCCTTTTGTATATGTCTTGATTATCCTGGAAAGAGAATTGTGAGGGTAAGTTAGATGAAATTTTACAGGGGCAGGTAACGGATAACGTTTTCTGTATAAGGTACACCATGGACCTTAGTGGATTTACCTGACTATTATGATAAATTGGCAATCTAAAAAGAAATTATTACGTAAATTTAATGAGTCTATAGTTGATGCAGGATCTTACAATAAGGAAAATTGCCAGCAATACATCATCATGTGAAAATATAATCTCATTTCATCTTTTCAGTTTGCAGGGCGTGGGGAGGAGAGACCTACTCTCTGATGCATAGAAGCAAATAACCATCTGACTACAGGTGGAATAAACTAACTATTACAGTTTTTAATTTGCCGCAGAGTGTATTCTAGTATTCAGTTTTTATAGTTCATATTGGTCAAGCTTCTTTTTCTCCAAAAGCTTTCTACATGAATTTTTGCTATCCTTGCAGAAAGTCCAATTTTCCGTTTCTAAATCCTTGCCAGTGCACGCACCTCAGCCCTGGCTTGCGTAGATGATGGCTGCATGTGCGCTTATCTGACTCAAGGAGATGCCGGGAAGAAGACTTCTTACAAAACCATAGCGTAAGTGTTCATGTCCATGTTTTATAAAGTCACAAGAGATGATTACTGTGAACAATCATTTAAATCTTCTGATCTGGTTCGTACTGATCATTCACATCTCACTCATGCTTAAAGATTTTTGAATCTGCTGAAACCTCAATCAAGACAAAAATTAAAGTTGTTAATAATACTTTAATAATAATTGTGAATACAATTACATCTTTCTGCAAACTTTGTGGAGAATTTCTTCAGTGGAAGAGAGCAATACCTATGCATCCTCTCTCTCTACCATGTACATATGTGTGGATGCACAAACATGAGCACACACACACAGACACACACTGTAATCCACCAACATTACCAGTAGTGGAGGCTCTGTGGCAATTAACTCTATTTCCTTATAATCACCATTTTTAACTAGCAGAAAGTACTTGCTATTTTTACAGCTCCTGGTCTTCTTGTCAGCATCTGTTCACAACAGTGTGTGTGTGTGTTTATGGACACTTATTGGGCAAACAATTGTTTTTTGTACCACATTCATCAGCTGTATACTGTTATGTTTACTTTTCAGGTCAAAAATTAATGAGGAATGTGAAGATGCTTTTCCTGGTGCTAAATACCCGGCTCAACGTTTCATATGCCCCTTACTTTACTTTTTTCTTTTCTTTTCTTTTCTTTTTTTTTTTTGGAGATAGGGTCTCGCTCCATCACCCAGGCTTGAGTGCAGTGGTACAATATTGGCTCACTGCAGCCTCCACCTCCCAGGTTCAAGCGATTCTCCTGCCTCAGCCTCCTGAGTAGCTGGGATTACAGGCACACGCCACCACGCCTGGCTAACTTTTGTATTTTTAGTAGAGACGGGCTTTACCATGTTGCCCAAGCTGGTCTCGAACTCCTGACCTCAAGTGATCTGCCCGTCTCAGCCTCCCAAAGTTCTGGGATTACAGGCATGAGCCACCACACCCGGCCTACTTTTTTCTTTTTAGAGAAAAAATTATTTCAAAGTTTACTGATCTATGTTGTTTATTATTCATTTTCCCAACTAGTATACAAATGCCATGAGAGCAGGTGCTCAGTTTGTTTTACTACCCCATCCCTAGCACCTGGTCCGTGGCATGCTGTCAATAAATATATATTTTGAATGAGTGAATGGTAGAGCCCTGTTCACAAGAACTTATTGCAGTTTTCCCAGTTGAAACGTCTTCTAATCCCATGTGGTGACCAGAAACACGAAACATGAAGAGTTTTGTGGATGTCATCATTTGCAGAATGTGACTGCTTTCTGAATTGTCTTGATTTAAAGGTCTCCTGGAGTCACAGACTTGGCCTATTCTGGAAACCAGAACAGGAGTGAACTTAGAGCTCCAGCAACACATCCAGACTTTGGGCAGTTGAGGAAACCAAAGCCCCAAGAGACGAAGTGACATGCCAAAAGTCACATTTCAGGGAAGCAACAAGCCAGGAAGAGCCAGTTTCTCTATTAATGCCTTTAAATATTGGCAGTTTTGTTCACTGAGTGACCCCTTGCTCTTCTGCAGTTGGAAACAATGAATGGGATAGACTTGGAAAAATGGAGAAGATGGAAGGAAATTCATTCCTAGTGGGCCCTTGCTCTTGGGGATCCTCATAACCCAATTTAATACTGCAGGTTGAGCATGGGACAGCCACACTACTTCCACTGCCTCTGCTGGTGCAGAGGACACCCCCAGTCTTCACCTGAGGGATAGGGAAATCCCTTTTGTGCAACATGTGGAGGAAGTAACAAAGGGATGAAGAACTCTGAGTTTTCAGCCTGAATTTTTGCTCCAGGTCCAAGGCTGTAAAGATTATTCTTGAAAATGAGAGCTAACAATTGCCTTCAAACATATGCATAGTAAACCAAAAATAAGAAGAAATGGGCCTGATGTATTCATGAAATTTGAGAAACTGATGTTTGAGTCTTGAAGAATGAGAATTAGTTGCATTAACAGGCAATGGCAACAACTAGCACTTAAGTGCTGTCATTTACCACGTTCTGGATGCTGTTGAAAGCACTTCACAAATATGAAGCATTTAATCCTTACAACAGCATTCTGGGATACTATGACAATTACCCCTATACTACAGATGACAAAACTGAGGCACAGAGCAACTAAGAAACTACCAAGTTTAAACAGAGCTGGATTTTGAAACCAGGTATTTTTGTTTTAGAGTCTGGATTGTTAACTGCAGCCTGTGAAGGAGGCAAAGTCATTTCTGACTAAGGAAAAGATTGTGCAAGGACGTCAAGGGCCTGGTGCATTTGGGGAATACTGATAGATTCACTGATAGATTCACTGTGGCTGGAGCATAGTGTGCTGTGGGTTGGGGGAGGTGAGGGATAAAGAGATGTGGCTCAAGGTGAAATTATGGAGGCTATCCTAGGCATCATGGGCTATCCTACCACCCTTTTGTACCTTCAAGTAAATCAACTTACTTTATATCCATTGAAATATTTGTGTGGTTACTACAGTTACTGTAAAGTTTTTTGTTTTCATTTTGGTGAGATAGAGTCTTGCTCTGTCACCCAGGCTGGAGTGTGGTGGCATGATCTCGGCTCACTGCAACCTCCGCCTCCCGGGTTCAAGCAATTCTCCTGAGTAGCTGGGATTACAGGTATGCGCCACCTTGCCCGGCTAATTTTTGTAGTTTTAGTAGAGACATGGTTTCACCTTGTTGGCCAGGCTGGACTCAAGCTCCTGGCCTCAAGTGATCTGCCCAGCTCGGCCTCCCAAAGTGCTGGGATTACAGGTGTGAGCCACCAGGCCCAACTAGTTACTGTAAAGTCTTTTAAATGATAACTATTGTTTTGGAGAACTGCTATATCATGGTATATCAATTTGTAATATGCAATATATCATAACATATAATTAGCTTAACTATACATGATTATAATAATTGTAAGAATATACATGAACTACCCATATTTTATAGTAATTTATATTGAAGATACTTAAGATATTTAACATATTTATATTTAAGATATTTGCTTGATTTTTTCTAAAATTATATTCTTGAACACACATAAGCATGCACATACATACAGCATTCTCCTGTAGGTAGCAAAAGAGTGTGTTTGTTGCATATATATATATTTTATATATATTATATATATACACATTTTTTTACCTTAGGTTGGCGAGAAAGAGGTGCCCACTGACTCAGACAATATGCCAGCTGCTAAAAAATAAAATGAAGAAAACAAATCAAAGGGATGAGGGGGATGAAGAGAGAGATTGATTAATGGGTAATCAAATACAATTAGATAGAAGAAACAAGGCCTGGTGTTTGATAATTCAGTAGAGTGACTATAGTATAAACCATAATCTATGGGATATCTCAAAATAGCTAATAGAGAATAATTCAAATGCTCCCAGCATAAAGAAAATGTAACTATTTAAGGTAAATGTTTAATATCCATCGATATTCCATTTCCCCCAACTTGGTTGTAACACACTATATGAAAGTATCAGAATATCACATGTACCCTGAAAGTATGTACATCTATTATGCATTTAAAATTTAGACAACGAATCAAAGATAAGCTTAAATTCTTCAGTCAGCAGAATTTTATTACAACAGATTTAAAATTCTAAAATTGTCCTATTTCTGAACCTCACATTATTTTCTCACACAGTGGTAGTGAATTTCAACACAACCCTCAGGATGCCTTAAATGAGGCCATGAAAAATGGCAACAGTGAGTTTCTGCTGCAGCCAAAAATCTGATCTCAAAATAGTTTTAAGTGAACATTATACACATGATGTATTCAAGGTCCAGACTAAACAAAAATCTCACATTACTGAATAATTGGGTACCTCAAGCTGCACAATATCCAAGCCATCTGAAGGATCAGCTAAAGGTTGAGGAAATCCTATTGTGAGAAATCATAAAATTATTAATTAGAGAAAAGAGGTCATAGCATTTACTTCAAAGTCTTTATCATGAAAAACAGACATTCTGTTAAAATAATAAACCACCAAAGAACCATTCAAAAGAGGTCAGTGGGAAAGTAAGATCTGATCTGATGTTGTTAAAAGGATTTACAAAGAAAATACACTTCTACTTGCCACTAGCAAATCTGAGATTTATACAAAGATTAATTTAAAATAGCATGGTTGTTAATTTACCATGAGTGTTCAGTACAACTATTAGCAAGTCAGCAAAGAGGAGGAAAAAAATCCAAGGTAACAACTTAGTTTGTATTTTGATAGAATTCATGAGGATGGCATCTCAGAAAATGGTGTCAACAAAGGATGGACATCAGAATCACCTTTGAACTTTGAAGACACATGGATACCCGTCTCTCTGCTGCTACAGACTCTCTAGGGATGGGCTCTGGGGAAGGCTGCTGGCATGCAGCTGGACCCTGTCAACCTTTTGTCTAACTTCAATGAACTCCTCTTCTCACTTGCCTGTGATACAACACTTGGTGGGATAGCTATAGTGCAGTCGAAAGAATCAATTGGATAGGTCAAAACTAACAAGATGAAATTAGATGGATAAATATAAAACCTGGCACTTAGATTTTTAATGTGTGGAACAGGGAATGTATGGCTCAAGAGCAGTTTATGTTTAAAAACAAGACAAAAGAAAATTGTATGGTATTTTGTTCCCTGCGTTCTCTCTGAGCCAAGATAAAGCAAAGGCAATGTTATGTTATATTCAAATAACAGTGCCTAAACCTTAAAAGATAATAGCCTGACTTGAAATGATAAGATATGAGGTAAAGGCACTGAGCATAGTTTTCTCTGGAAACAGGAAAATTAGGAAGTATATGTTAACTGCTTTCAACTATTTTGAGAACTTCAATAAGTAAGAGATATTAGTCTTATCCTGTGTTTCCCCCAAATAACAGAATAAAGACTGACGGTTAGAAAGTTACATGTGATCACACTTAAGCTTAGCCTAAAGAAGTTTTTGGTGATTGGAATCATTCAATAATGCAAAGTAATGCAAACCAATCCTATAAGGATTTATGGAGAGGTTCTTTGCTAATAAAACGTAAAGACTTACCCTCAGGGAACATAAAGTCAAACAGGAAAAAATAGGGAGGTGAGTATAAACATATAGAAAGATACATAAAAGGTAATAACATATTTACAAAAATGTAATATAAACAGGACTCTACTGGAGCAAAGAGGCAGAACCTGGCTGTCATAGCTGGCAGTGAGTTGGGGTCATTGAAGTAGTTAAATAGAATCGGGAAGCTACAGAAGGGATCCCTGCACCCTGTGAGAGGTTAAACCAGATGACCTTCATGGTCCTTTGCAAGGCCCAGTTTTGTGATTACATTGTAGGACATGACAAACAAACATATTGTTTGAAATATGTTTTCTCTGTCAATATATTACCAAAGATTTTCTACTCCCCTAAGTCAAAATTCTAATGGAAAAATGTAAAATGGTATGTGTTTCCAACCGTAGTTGTTCTGCCACCGCCCACTTCCCTGCATCCTATGAAGATGGTGGTAACAGATTCCAACCACAGACCCTCACTCCACCCCTGTTCCCTAGAAGCTAGTTCTCAGAGTCGGTGAGGCGATGCCCGCACCCGGTCAGCACCTCGGACAGCTCACTGGCCCCGGGAGGTAGCGGCTTCCGGTACACTCTGGAACCCTGCTTCTCTAAAACCCAATGGAAAGGCTTGGGAAAGATTCCTTTTTCCAGTGTGCGCTCCTCCCGCGCCCTTCTCGAACTGCCCATCAATTTCCACTCTCTGGGGCTGTAAGCTCAGTTTTACCAACTCTGTCCTCGTCTCTTCAGAATCCAGGGAGCAGAAATGGCTACAAGTGGGATCTTCCCCTAACTCACACCAGGAAGTGCCTTTCCCTTCAGTTTTAGCGACACATGTTCAGGACATCCCTAGGGCAGGAGCAGCTTAAAGACAGTCCCACAGGGAAAAGTCTCCTTTAGTAAAAGGCTGCAGCATCTCGCTCTCTTGATCCTCTCCTAAAGGTTCCAACAAATTGCAGCCAGAAATCAAGAAGGTCTGGCGGGGGAGAATAAAGCTTGACTCCCTCCAGAGCTGCCCTGGGGGATCAAGGTCTGTCTCAGACATCCTCAGAGTTTAGGCCAGATGGAGTCTGAGGAAGCTCCCCTTACCTGAGGAGGGAATCTGTAGCATGCAGAAGCAGTAGATGGCCAAGATGAGAGGGAACTGGGGACGAAGATGTTTCATTGTGAGAGTCTGGTTTCTCCTTGCTGGCCACAGACAGGTGCTGCTAGGACAGGAGCCGCGCATTTCCCCAAGGTCCACAGGCAGAGGCAACCCTCTGTCCTGCATCTGATCAGCCCAGCGAAGAAAGTGCCTTTATTTGCAGCGCCCCGGAACCCACTGGCTGATCACCAATCAGCTTTGCACAGGAGGACCCCGGCTTTCTCATAAATGTCATGCTGAGCCCTTATTTGTAGAATAATATCTTTCTGGAGTAGGCATTGTAGAGAGCCATGTTTTACAACCCAGCAATGAAAATAAAAGGTGGAGAGTCCTGATTGTTATTCTATAATGATCTGAGAAATATTTCTGAATCAAGAATGGCTTTTTCTCTTTTTAATAAAAGAGATAAAATAAAAAAAGGACACAAATCTCTAAATTATTGCTTGATAAAGTCTTGTTTCCTACGAAGCTGTTTATTTTCCACCTCTAACAAAGGATGTTGTGTTATCTTGGTGCATTTAAGAAGGACAAAATTTGGAGTCTTCTGTATAATATTTGTAAAAATCTAAAGTTCAATTGGGGCTCTGTTTGTTTTTTAGATCATGGCTGGAAATTAGCCTCTTTAAGGTCTTTCCAGATTCATTTTAAGGAACAAGTTAAATATTTCAAATTGTCAGTATTCAGGAAAACATGACAATGTTTAATAATAATAAATAACTTCATCTACTGAGCTTCTACATGTTGGGATCTGTTTTAGGCATTTCACATAGGTTATTTCATGTAATTCTCACAGAAAATCTATTAGGAATGTGTTATTACCCTAATTTTATGAATGAGGAAACAGAGGCTAGGAAAGATGAAGAAACTTGTCCAAGGTCATCCAGCTATCAAGGATCAGAGAAGAAATTTGGACTCAAAGGTACCTGAGCCCAGTCATTTCTGTAAGAATATGGAATTTTAATTGATAAGTAATTTTTTAAACATGCTTCCTTGGGATTAGACATCAGATAGAAAGAAGAAGAAAGACTGAAGTCTTCTATTTCTTGCAAAAAGGGCAACATACATAGTATACGTGAAACAAATATCTTTTGTTTTTTTCATTATGCATATCTTTATTTTTTTTTTCTTTTTGAGACAGAGTCTCACTCTGTCACTCAGACTAGATTGCAGTGGCGCGATCTTGGCTCACTGCAACCTCTGCCTCCTGAGTTCAAGCGATTCTCCTGCCTCAGCCTCCTGAGTAGCGGGGATTACAGGCGCCCACCACCACGCCCAGCTAATTTTTGTATTTTTAGTAGAGACCAGTTTTCACCATGCTGGTCAGGCTGGTCTCAAACTCCTGACCTCGTGATCTGCCCACCTCAGCCTCCCAAAGTGCTGGGATTACAGGCGTGAGCCACTGCGCCTGGCCGCATGTCTTTAATTTTTGCTCTTTTAGAGATTAGGTGGTTACTAATAACTGCTGGATGTTTACACATGGCTCAAACATGTTAATACTTTACCTAAGTCATAATATATAATTGTTTTAATGAATGAGCTTTTAAAGAATAATTTTAAGTGGGAGTTGCTCAGAAGGAGCTGTTTATTTTTTACTTAAAATGTGGCATTTTGCCAAAACATTTTCAATTCATAACAGAGCAATAATTATACACTACTTTATAGCCATAATATTTTGCCTACTTCTTTGAGCCAGTAAGAAATAGAGATTTCTATTTATTACAGTATTTACCACTTTGGTTCTAGGAGACTAACCCAAGGTCTTTAAATACCAGGCAGGGATTATGCCATTTACATTAAAATCCACCCACTGCCTAACAGCAAGTCTTTACTGAATGAAAGGAAAAAACATGAATAAATGATTTTTCAACTGAAACCATTTATCTACATGGTATTAAAAACAGTTACTTATGGTCATTGTAGATACACGACACACATATAATAGCAAATGGTTGTGGTATTTTTAATAAGTGTCAACCAACAAGTACTTTTCCAACATCCGCTCTGTCTACCAGTGAACTGGTGTTTATGCATAAGCATCAAGTAAACCTCTGTGATAGCTCTGATTTATATCAACCCTATGTTTCTTCTGCATATTTTGCCTACACTATTTTTTCAGATATTCAGGAGAAAAACATAAAAATATTATTTTAAATACTAACTTAGAAATGGAAAAAGATTTTAAAAGTCCGTGCTGTTACTATTCAACAACATGGTTACGAACTAATTTGTGTTTTCCCCACAATTCATAGGTTGAAGCCCTAGACCCCAATGTGACTGTATTTGGAAACAGGGCTTTTAAGGAGGCAATTAAGGCTAAATGAGGACATTAGGATGGGCCCCTAATCCAACAGTGCTGGTGTCATTATGAGAAAAGGAAGAGATGCTTTTTCACTCTGCATGCATGCACCGAAAAAATGTTGTGTGAGATTGCCTGCAAGTGAAGTAGAGAACCTCACCAGGAACCACCTTGCTGGCACCTCGATTTTGGACTTGCATCCTCCAGAGCTCTGAGAAAATACATTTCTGTTGTTTAAACTACCCAGTCTATGGGTTTTGTTATGGCAGCCCAAGCAGACCAATACAAACATGTAAGCATTTTTAGCCAATTCAATACAAAAATAAACTAAAATAATGAAAATTAAAAATTGGAAACTCTACTTGATTTCAAATTATACAATTATCTACCCAGAATATCTACTAAAAATTCAATGAAATCAACTGGCGGATGATTAGAATTAATAAAAGTTTACCAAATTGACCACATTTAGGGGACACTATTTTCAGTACTAATTTTCTTAGGATAAGAGCAAAAATAAATTTTAAAATGTGTCAAAATGTAAATAGCTTAAAAAACTATGAAATACTGAGGGCAAAACTAGAGAATAAATGTGCAATACATTTAAAAAGAAAACCACAAAACTGTACTGAAGGACATTAAAGAATGTGTGAATAAACATATCATTATCCTCACCAGCAAGATTCAATGTTGTTAAACATTCAATTGATGACAAAATTCATTTACAAAATCAGTGTAATCCTAATTAAATTCAAAATGACCTTTCATGAAATTTTAAGACTTATTCTGAAAGTAGTTTGGGAGAGAAAATATACATTTGACCAATTTTTTGGAAAAAACTTGACACTTTACCAATGCCAAAATGTACCATAAAGTGGTAGCAACTGTGGTATTGTGGTCAACATTTTGTTACTGATCTAGTAACAGGCAAACCAATCCACAGAATGGGATAGAGAGAGTTGAAGCAGATTAGATTAATATAGAATAAAGGCACATTTCAAATCAGTGAAAAATGGTGAATTACTCATTGAATGGTGTCCAGGATCATTGGCTATTTGGCGAAAATTAAATACACTATTCCACACTATACAGTAGTCTCCCCTTATCCAAATGGGATACATTCCAAGAACCCCAGTGGATGCCTGAAGCTGAAGATAGTACCAAACCCTGTAGACGGTATGCATGAATTTCTTGTTCCTTCTTCACAATTTCACAGCTAGAAAATTGTTCTTACTGTAGATCTTAGCCACCTCTGCATATGATTTTTTTTCTTTCCTTATTATGCCAATAGCTTTCACCTTTTCACCTAAAGGAAGCACTTTGTGGCCCCTCTTTCGGATATTTCAATGGCCAGCATCATTACTCTTGTGCTTTGGGGCCATTATGAAGTCAAATAAGGGTGGCTTGAACACAAGCACTGCAATGCCGCAACCATCAATCTGTTAACCAGGGCTGCTGCAGAGTCACTAATGGGCACGTAGACAGCGCAGAGATACTGGACAGAGGGAGGATTCAAGAAGAGCGGGGCAGGACCCAGAGACTTCATCACGCTACTCAGACGGGCACACAATTGAAAAACCTATGAATTGCTTATTTCTGGAATTTGCCGTATGTAATATTTTCAGACCACAGTTGACTAGTGGAACTGAAACTGTGGAAAGTGAAAACATAGATAAGAGGGGACTACTGTAGGCTGAGTGCGGTGGCTCACACCTGTAATCCCAGCACTTTGGGAGACCAAGGCGGGTGGATCACCTGAAGTCGGGAGTTCGAGATCAGCCTGGCTAACATGGTGAAACCCCGTCTCTACTAAATATACAAAATTAGCTGGGCGTGGTGGCATGTGCCTGTGATCCCAGCTACTCGGGAGGCTGATGCAGGAGAATCGCTTGAACCCAGGAGGTGGAGGTGCGGAGGTTGAAGTGAGCCAGGATTGCGCCACTGCACCCCAGCCTGGGCAACAGAGTGAGACTCCATCTCCAAAAAAAAAAAAAAAAAGGGTGGGGGGACTACTGTAAATTAAAATAAATTCCAGAAGAACAATAAACTAAACCTGATTCACACACACACACACACACACACACACACACAGAGTATTATAAATATTTTAAAATTCTGTGTACATTATGCTGTTTTGAGATCTTAGAAAAAAATCTTTGTGGCTGGAGAGAGACTGTTCCTCCCAGGGCTAGCCATGCTTAGAGATAGCAAGGGCTCAGCCTGGAGCACGCCTGTGATGATAAACTAAGCAGTGCAGGGCCATAAATCCTCTATCTGGCCCCTGAGCCCTAGGAGGCAAAATCCCTCTGCCTTAAACATCCCAGGATCAGCTTCCAGGCAACTAGGAACCATTCCCACAGCCCCAAACCTTCCACAATTATTCACATTAGCCAGTCCTAAACTGTTCACCCTGCCCTGCCTTGCCCTTCCCCATAAAACCCCGTAAAGGGGGTGGACTAGACCTTCTCTTTGCTCCTGTCTTCCACCTCCTGACCACCCTGGTGCCTTTCCCACATGGTCCTCCTGTCTCCAGGACCTGTGAATTAGTACACTTTGTTTTTTCCTGTGCCACTCCTGTGTCTCCTCTTGAGGTCACACCTGACTGATCATCACGTAAAAGAAAATGAAGCACACATACACAGACACACAGATACTTATATAAAATCCTGTATTAGAAAAAGATTGAGCAAAATTTTTTATAGGAAAATTGCTGTAGGGCAAAACTTAAAATAGGGACGACAATAAGGAAAAGATTGATACATTTTAAAGTATTTTTTTAAAATTCTGTGTAAAAAGATGCCATAATCAATATTAGCAAAGAACAAAACACCATAGGATAAATGTTTCCAAAAGCTATAGGGGTACTTACTGATAATACAAAAAGAGAGGGAAAGAAAGGAAGGAAGGCAAAAAAGGAACAAGGAAAGGAAGAAATGAAGAAACAACGTAACTGTCCACTAAGGGGTGAATGGGAAAAAAAGCTGATATATACATACAATGGAATCGAATATTAAATAAACTAAGGGATCCATAATATGGAAATTTATGTAACTGAGTTTTTTTTTATTCTCGATTTGGAGTCACTCTGTTGCATAGGCTGGAGTGCAGCGGTGTGATCTCAGCTCACTGCAACCTCTGCCTCCTGAGTTCAAGCAATCCTGTTTCAGCCTCCTGAGTAGCTGGGATTACAGGCACGTGCCACCATGCCCAGCTAATTTTTTAATTTTTAGTAGAGACGGGGTTTCACCATGTTGGCCAGGCTGGTTTGAACTCCTGACCTTGTGATCTGCCTGACTCAGTCTCCCAAAGTGCTGGGATTACAGGCGTGAGCCACCATGCCTGGCCTATGTAACTATTTAGAAGAATAAGATAGGTCTACATGTATTCACAGGGAAAATTCTTTATAACATGAGTAAAGAAAAAATGTTACAAAATTTCATGTCATAGTCTCTTGCCTGCCACCATGTAAGACATGACTTTGCTCCTCATTCGCCTTCTGCCATGATTGTGAGGCCTCCCAGCCATGTGGAACTATCTGGCTCATTTTCTGCCTTTGCTGTGATCTCTGAGCAGGGAAGCCTTGTGTCTCTATTTCCAGACTACTCTCTCCTTTACATCAGAGCGATTGGCACACCTCTCTCCAGCAGGAGACTAAAAGCTACCTGAAGCCCTGGTGTGTGCTGCACTCATATGGGACCCCTCTGTTATATTCTTACACATTGCTTCTTTTTCTTGGTACAAGAAAATACTAGGAGCACTTAGAGGCTCCTAGCACATGTAGAACAGCCATAAATGAGGAGTCTGAAAAGAAAAAAGAAATTGCATGCCATGCGCTCCAGTATCAGTTAGCTTCTGCTCATAACAAATCACTGCAAAACTTAGTTGTTTAAACAACCATTTATTTAGCTCAAAATTCTGAAGGTCAGCAATTTGGGCTGGGTTCTACAGGGCAGCTATTCTCAGGTGGACTCACTTACACATTTGCAACCACCTGGTGAATAGACAGGGTGCCTGAGACCTTTCTCCATGTAATCTCTCATTCTCAGGGTGGTTAACCCAGGCTTGATCTCACGCTCATTTCAGAGTTCTAAGACAGTGAGAGGAGAAGCTACAAGGCCTCTTGAGCTTTGCAACGGCCTCTAGGTTTGCAACGGGCACTACATCACTTCTGCATTGTAACGACAAAGCCAGTCACAAAGCTAGCCCAGATTCAAGGGGTGGGAAAATAAATTTTACCTCTCAATGATGAGATGAGCCACAAAGTGTTATGGCCAATTTTGCAATCTACCAACTTATGTAAAAGTTTTAAAAAAATAGAACATGTAGTTATGTATGTACAGATGTAGGTAAATGCAAAGTAAAAGAATGGGATGCTACACACACCCAAAAATAATAGCAGAGGTTCTCATGTAGTGAGATTGTGAGGAATCATTAAAGGCTTTTGAATTCTTGGCCGGGTGCAGTGGCTCACGCCTGTAATCCCAGCACTTTGGGAGGCCAAGGCAGGCGGATCACGAGGTCAGGAGATTGAGACCATCCTGGCTAACACAGTGAAACCCTGTCTCTACTAAAAATACAAAAAATTAGCCGGGCATGGTGGTGGGCGCCTGTAGTCCCAGCTACTTGGGAGGCTGAGGCAGGAGAATGGTGTGAACCCAGGAGGCGGAGCTTGCAGTGAGCCGAGATTGCACCACTGCACTCCAGCCTGGGCAATACAGCAAGACTCCATCTCAAAAAAAAAAAAATAAGCTTTTAAATTCTTGCATTCTATATTTTTGAATTCTTGCATTGATTATTTATGAATTACTTGTATAAGTAAAACTAAATTTAAAAAATTTAATAGTCTGAAACACTCATAAGCATATGGATAAATATTCAAAGATCTAAACTTGCATATATAAAAGATCAACTGCTTTCATATCCTTTGCAGGGACACGGATGGAGCTAGAAGCCATTATCCTCAGGAAGCTAACGCAGGAACAGGAAACCACACACCACATATTCTCACTTATAAGTGGGAGCAGAATGATGAGAACACATGGACACATAGGGGTGAAAAACACACACTGGGGTCTGTTGGGGGGTGGGTGGGGTGAGGGAAAACATTAGGAAGAATAGTTCATGGATGTTGGGCTTAATACCTAGGTGATGGGATGATCTGTGCAGCAAACCACCATGGCGCATGTTTACCTATGTAACAAACCTGAATATCTGCACATGTACCCTGGAATTTAAAATAAAAGTTGAAGGGGAAAAAAAGATCAACTCCTTCCTTTATGTTATTTCATTTATTTTTTCCAAAGTGTTTCAGTTTTTAGTCATTATTTAAAAGGCTGTAACGAGTGGATTTGTCAGTGCCAAGCCAATTTAATAAGATATAACTTTTTTGAATAAATGAACTCACCATGTAGAGTTCCCAGACCATTTGAAACAAGGAAATGTCAGAGAACTACACTAAAATGTCAGAGAACTACACTAAAAATGCCTCCTCCTTTTCACTTTAAATTAGCTTCCGCTTTGTGAATGGTTATTATGATAAAACTCAGCAGGCTTTCAAGGAACTCAATTTTATTTATAAAATACAAGAAAATGGAATTTCTAAATCGATTATAACTTTCTGTATTCAAAGCATAACTCTCTGAGTGACTCAGTGATACCCAATGTCCTTCAAGAACTCTTTTAAAAGTCTAAACTAAATTAAGATGTAGATACGAGAATATTTGAGAGCACTGTAAGGGAGGAAAAAGATAATTCTTCCTCTACACTTTCTGAGATTTTAATTGGGATAGACCCCTATAAAGAAAGATAGATTAACAGGAGAAGAACAAGCAAAAGTTTAACCATGGTGCTATGGTTTGAATAATGGTGTTCCCTCCAAAATTCATGTTGAAACTTAATCCCCAAGGTAACAGTATTAAGAGACATGGTCTTTGGAAGGTGATTATCTCCTAAAAGGGCAGAGCCTCCATGAGCAGGATTAGTATCCCTATGAAAGGGCTCCAGGTTGAAGGGCATACTCTCTTGCCCTTCCATTCCTTTCACAATGTGAATACCTCACATTCTTCCCCTCTAGAGGATACAGCAATAAGACACCATCTTGGAAGCAAAGAGCCATTCTCACCAGACAATGCCAGCACCTTGATCTTGGACTTCCCAGCCTCCAGAATTGTTAAGGAATACATTTGTTCCTTATAAATTACCTAGTCTAAGGTATTTTGTTAGAGCAATACAAGTAGACTAAGAAATATAGATTCTGCCTGTGTCGATGGGAGATACCCAGGGAAAAAGCACATCTCAAAGAAGTGGCTCAAATACCATCCTCAGCTGAAACAAAGAAAGAAGGGAATAAGGAAGGCCAGGGAAAGCACCATAAAGGTAAGTGAAGTTTGTTATGCAGATTTAAGTCAGTGCCTTCTCCATTGATAAGAATTTCTAGTGATTTAGAGTCATCCTTCTCATCCTGCTGCAAAGAGACACTCTTACAACTGGAGATTTCTTTACAAAAGTACATTTTTCTTAAAAGGGATAATGTCGCTGTTTTTAGAGCTTCTCCTGTGTCTGCTGCTTCCAAAAATAATCAGCTGAAAATAAACTTTATGCCAAAATGACATATTTTGGGGTGGCATTTTCTGGTCCTCTACCATCACACTTTGGGGTGGCATATTCTGGTCTACTACTGTCATATTTTGGGGTGGCATATTCTGAGCCCCAACAGCATTTATCTACACAGCAAGGGTTTGTAGAAAAGTCTATTTAGAGCCTGTCTGTCAAATCCCCCAAAGCTGTTTGGTGGCAGAAAAGGCCAGCTTCCCCCATTAGCTGATACTGTCCCCACCCACATGAATACACTCTCTCATTTCCTCCCACCCTCTGTGCCTGAGTCCTGCACTTTCTCCTGGGCTTTATATCTGCTTTTACATTGGGCTATTTAGAAATGGCAGGGGATTAGAGAGTTATGTAATGCTGGAAGAACCAGGGTGTTCTGACAAAGATCCCTCAAAGCAAGAACCACATACCCTTTTATATTTTCCTTGTCAAAAGTAATATATCAGAGAGTTGTGCCAGCTAATTGCCCATTGGACTTTGACTCCATAAACATCTTTCCTTACTTCCCCCTCACCGCATCATACAGAGCTGTAAACATGCAAAATAAACTCCCTTCCTAGCTGGCTTGCAGTTTGTTTCTGTCAATGGGAGAGAAGGCTGGAAAGAAGCTGGAAAACAAAAGGAAGAAAGAAGTCTTTTTTTTTCTGCCTGGGGTTGTGCTTCCAGTGGAAGAAGTATTCATGGGTTCTAGCTCCAGCAGCAAAAACAACACCTATGCATGACTTCAGGCTCCCCAGGTCCTGCAGGGTAATGAGAGTGTGTGCTCCTAGCTTCCTGAAGAGAAGTAGAGATGATAATTAAAACAGCAGCACCAGTGGGGTCCCATCAGTCTTAGTGGCCAAGTAAACACAGGCTTTGCAAACACACCATTTTTCCTTAAGTTCCTCAAACCCTAGGCATGAATGAGGCTTTCTGTGGTTGCTAATCCCTGGGTAATGTTTCTTTTTACCATTTTGTAATTCTAGCCTCCATCCAGGATGATTTCTTTACAATTTTGTTGAGATATAACTGTGTGAACCCCAAAGATCTGAGACAGGAATCAATTAATTTAGAAAGTTTATTTTGCCAAGATTGAGGACAAATGCCCATAACACAGGCTCAGGAGGTCCTGATGACATGTGCCCAAGGTGGTCAGAGCACAGTTTGGCTTTACACATTCTAAGGAGACAGGAGACATCAAGCAACATATGCAAGAACATTGGTTCGGTATGGAAAGGCAGGACAACTCGAAGCAAAGGCAGGAAGACTTGAGGTGGGGAGGGGACTTTAAGGTCATAGGTGGGTAAGAGATGAATGGTTGCGTTCTTTTGAGTTTCTGATTAGCTTCTCCAAAGCAGGCAATTAGATATACATTTATCTCAGTGAGCAGAGGGGTGACTTTGAATAGAATGGGAGGTAGGCTGGCCCTAAGCAGTTCCCAGCTTGACTTTTCCCTTTAGCTTAGTGATTTTGGGGCCCCAAGATTTATTTTCTTTCACATTTCCCCCCTTTTCTTTTTAAAAATCTTTTGGAGAAAGCATTTTAGAAGAAAATGGGTCTGTGGTCTCAGGTTTTGTCTGATCTCTCATGGTTAGGATGGTTTATTCCTAGACAGGTAGGTCCCAAGTTATTAGGAAAGCTCATTTTTAGCATGTTTTGAATTCTCATGTCCTATGAAGAGAAAATAGGGGGAAGAAGAGAGAAAAACAACAACAAACAAAACAACAATCCTGGAAAATTGACATAGGCCATATTACTCTGAAGCCTGTATATCAGTAGGCAGGTATGAAAGTGGCTTATGTATGTAAATAGGTTGCTGTTATTTTCTTCTGAAGTTTAAGTTGCCTGGCTTCATTTCACAGGGCTTAAAAGAAGCACAGCTTAGTTTTCAGTGACTCCAAATTAGAAAAAATGAGGGGAAAAAAAGGAAAAAAATGGAAAACATTATTTTGAAGACTTGCAGCCAAAATAAATTAGAATTCAGTCCAAACTGTAGAAAATAATAAAAATTGAAAAACATTAGGCAAGACTAGAATCTAACAACAGGTGTACTATAGTTTTTGAAATATAATTTTTCTCTTCAGTTTCCCATATTTACTAAAGACAAGTCATGGTAGGACTAATTTGCTTTATTATACTTGGCCTGATTATTTGTATACACTGCAGCCAGAATATATATATTTTTTACATAGGCTTTTAAATTGGCTTTGATGGAACTTTGTTCCATAGAAGGAATCTCAGATGAGATTTTTGTAAAGCCAAGCCCAGCCATGGATTTTTACCATCAAATACCTATGAGTTGAGTGAATTCCTCTCTTCTTGAGGTCCCAAGATAAACTTGGGGCTCCTGGGCCTGTCAGAAAGTGACATTCTTTACTTACCACAGATCAGAAACCCTGTACAAATACTGTGTAGACAAGGCATGAGGCCAGTTTTCCCAAAGGGGATTTTATTGGCTCCATAAGTCAAGTTTGATTCCTTAAAGGAAAGCACACCATTCCACTCAAAGCCTTTGTGAAATAACCAGTTTCTCCAATTGTGTACTGTTACAAATGAAAACAGATTTTTATTGCACTTATGCAAATAACTCTATTGCCATAAGTTAAGAATACTCACAAATAGTTTCCAAATTCTAGAGAAATCAGGTAGAGAGAAACAAGTATGCTCCAAATTCTGTTCACAGGAGTATACTAAATTGTTAAAAGCTGTCAATAGCTCAAAAGAAAAGTTCCCTTGACTCTGAAAAACAAAACAAAGGATCAGCAACGTTTTATGCAAAAATTTAAAAAGATTACTTCAGACTTCTATTAGTTTAGTCCATGCAGTTAATGCTTGTTCTGCTTGGTATTTATGAACATTTCAGCTGTCTGTGAATCCTGAAAGTTTTTCCTCTATTCTGATGTTACAACCTCCAGAGTTACCAGAAACCTGCATTCAAGAGCACCTGTTAGAGTTTTATAGTTGATTATGAAGCCACCTTC
Source organism: Homo sapiens (assembly GCF_000001405.40). NCBI lineage: Eukaryota > Metazoa > Chordata > Mammalia > Primates > Hominidae > Homo > Homo sapiens. The sequence continues at coordinate 100,458,647 of NC_000002.12, read as the reverse complement.
TAAAGAGGACCTAAACAAGACAATTGTTTGTGGATGACAAAAAGTTTCAGGACAGCCGTAGTCAAAGACACAATTGACAAGGAAATTTGTTACCTCTGTGGCACACAATAATTTAACATAATAATTATAATTATTACTTATAATGTACATTAAGTCATATCAGAATTATAGGAGTTTCTCATAATTTTGGAACACATACCAATAACATATTTATACAAATACAGTCCAAAGAAAACCAAACACTGTTTCATATTTGACAATGCTTCCTGCAAAATTTTTATACCAAATAAGCCAAATATGTCATTTTTGGACTTTAGGGACCCTAATATCTTAAAGGATTAATTAGGCCAGAAAAAGACATAGTTTATAATTTGATTTGGAAAGTTTGTCAAATATCAAAGGTTTAAAACACTTGATCATAGGTCATTGTAAAATAAGTCATTCATTTAACCAAAGTGATAAAGATTTCCAAAAAAAGGTGAAAACATTTATTCTTTGAGAGAGGACACTTAATTTTCCAAACAATAAGCCTAATAGTAACAGCATGAAGTCCTGCCATAAAGACACATGCACATATATGTTTATTGTGGAACTATTCACAATAGCAAAGACTTGGAACCAACCCAAATGTCCATCAATGATAGACTGGATTAAGAAAATGTGGCACATATACACCATGGAATACTATGCAGCCCTAAAAAAGGATGAGTTCATGTCCTTTGTAGGGACACGGATGAAGCTGGAAACCATCATTCTGAGCAAACTATCACAAGGACAGAAAACAAAACACCACACGTTCTCACTCATAGGTGGGAACCGAACAATGAGAACACTTGGACACAGGGTGGGAAACATCACACACTGGGGCCGGTCATGGGGTGAGGTGAGGGGGAGGGATAGCATTAGGAGATATACCTAATGTAAATGATGAGTTAATGGGTGCAGCACACCAACATGGCATATATATACGTATGTAACAGACCTGCACATTGTGCACACATACCCTAGAACTTAAAGTATACAAAAAAAGCATGAAGCCAATTAAATTTTTTTAAATTTTACCAACAATCTATAAAATTTTAATCATGATCATAAGATATAACTTCCATAAACATTTATAACCTATATAACCTTCATTAATGAGTTGGTTAATGCTTCAAGAAAACCTTGTTAATCCGACACAGGGGCCTACATCCTGGTCTTGCATCAGTGTGCTTTTCACACCAATGGTTAATTTATAAAGAAATGGAACTTATTTTATCTCTTAAAATCATCCCTTACAATCTCATATGCCCACCTCTTCCATGATAGTCCCTGGGCCTTGAGGAGTTGAATGGCTTTAATTTCTGGCCCTGTGTCTGGGGAATGCAGTTTATTTTGATTGGCATCTTCTGTGGGGCCTGAAGATGAGGCTGTAACTGCTGTCAGTGTTTAAGATTTGGACTTGGTGTCCTTTTTAGACCCAGGAGTCAAAACTCTGTAACTTAATGTCACAAGTACTTTAAAAGCACATATAGAAAGATACACGGATGTAATAACCTTAATTTGAAAAAATAGTTTTTTAATCTTGTTTTTTTTTCCTAAGCAAACCCAAACATAATAATAATGGCATAGGAATTATTTCAATAAAACATAAAATCTGCTAGGCCAGTTACCAAAAGGCAAAAGAAAAGACCTTCTGCAGTATATAGAATATTATGTTGGAAGAGAACATTTCCTTTAGATCTTTAAGAAAATATTAGCATCATATCACAACAAAAAGAACTTGAGAGAAAAACTTATATGAGCTGAAAATGAGTTGAAGGAGAGTGTTATTTCATGCCTTTTAAAAGGGGAGAGAAAACTGAAAATGGTGAGATGCAATAGAAGTTAAACTTTGGGTTAAACAAAAAATTAAAATCTCTTATAATTTATTAAGAGTAAATCAATCCCTTAAGGAAATTTGGTTGTTCTAATTAATTCTTTAGTGTATAAGTGCTTTTTTTACATTAAACCCAATCTCTAGAAAGACCATTATAATTTCCCTTTAATTATAGACAACTTGATCATATAAAAGTTTTTTTTAATAAATCCTTTTATATTGTGACTTACACAGACCATTCATGACATGCTTGGACTTTCTGGTTTGTCCTGAATATCCCTCTTTCTTAAACAACCAGTCATTTTATTCTAGGTCTAAATTTACCATACAAGTTTCTTTCTTATATAAAATTATTTCTCTTTAAGCTTTATTTCCAAAAAACACCTCTTTATTTCTATAACTTCCTTTACATCTCTCTTATTTCCTGTTTTTTAGTCTAGTTTTATATGTAACTTTTGAACTAGACAAAAATTGTTCACCTTTTTTAAAAGGACACTTTTTTTAGAAAGAATATTTTCCTACAATTTTTTTATAGAAAAATACCCTAATAATGAAATATATATTATTTAATTTAATATAACTTTAGAGTCTAAATTATGACAAGTTTCTCTACAAGTATTTATCCCATTACATTTTCCCACATATTTTATTTTATTGGTTTACCTAGATTGTTTATGAAAATTGTAATAGTCATGATGTAAAGTTATGAAACTCGCCATTGCAAAATTCTAACTGAGACAGTGAAAAAGATATGACCTAACTTACTCCACTTTGCTTCTAACTTCCAAGCTGTCCTTGTTCATTCTTGGACTTTGGAAGAAACTTAGTTTAGCTTTGAAACAAAGATGATAACAGTCCTTTCCCAAAACAAACCTCCTTACTGCCTGTGGACTCGACTGCCAAAAACCACAAGATTAGAAGTTATGGTAATTTTACTAAATAATTCAAGATGTAGCTATTTTCATTAAACCAATGTCAATGTCTTATTTATTAAAGATTACACAAGCAAAGATCATTCTGTCTTGGGCTGCGTTTATAGTTTTGTAACTCCTATGCCAAATTTTAACACCTTATAGTATTTGGCAGGGATAAGTATGAAATTACTTGATTGATAAATGCAAACAAAAATATATGCTGGCAATTCTTAAGACATTTCTAATGTTACTTTACCAATAATTTTAAAGCTAGCTTACTTATTAAAGATTTTACTTAAGTCATGTAAACTTGAAAAAGCATTTGACTAGTCTTTCCTTTTTCTGATGAAGTATTTGATTTAAGTGCCTTTATTTTTCTTTAAGCCAGTTAATTAGAGCTCCTTTATATATTTTTCAGCAGTGAAACCACTGAAAACTTTCGTACACAACACACAAATGCATAGAAGTATTAGGCATACCAACAGAAGTACATCTTATAGATTCATAAAAACCTTTTTTTACCCTATCTTAGACTTTCAGATTCTTGATAATCTGTTTCACAACCCTAGGCAGCTCTCAGCTAAATAGCTTTAAATTTGCATATTAAAGGAAACAACTCAGATGAAAATCAAATAGCAAAATTTGTATCATAAGGTATGGAGAGAAAAAGTATGGTGTGCTAGACAGAGATTAAAGATGAACACCAAATCAAACATAAAATCATAAAAATCTATCATCAGATTGTATAAAGAGACCAATTTTATTTAGATATGGACTGCCTATCTTTTTTTTTTTTTTTTTGAGATGGAGTCTCGCTATGTCACCCAGACTGGAGTACAGTGGCGCGATCTCAGCTGACTGCAAGCTCTGCCTCCCAGGTTCATGCCATTCTCCTGCCTCAGCCTCCTGAGTAGCTGGAACTATGGGTGCCCACCACCATGCCCGGCTAATTTTTTGTATTTTTAGTAGGGATGGGGTTTCACCATGTTAGCCAGGATGGTCTCAATCTCCTGACCTTGTGATCCACCCACCTCAGCCTCCCAAAGTGCTGGGACTACAGGCATGAACCACTGCCTGGCTGACTACCTGTCTTTTAACTGGATCTCTAAGCTCTGGGCAGAGCCCACACTGAATCCTGGGTTCCCAAAAAGGGAGAATTATTATGAGGCTAGACCATGTGATGTTTTTACAGTGCACTTAAAAATTTTTTTTTAAACAAACACATTTCTAAGTGTCTAAACTACACTCTTCTTAAAACATAAAAAACCCAAGGGCAGCCTCTGTTGTAATAATAATTTTATTCAATAAATCATGTAATGCAATACAAAAGCAAGCAGTTTAAGAGCTGAGATGAACTTGTCTGTTTACACTGTTGGTATTCCATAAGGAAAAACAGGTTTCTCTTCCAAAGGGAGTCTGGTGCATTCACCATTTTTTTAAGGAACCCCAGACTACTATAAATGATTTTAGGTCCCTCATGCAGCAGAGGGTGCAAGAGAAAGGAGGGACAGCAGAAGTAAATGAAGAAAACAGAATCCAGTCAACTGAGAAAGAAAGAAAAAAAACACTTTTGCTCAAAAAAAGGACAAGGTCCTAGAAGAGAAAAAACAAAGAAACCCAAAACATTAAGGCCTTTTAAATACAAACATGCACACATGCACACATACACACACACACCTTGGATATGAGCTTTTAATTAAGCTGACTTTTAACCATTGAGTTCTTTGTCAAAAAAAATTTTTAAATTCTCATTACTATATTTCAGCTAGGACAAATTGTTGCTATTTTAGAAGCACCAAGTATCAAACCCGAAAGGGCTTGAATTAGGAACCAAACTGAGGTTGTCGTGGTGGGAAAAAAAAGACAGAAACTTAGCCGTGGAACTGCAGTGTGGGGTGACAGTCATTGCTTTCAATTTGACCTGGCTGGCAAAAAGGTGGCCTCGTTATGTAAATAAAGACCCTCTAGCAGTTAAAATTTAAAAATCCTTCTTTTTTTTTTCTACCTTTTGCTGGCCATTTCTCTCCCCCACTACACCACCTTTGTGTGTGTGGTGAGGGTAATTTTGCCACTTCAGAGGTCTTGTTCCCCATAATTTGGAACTTTCCTTTGGATTTGATCAAGTCAGATAGAGTTGATCAAACCCAATGGGAAAAGACTGAAACAACAAAAACAGAAACAAACAACAACAACAAACAGTTAAGCAAAACAAACAATGGCACAACTTATATGGTCATTATGATCTAATGGTAAAGAGAAATTAAGACCAGCTGGTTGTTGATCTTAACTTTAGCCAAGACAAAACCCAATTCAGTAACTTACTTAGGGATGGGTCTCAAGCTGTAGACTGCTCTCTACCATCCTAAAAGCAGGAAAAAAAAAAACAAAAAACAAAACTCAACTTCCCTATTGGAAGCGAGCTCAAACTCCATAAAGCAGTTACCTGCCTTCCATCGTCACGGAAACAGGAAATCTTGCCTTCCTTGTTGGAAGCAAGCAAAACTCCAAAAAAAGAGGAGTTGTACAGTGAAATAAACTTTAGATCTCAACCAAATTTTGGAAGATCAGGGACTCTCTAGAGTGTGTACTCTCAGACCTCAGCAAATTGTCCTGTAGGTTTGAGCCATAAAGTTAGCTCATGCTGGTACCAAGCACCAATAGGAGAATTGTTAAAGATCAGGGATATTGCCACTTAGAACCCCCTTGTAGTTACTAAAATGTGAACCCTGAAGATCTGAGACACAGCTCAGTTAATTTAGAAAGTTTATTTTGCCAAGTTGAGGTTGCACACCCATGACACAGCCTCAAGAGGTCCTGATGACATATGCCCAAAGTGGTCAGAGCACAGTTTGGTTTTATACATTCTAGGGAGACAATCAACACACGCAATATAAACATTGGTTTAGTCTGGAAAGGCATGACAACTTGAAGCACAGCCAGGGAGACTTGAAGCGGGGTGGAGGCTCCAAGGTCATAGGTAGATATGAGACAAATAGTTGCATTCTTTTGAGTTTCTGATTAGCTTATCCAAAGGAGGCAATCAGATATGCATTTATCTCAGTGAACAGAGTGGGTGACTTTGAATAGAATGGGGGGTAGTTGGCCCTATGGAATTCTCAGCTTGATTTCTCCCTTTAGCTTAGTGATTTTGGGGCAAATTTATTTACCTTTCACAATGGACATACAATAAACTATATATATATATCTAAAGTGTATAATTTGATAAACTTTAGCATAAGTATAGACTGTGATATCATTGCAATAAAAATAATGAACACGTCCATCACCTCCAAAAGTTTATTATGCTTCTTGGCAATCCTGCCTGCTGATCGGCTTTCTGTGATTACAGCTTGCATTTTATAGAATTTTATATAAATGGAATTATATATTATATAGTATGCACTTCTTTTAATTTTTTTTGAATTTTTACTCAGCATAATTAAACTAATTCCTGTTGTTGCATGTTTCAATTGTTTATTCCTTTTTATTGCTGAATAGTACTCCATTATGTGAATATACTGCAATTTATTTATCTACAACTGTGTTGATAAACATTTGGGTTGTTTCCAGTTTTGACCCATTATATATAAAGCTTCTGAGCATTTTTGTACAAAACTTTGTATGAGTATCTGCTTTCACTTCATTTAGGTAAATACCTAAGTTTGGGATGGCTGAATCATACAGTAGTCATATATCTAACTTTTTAAGAAACAACCAAAATTGTATTATTTTAAATTCCCACCAGCAGTGTATAAGAATTCCACTTGCTCCAAATCCTTGTCAACACTTGGTATAATTAATGTTTTTAATTTTAGCAGCTCTACTCTTTCCAACATTTTTGTAACCAGTTCCCTAAATTAAAGTACCTCTGTTTAAAACACCTGCAGTGACTTCTTTCTTCCTAGTGGGATGATGACTCAATACAAGTATTAGGTGACTCAACACTCACTACCTGTTAGATGAATGAATTAATGAGTTATTTAGAGGAAAGCTCTCAGGGATATAAAAGGTTGAAAAAGTAAGAATCATGTCTAGGCATTCAGAGACTATGATGAAATGACACTACAAAAACTCTATTTTAAACATAGGCACAGAAAAGAAGCAATAAAAGAATCTCTAACAAATACACAGGGGAAGGTTCAGAGGCTTGGAATGAGAACCACTTAAGAGCAGGAAAGAATAGTAAGTAGCTGGTGTTTGAAAAGAGAGACTAAGTAATTGGAGAGTACAGATGAAGGTCAGGTAATTAACAAGAAAGACTGAATAGGAATGGCAATCAATAGAAAAGATAATGGCTTACAAAGAATGGAGAGAGTTTCCAAGGGCAAGTTTGAAGAAGGAGGAGTTTCATGGGGATCAATTAGCCTAAAAGTTTAACTGAAGGCGAGAAAATATAAGTGGCTTGCAATAAACTCTGAACAGTATATTACAAAGTATGCAGATTATAGAGAAACAAAGGCTGTGAACCGGGGCAAGCAGCCCATGTGCCCTTGGACAGATTCAGAAATGGATTTGACAGTGACATAGGCACTGGCTGTGGTGCCTGCCCAGCCTGTTTCTTCTGGGTTGGTGACTGGGTTGGGTGGGTGGTATGAGTCAGTTTGCTGTAGGCAGATACACGAGTCCTTCTATCCCACTGATTAGGGAAGGAGCTGGAGGAGAAGGGGGGACTATTGGCTTTGGGAGGAAAGGAGGACTCTTGCTTTGTGTGTGGAGAAGCTGGACACAATGCCTCCTCCTCTCAACCTTGCCGTGTATTTGTTGCTTACACCGCCTTGTCTTATGGGGTTTCCTATATATTCACACTGCAGCCCCTACCACCTGTACCCTCAGGAGGATGGGGGCTGTGTTTTCTAGCTCCATTGCTCTTCCACAGCCCTAGGAACAATGACAGTAATTCGTTCGTTTCTTTAAACATTTATGGAGCTCCTACTCCGTATCAGTCTCCAGGGGTAGGAAGATGAAGACATAATTCCTGAGCTCAAGGAGGTCACAGCACAGCAGGAAAGATGGACATATCAGTAGTTCCCTACAAGAGCATGCGAGAAGTGCTATAAAAGAGGTATTCATCAAGAGGCAAGGAAGTAGGCAAAGTTCTACAGCTGAACTGGAGCTGACTTTGGCAGGGGGCTTAAGGACAAGTGGGGGTTTGCCAAGCAGAGAAGGGAGGGGAGGGGGAACAGGGAAGCCAGGGGAGGGGAAACAACAGGAGAGGTAGGGAGGTTGGAAAGCATCCAGAGAAAAGTGAAGTTTGAGGTTCCTGGTGTGCGGGGACTGAAGTATGGCTGACAGCTAGAGTAGAGGGAGAAGGAGAGTTGCGGCATCTTCCAGAAGGTTGCTAGAACTGGGCCAGAGGATGCTAGGGGAACAGTAAGAAGGGCCCAAGGGAAACAGGTTTTCAGGTTGCAGATTGTAGAGACAGTGGTAAACAAGTGGTGTTCTTTTTATACGATTACTGTCTCTGTTTGCAAGCTGCACTGCCCACCATCAGCTGGGTATCCTCTGATGTTAGAACTTGACCTCACCTCTGATTGAGAAGGGAAGTGAAAAGGAAGGGGAATACAATGGTTACAGAAGAGGCTGGCATTGAACATTGTATTTAAAGAGCCTGATGGGGCAGTGGGGACATGCTGTGTAAGTGTCATGAAGACATCGGAGTTTGAAAGCAGAGATGTTGGGATCTGACCCAGCTGTGGCTACAGAGAGAAGCTTATGGCAGACATAGGAGCTGAAATGAGAAATCAGTTGGGAGGCGTGTGCAGGGGGAAAAAGTGTGAGGGCCAGACGCATGGTAATTTTGCCACAAATGGAAAAGGAGGAGGTGGATACAACAGACATTTTAGCAGAAGAACTGGCAGAAATTAGAAGTGATTGTGTGGAGGCCGAATGACAGGAAGGGGTCAGGCCTGCAAGGCAGAGAAGAGGGTGGTGGTCTTGACGGAGACTGGGAACTGAGGGCTGGAGGGAAACCGTGGGTTGATAGGTTGGATTCCTGCCTGTGGAGGAGGCAAATGGAGGTGTTAGGATGTCAGTGGAAATGTGTGCCTTCCGCTTAGGAAAGAGACCTAAGTCACGTGTAGATTTAATCACCAGAAGCACATACATGGTGGCTGAATACTGGAAAGGGTGAGATTGCTTTAGGAGAATGAGTGAGTGAAGGAACATGAGACCAGGGATGGATGAGACCCAGGAAAATATCAGGGCTCAACGACAGGGTAGAAACAGAAGTCAATAAGGTGTTGGAGAAGGATTTGTCAGGGAGAAAACCCTGCAGAGGAGGAGCATTCGAGGAGGAGCGGGCTCAGAAGCATCGAAGCTGGGTGGGGCCTGGAGGGAAGGCTTTGGGTTTGGCATTCAGGATGTCATGGGTGAGCAGGGGCTGTGGTGGGTGGCAGAAAATGTGACAGCAGAGGAAGCAGATGCAGGCCAGTCTTGCAAGGACAGAAGGAAGGCCCTGGCACAAGAAAAAGGCTGGTATCGGCTTAAGGGTGGGGTAGACTTGAGCATGTGGGTAGACAGAGCAGAGGAATTGGTGGAGATGGGAAGGTGAAGGGAAATTAAGGAACCAAGTGTAGTAACATAATGGGAGAAAGTCGTAAGCCAAGGGGAGAGAGTCATAAGCCAAGAGGAGGGATGAGTCTTCTTGTGCCTCTGACAAACAGGAGGGAAGATAGAGGAAGGTGCAAATGGGTCTGGGTGTGGTGGGCAGGCATTGGAGCCAGGTCAGGAGATGGACAGCTAAATCACCCACTCAGAGGCAGGGAGGAAGAAGCCAGGCATTAGAAAGGATCATTCAGATGCAAAACATTACAAACCCCATATTCAATTTATTAAATTCTCTTTTCACTTTTTCCTTCTCCATATTTTATTTTAAAAATATTTTGATACTTTAATAAAGCAGGCCTATTTTATTTCTCTCAGTGCTAGGTAATGGAAATCCAGACCCTGAAATAACAGGCACTTTCAATTGCTGGTGAAAAAAATCATAGCTAGTTAAGGAGAAGGAAATATATCCCTCTTTCCCTAACTGAAACAAATAAAACTAAATGAAAACACAAAATGTTCTTCTACATCATTTAATTATGGCTGCCAATGTTATTAATATTTCTAATAGAAGAGTTTTATGATGGATCTTAACTTCAGAGACTGTTGCTATGGCTTGTGGAAGTAATCTGTAGCTTCTGTGAAGGCTGTAATTCTCACTGATGTTGCTTTAAAATGTGTTGCTCTGGTAACATTCCATTTGAGATCTGTTTTCTGGAAGGTATGGGTACCTGTGCATCTTCTCTGCTAAGTCAGAAGAGGATTATGAGCACTTCCATCATATCTTATTTGCACAAAGGTAAAATAATAATAATAAACTAAAACTTATGACTCTTTGGGGTATCTTATTTAAACAAAGAGTTTGAAAGAATAACTCATCTAAATTAACGTTTAAGTATTTTATAATTAAATGTTTGAGAAGACACGTGAGAAATGAAAACATGACTAAGCTTGGGGTCGAGGTTAGCATGTCATTGGAGAGGCCCTGTGTAACTGTGGACCATTCTTTACAGTTTTGCACAGCTGAGGGGGCAGGTGAAGAAGATTCTCGGGGCCCAGGGAGGCATAAAAGGGGCTCTGAAACTGAAGTCAAAGGACTAAAGGACCTCTTCTTTCTAGTCAGATCTTTGATGCTTGGGCCACCTCCATGAGTCGTTTGTGACGAAGGAAAAGCAGCATCAAGGGGAGCTTCTTCCTGCTCTTGCTCTTTGGAAGCCATTAGGGGGCTGACTTGCTAATGACTGCACAGCTGTCTCTGTTTGCAGAGACAAGCTGCTTATCCACCTCAGCAGGATGTCCCCTTTGAATCACTTTTTCAATAGTGAAGATAAAGTCACAGAGACTCAGCCATTCTCTATGACCAAAACCTTCTCTTGGTGCCAAGAACATGTCTCTGTGAGATGCTGGATGGATCTCAGGGAGCAATCTGAGGCTGGAAGTGGGAGAATTAGTTAAACAGCTCCATTGGAAACTGAGATGCAATCATTAGCTTTGGTACCATTTCAGGAATTCAGGCACATGATTTTTTTCTACAGTTCCCTCCGTGAACCTCCAACACAAACAACTACCTACTCTCAGGAGAAGGTTTCTCTGGATATAGTCCCCAGATCACCTGCTTCAGAAACATGTGGGGCATGCATGAAAAATGCAGGTTCTTGGGTCTCGTTCTACACTCTCAATCAGTATTGCTGGGTGCCATGAACAGGAATCTGAGTGGTAAACTTTCTAGAAGATTCGCTACAATCTAAGTTTGAGAACCCCTGCTTATAGGTGAGAATCTCAGTTTGAGTAGAACTAGGCAATTTCTTAGGTTCGCTCAACGGTTCATTCTCAGCCTGCTTTGGATCCCTTCTGCCTTCTGCCTCTAACCAGCACGATCCTGGGCTCTCCTCTCACCATTCCCATAGGGATGCTCAGGACGTGCAAAGGTATTTTTCATGCTGGCTCTGAAAAAACTCAAAGATAAGTCTTATGCCAAAAATAGATAAATAACTGACAACTTCCATAAGGCAAGTGAAACATCTTGGGTGACCCGAGCCACAGCCCGGCTCCATCGCAGCTGCTGTCATCCATGCTGTCTATGTGCAGTTATCCGACCACTTTAAATACCATTTGTGCGCTCATTTAAGCAGCCCTGGTGGATGGGAAGTTTCAAGGAGCCTTTTATGACCAGAATTCGTCGTTTAGAGAGGCAGTATGCAAACCAAGCTTTGCTGGCTCCTCTGCTCTGTGGGCATCCTGGTCTTTTCATTTTATGACCCACCATGAATAATTTGCACAATGCTCCAACTCCCTAGTCAGATGTCACGAGCTCACTTTTTCATCCCAGGTCTATACTTTAATGCCATTTAGCAATGATCTTCCTTGGGATTCTGTGTTTGTATTGCCCGTCATGACACCACAGGAGCATGTTTTCCAGAATGCACTGAGGCATACATATTACTCACTATGGAGGAAGCCATCAGTTCCAGCAAATAAAGCCTAACTATGACAACACAATGATTCCTCCATTTCTCATGTTAGTAATTTTCTATTTGGAGAGTCTGCAGATGAATTCATGGGCTGACTCAGTTTTTTACTGTGTGAAGGCCACACAATTCTTGCAATTATAATTACCCAGCTATAATATCTGACACCACTATATTTATCAGAAAGCACAAATCCATATCCTAAGTCCATGCCATACCATTAAGCATCTTTATGAAAAGATTCTGGGCTATCTTATGAATCTTGAAATGTATCAGCGAATGGAAAATTAGGATTTATTTTTCTTTCACATCAGCCCTGAAACATTCAGACTATTATTTCCTTTGGACATTTGGAATCCACAAACCAAAGTCAAGATTGCCAATATTTGAAGTTGTCTATTTTATATATATGATTACATTAGCTATTTTATTCATAAAGAGACCCCAGCTTCAGGGTTCCTTGGTCTAGGAGACAATACCAATACCAATCACTGGGACGGCCTGGTCCCTGAAAAGTAAGTAGAAGAAGGCACACCAACTGGGAACCTTGGGACCCAAAGATTGACATGGTGGTGAGTTCCTGGGGTTTTTGACTAGGTACTGGAGGAGTCAGTGACCCAGAAATGTCAACAAGTTTCTTTCTTTCCTTTTTTTCTTTTTGAGAGTCTCACCCTGTTGCTCAGGCTGGAATGCAGTGGCACAATCTTGGTTCACTGTAACATTTGCCTCCCAGGTTCAGGCGATTCTCATGACTCAGCCTCCGAGTAGCGGGGATTACAGCTGTGCACCACCACGCCTGGCTAATTTTTGTATTTTTAGTAGAGACAGGGTTTCGCCATTTTGGCCAGGCTGGACTCAAACTCCTGGCTCCAAGTGATCTGCCCACCTTGGCCTCCCAAAGTGTTGGGATTACAGATGTGAAGCCCTGTGCCCAGCCAAATGTCAACAAATTTCTGATCAAAAAAGAAAAGCCTAATTTATTCTAAGTATGTAAGGCTGGTTCAACATTTGAAATTTGTTCATTGTAATCTACCATGTAAAAAGGTCTAGAAAGAAAGAAACCACATGATTATATCAATCAATGCATTAAAACATTTGACAGAATTCAACACCCATTCATGACAAAAACAACAAAACCTAGAAAAATAGGAATAGTGGGGAGCTTCCTCAATTTGTTGAAAGGTATCTAAGAAAAACTTACAGCTAACATTACATTTAATGATGAAAGGCTGAATGATGTCCTTCTAAAATCAAGAACAACCCAAGCATGTCTGTTTTTACCTCTCTTATTCAACATAGTGTTACAAATTCTAGCCAGTGCAATAAGGCAAGAATAAGAAATAAAAGACACACATATAGATTGGAAGGAAAGAAAGAAAACTGTCCTTGTTTTCAGAGGACATGGTTGTCTGTTCAGAATATCTCAAGGAATAAAAAGAAAACTGTCCTTGTTTTCAGAGGACATGGTTGTCTGTTCAGAATATCTCAAGGAATAAAAAGAAAACTGTCTTAAAACTAACAAGCAAGGCTGGGAGCAGTGGCTCACGCCTGTAATGCCAGCACTTGGGGAGGCCAAGGTTGGGAGTTCAAGACCAGCCTGACAAACCCCGTCTCTACTGAAAATACAAAACAAAAAACAAAAAACAAAAAAACTAGCCAGGCATGGTGGTGCATGCCTGTAATCCCAGCTACTAGGGAGGCTGAGGCAGGAGAATCGCTTGAACCCAGGAGGCAGAGGCTGTGGTGAGCTGAGATCGCACCACTGCACTCCAGCCAGGGCAACAAGAGCAAAACTCCATCTCAAAAAACAAACAAACAAACAAAAACTAACAAGCAAGTTCAAGAAAGTGACAGAATACAAGGTAAACATAAAAAATGTATTTCTATATGCTTTCAATAAACAAGTGGACACCGGAATTAAAAATACAATACCATTTACAACTGCTGAAAAAATAAAACACAAAGGTGTAAATCTAACAAAACAGATACAGGATTTGGATGCTGAAAACTACAAAGTGCTGATGAGAGAAACCAAAGAAATTCTAAATAAGTGGAGACACACCATGTTCAAGAGTTAAAAGACTCAGCATAGTAAAGATGTCAATTCTCCTCAAATTGATATCAAAGTTCCAGCAAGAATTTTTGTATAGACAAGTTTATACTAAAATTTATATGGCAATGTAAAGAAACTAGAACAGCTAAAATGACTTTGATAAAGAAGAATAAAGCAGGAAGACTGCATCTAACCAATCTCTAGACTTCTTATTTAGCTTTGGCAATCTAGAATGTGTGGCATCAGCAGAGAGATAAACACAGAGGTCAAGGAAACAGAATAGAGAATCCAGAAAGAGGTCTACATAAATATGCCCAACTATTTTTTGACAAAGATGCAAAAGCAATTCTATGGAGGAAAGATGGCCTTTTCTTTTTTTTCTTTTTTTACTTTTATTTTAGATTCAAGAGTACATGTGCAGGTTTGTTATATAAGTAAACTCAAGCTATGGGGATTTATTATACAGATTATTTTGTCACCCAGGTACTAAGCTTAGTGCATGTTAGTTATTTTTTCAGATCTTCTCCCTCCTCCCACCCTCCACCCTCAGGTAGGCCCCAACATCTGTTGTTCCCTTCTTTGTGTCCATGTGTTCTCATCATTTAGCTCCCACTTATAAGTGGGAACATTCAGTATTTGTTTTTCTGTTCCTGCGTTAGTTTGCTAAGGATAATGGCTTTCAGTTCCATCCATGTTTCTGCAAAGAACATGACCTCATTCTTTTTTATGGCTGCATAGTATTCCATGGTGTATATGTACCACATTTTCTTTATCCTATTTACCATTGATGGGCATTTAGGTTGATTCCATGTCTTTGCCTTTGTAAATAGTGCTGCAATGAATATACGTGTGCATGTGTCTTTATGGTAGAACAATTTCTATTCCTTTGGGTATATACCCAACAATAGGATTGCTGGCTTGAATATAAGTTCTGTTTTTAGTTCTTTGAGGAAACGTCCCACTGCTTTCTACAATGTTTGAACTAATTTACACTCCCACCAACAGTGTATAAATGTTCCCTTTTCTCCGCAACCTTGCCAGCAAAAAATAGCCTTTTCAACAAAGGATGCTGAAGCAATTGAATATCCATAGGCAAAAAAGTGACCATCAGTCTAAGTCTCATTCCTTACCCAAAAGCGAACTCAAATCAGGTCCTGGATCTAAATGTAAAATGTAAACCTATAAAACATTTAGAAGAAAGAAATCAGAGAAAATATTCAAGGGCTAAAGCTAGGCAAAGAATTCTTATACTTGAAACTGAAACCATGAGTCCTAAAAAGAAAAACTGATAAAACTGGATTTCATCAAAAGTAAAGACTTTTGCTCTACTAAACACCTTGCAAAGAGAATAAAAAGGCAAGTTAACAGACTAGAGGAAAATATTTGTAAACCGCATATCTGATACAGGACTGTTAGTCCATTTTCACACTGCTATAAAAAATACCTGAGACTGGGTAATTTATAAATAAAAGAGGTTTAACTGACTCACAGTTCCACATGGCTAGGAGGCCTCAGGAAACTTACCATCATGGCAGAAGGCAAAGGGGAACCAAGGACCTTCTCCATATGGTGGCAGGAGAGAGAAGAGTGAGGAGCGAACAGAGAAGAGCCCCTTGTAAAACCATCAGATCTCATGAAAACTCACTCACTATCATGAGAACAGCATGGGGAAAACCGCCCCCATGATCCAACCACCTCATTCCCACCACACATGGTGATTACAGTTTGAGATGAGATTTGAATGGGGACGTACAGCCAAACCATATCAAGGACTAATATCTAGAATATATAAAGAACTCTCAAAACCCAATAATAAACAAAAATTTCAATTAGAACATGAGAAAAAGGAAAAGACTACTACAGATGCCAATTAAGCACATAAAAAGTATTGGATATCATTAGCCATGAAGGAAGGATGAAACTATTTATTGAGGGCTGGCGAGGCAGGTATTGTGTTAGGCATTTGTGGGGATACAGAGATGAATTAGACAAGGATTTTGCCCTCAAGTAATTCACAGTCGACTAGGGGAGGGAAGTTCTAAGACAAATATGATGTCAAGATAGTGGTAAGTGTCCCAACTGGGAGAAAATAATGTCGCCTAGAGTTTCTAGCTGACATGCATCAGGAAAGACATTGTGTTGACATTTGACACAAAGAATGGGTAGGATCTAGGCAAGAGAAGGTATGATGAAAAGACATTTCAGATGTAGAGAGAGGCAGGAGCAAGTGTTGGAGTTGGGACAGTGTAGGGTTTGGTCAGGCTGGTGTCCTCAGATAAGAAAGGCAACACTGAGCTGGGAAATGAGGCTGGAAGGGTGAGTTAGTCAGGACGACTGTGAAAATATTCGTTTGAAATGTGCTCCTTATGTCAAAATCAGCATGATCTATTTTGGTTACCTTTGAAAGGCCTTTCCTCAGGTAATGATTCCATAAACTGAAAGCCCTTCTATTCCTAGGCTGCCACTGTGAACTTTGAAAGATGCCAGTTGCTGATCTGATGGCTGATAAAATGTGGAGATTGGAGCTAATGGAGGAAAGCTAAGGACAAGAGGAATATGTATCCATCTTCTCCAAAAACATTTGCTCCAATAGATCATCTACCTACCACAGATAGAGTCACATCAAGCAGCATATCCACAGGAAGGCCTCCTTCAATCATTTCATTTCCAAGCTTCTCTTTTAAAATGCAGACATTCTTAGCAGTTTGAGATTGGACTGGAGAGAGGGTGGTTTGAATAATTTACAGTTATGCTTTTTAAAATTTGACCATATGTTTTGATAGTACCCTGTTTCATTTGCAAGCTTTTAGAAAATCCATCAGATTAGAGAGTAAGAAAAAGATCAGAGACATCTCTCTCGAGGAAGGTACAATCACTGTGTTTTTGGCATGTCCACTGGAAGTTTCAAACATATAACTTCAAACTATGTAACAGGTATGCTACTCCAAGCATGCATGGGAACTAGATCCTGGAAGCTTACACCAGGCAAAGCTTAAATTAAATAAGGACTATCAATTAGATCACCTTCTGATCAAGCCCAGAAAAAAATCAGTGTCTAATTTGAATAGAAGAGTATCTGACCTCCCAACCTTATTTTGTGGTGTAGGATAGTATTATATATAGAATATTACTTCTCAAAATATAATGTGCACATAAATTACTTGCAGATTTTGTTGAACCTGTAGATTAGGTCTGAGTGGGGCCCATGAGGACGTGAGCAACACAATAAACCAACTAGATAAAACAAACATATTCAGAGCCCCTACCGTTACAGAGCACGCATTCTTCTCAAATGCACACAGGATATTTTCTAGGACAGATCATATTTTAAGCAACAAGTTAAGTTTCAACAGATTTTAAAAACAGATATCCTACAAAGTACCTTCTCTGGCTACAATGGGATGAAATTAGAAATCTATAAAGAAGGAAATTTTTTAAATATCCCTCTAAATTAACAACAACAAAAAAAATCCCACAATTTTTGGCCCAGGACCTGACACACAGTAGACACTCAACACATGATAACAAGTCACACTTGGGTTCAGTGGGCATGATTATTGTGAAAGGGAATCTGCTTGCCATGTTTACAGCTTGACAGAGGAGGGAGTTGTGAGTTGCTGTTTTCATACATAGTTAAGAGAAATATTATCACTGTTTCCCATGTGATTGGAACATGGGGGCTGTTTCCCCCATGCTGTTCTCGTGACAGTGAGTGAGTTCTCATGAGATCTGATGGTTTTATAAGGGGCTCTTCCCCCTTTGCTTTCTCTCACCGTTGTTTCCCAGCTCACTGTTCCCCTTCTTATCTGAGGGCACCAGCCCAATCAACCCTACACTGTCCCAACTCCAATGCTTGCTCCTGCCTTTCTCTACACCTGAAATGTCTTCTTTTCACATCTCCTGTTGCCCAGATCCTACGCATTCTTTGTGTCAAATGTCAACACAATGTCTTTCCTGATGCATGTCAGCTAGAAACTCTAGACGACATTATTTTCTCCCTGTTGGGATATTTACCAATGATAAAACATTATCAGTGTTTTCCCGCTTTTCCCATGGTTGGAAGTCCCAAGGTATTCACTTGCTCTTCAGGGATGGCTACATACCCTAAAGGGCTATTCTTGGCTCACATACACATGCTTCTTTCTACTGGATCTTAACATTTTATTTTAATAGTTGGCTTCACATTAAGCAGCATATCCACACACAGGCCTATTTCAGAGAACAACCAATGCACGTAAAACAACTTAAAATGATGGTACAAAATGAATACAAACAGTCGCCTAAAATTTTTTCTGTTCTTTCTCATTTTTTACTCTATATGTACCCAGCAAGAAGGGGCTAGTGCTGTTTTCTGATTACGGTGGAGAGGTTTGGGGAGCCACAGAGGATAAGTCACTTTGTCCATGATCCTCCAGCAGGTCAGTAGTAAATAGGCACTGCGGTGGCTTTTACCAGGGCAAAGTAGTTAAGCCGTATGGCTAGAATTCCCCTTTCTGTGTGGCCATGGGAGGCACGTGTGTGAGGCTGGAAGTGAAGTAGTAGGAAGACCGGTAGTGAGTCAGGTGTCGCGCGCGGGTGCAGCCCATGAACGGTGCTGCGGCTTTGCGGGCACACCTCGGTGTGGGGCAGCAGCTGATCCACAGCTCTTCCAGTCCTGCTGAATTTCTCCTCGGGATTCTCTGCCTCCTGGGCCAGGTACATGTTTAGCTCTGTGGCAAAGGGCACCAGCCTTTCCCTCTGGTCACACGCATCACCCAAGTCTGAGGTGTGGAGGCGGGAGAGGAGGCAGATGCTGGTGGGAGTCCCTCCTTGTGGGTCCCAGCTTGTCCCTGCCTGCCCTGTTACATTCTTCTTTTCTTTCCTGAGATTTATTATAGGGCAAAGCCCTGTAATAGGTCTCATACTCTATATCATTCCCAGTGGCCATGTGCTTCTTTGATTGAACTCTGAAGGTTACATGAGCAATATCAAGATTTTCCTTTTTTTTTTTTTTTTGAGACGGAGTCTTGCTCTGTCGCCCAGGCTAGAGTGCAGTGGCGCAATCTTGGCTCACTGCAAGCTCTGCCTCCCGGTTCACGCCATTCTCCTGCCTCAGCCTCCTGAGTAGCTGGGACTACAGGCACCTGCCACCACGCCGGGCTAATTTTTTGTATTTTTAGTAGAGACGGGGTTTCCCCATGTTAGCCAGGATGGTCTCTGTCTCCTGACCTCGTGATCAGCCCGCCTCGGCCTCCCAAAGTGCTGAGATTACAGGCGTAAGCCACTGCACCCGGCCTAGATTGTTAAATGTTTCATCGGACCTAAAAGGGTGCCTAGCTCTTAGCTGATTTCCTGGATCTGGAAAGCAAGGAAGGAAAAAAGAGAGGGGAAAGGGGATTCTCTATAGAATGCGATTTTTTTTCCCACAAGAGAAAACTTTGCAGGGCAATTTCAAGATTTGGCAAGGAAACATATTTGGGGTTAAAATGTTTTGACTTCTTGCCTTATTTGTTATATGATGTTATGCCAGAGTCAGGTTAGAATGCAGACCTCGCTCTATAGGCTTAAAATAAAAACCCCTCTGATGAGACTTTATGGTTTGTAAGATGTGACTCCTCAGACCCCTTAGGTAGGAATTTGGGCATGTTAAAAAAAATTAAAGCTTAGTTCTCTGTCTCCTCCCTTTCTCTTACACACACACACACACACACACACACACACAGAGACACACAGACACACACACACAAATTTGAGACAGAGTCTCACACCGTTGCCCAGGCTAGAGTGCAGTGGCACAGTCATGGTTCACTGCACTCTTGACCTCCCTGGGCTCAGGTGATCCTCCCACTTCAGATTCTCAAGTAGCGGGGACTACAGCACATGCCACCACACCCAGCTAATTTTTGTATTTTAGTAGAGACGGAGTTTTGCCATATTGCTCAGGCTGGTCTCGAACTCCTGACCTCAAGTGATCCACCCCCCCTTGGCCTCCCAAAGTACTGGAATCACAGGCGTGAGACACTGCACTCAGCCTAATAGTTTATATTTTAAAAGACTCTGTGGTGCTGTTTCTCATAGACTTTATAGAAGCAGGGAAGAATCAGAACATGATCAAAACCATTTCAGGACTCAATGCCAAAAGATATTTTGTTAGATACATTATAAGGAAAAACGATTTGTGAAACTATGTGAATATTGCTCTGACATTTGCAAAATTATGCTGTCTACTTCTGAACTCCCCGAGACAAGAGAAACAATAACTGGACATTGACAGAAAAAGTGAGCCAAATTAAATAGAACAAGCATTGAATGATGACCTTATATATCAAAAGTTAGGAGGTACAGCCAAAGTAGTACTTACAGGGAAATTTAGAGCTTTAAGTACAAATATCAGAAAAGAGAAGGTTGGATATAAATAATCTAAGCTTCTAAACCAAAAAGAACAGGCAATAAAAGGATGAGGTGGAAGGAATTAAAGATAAAAGCAGAAATTAATAAAATAGGCTGGAACAGAGAAAATCAATAAAACCAAAAGTTGGATTTTAAAAAATATTAATAAATTAGAAATCTTAGCAAGACTGGACAAGAAAAAAGAGAAAACACAAATGGTGAATGTCAGGAATGAGAAGGGAAACCTCAATCCAGATTTGACAGATAATTTAAAAGATAGTAAGACATTATGGATAACTTTGTGCAAATAAATTCGAAAACTTGGTGGATTAGCCTGTTTTTATGCTGGTGGTAAAGACATACCAGAGACTGGGAAGAAAAAGAGGTGTAATTGGACTTACAGTTCCACATGGCTGGAGAGGCTTCAGAATCATGGAGGGAGGCGAAAGGCTCTTCTTACATGTCGGTGGCAAGAGAAAATGAGGAAGATGCAAAAGCGGAAACGTCTGATAAAACCATCAGATCTCACGAGGTTATTCACTACCATGAGAACAGTATGGGGGAAATGACCTCCATGATTCAATTATCTCCCACTGGGTCCCTCCCACAACCCGTGGGAATTACGGGAGTACAATTCAAGATGAGATTTGGGTGGGGACACAGAGCCAAACCATATCACTTGGATAAATGGAAAAATTTTCTCCAAAGCACCACATATTAAAACTTAAATAAAAAATAAAAATTTGGAATAGACTTATATCTGTTTAAAAAATTGAGTCTGTAATTAAGTACTTTCTCACAAAAGAATTTCAGCAGCAAACTTCCCTAGTGAAGTCTTCCAAACATTTAAAGAAGGGAAAATATTAATCTCAGAAAATCTCTCTGCAGCTATAGCGTTGTTGTGAGGATTAAACGACTTAATATATCTAATCGTTTGGTTTTTCTCTGTACTCAATCATTTCATCTGTTTGTAAAGATAGTTTTATTCTTTCTCTCTAAACTAAGATCCCTCCAGCATAATGTTGAATAGAAATGGCGATAGTGTATTGCTTTGCCTTGTTCATCCAACAAATATAGTGTTAGCTATAAGATTTGTGGGTTTTATTTTTGTTTGTTTGTAGGTGCCTTTTATCAGATTATGAACATTTTCTTCTCTATGTCTAGTTTGCTGAGAATTCTATCGAGTGGGTATTTAATTTTATCAAATGCCTTCTGCATCTGTTGAAATAATCACACTGTTCTTGCCTTTATTCTTTTAATGTGGTGAATTACATTGGTTGCCTTTCAAATATTAAGCCTGCCTTGCATTCCTGGAATAAACTCTACTTGGTCATGATGCATTAACCCTTTTCTATATAATTGAATTCAATTTGCTATTATTTTACTTAAGACTTTTCTGTCTTTTTGAGAAATACTGCTCTATAACTTTATTTTCTTGTAATGTGTCTAAAATTGTGAAAAAATGCATATTTTTTTCTGTAATTATGCTCTATATCACTGGTTTTAAAACTTTTGACCAAAACAATACAAAATACATGTTATATTGTGATCAGTGCACGTAGATCTGTGAGTGTGTGAAGTGTGTGAGTGTATGTATAAAATAAAGGTTTTGTAAAACAATCCTTTTTTTTTAGTAGGGTCTCACTCTGTTGCCCGGGCTGGAGTGCAGTGGTGCAATCACAGCTCACTGCAGCTTCCACCTCCTGGGCTCAAGTGATCCTCTCACCTCTGCCTCCCAAGTAGCTGGGATGACAGGCACATGCCACCACACCTAGTTAATTTTTTACTTTTAGTAGGGATGGGGTCTTATTAGGTTGCCCAGGCTGGTCTTGAATTCCTGGGCTCAAGTGATCCTCCCACCTCAGCCTCCTAAAGTGCTGGAATTACAGGTGTGAGCCACCACACCCAGCCTTATGAAATAATTCTTACCCTTCATAAGAAGGAAGCACTCTACTATTTCTGATTCAATTATCTTCTATTCTTTTAAATGATGGGTGGGTGTGAAGCACGAACTTGATTTTTGTGACCCACTAATAGGTTGCTATGTGCAGTTTGAAAAACATTGCTTGCATACAGTGTGCACTATGTAAGTGTTCGCTACTGTTATTAGTAATTTATGGCTCTCTAGAACCTTGCGCAGTACCTGGCATACAGTATGCACTTGAAAAACATCTATGAACAAATTACTTTGTTTATCAGTGGCTTTTA
The DNA here is from genome assembly GCF_000001405.40 of Homo sapiens. Classification (NCBI taxonomy): domain Eukaryota; kingdom Metazoa; phylum Chordata; class Mammalia; order Primates; family Hominidae; genus Homo; species Homo sapiens. The sequence continues at coordinate 100,436,231 of NC_000002.12, read as the reverse complement.
ATAGAGTGGTTTCAATAGAGGGTTGAGAGTAGTGACTTCTGCTAAGATATTATTTACCTTGACTCTTACTAGGAATTAGGGTATCACTTGGATCCTTGTTGGCCTCTTACGACTGATAGCAAAGAAATTTGCTGGCCACCAGAAAGAAGAAAATATAGTTGCCACAGCCTGCACAAACTCATTCATGAAGGCAGTGTTCATCCCATTGTCACCTCAATTAGGTAAATTACTTTGGAGGACCCATATGTGGCTGATTTTCTTTTTTTTTTAAGAGACAGGGTCTTGCTCTGTCACACAGGCTGGAATGCTGTGGCATGATCTCAGCTCACTGTAGCCTCGACCTCCTGCGCTCCAGCAATCCTCCCACCTCAACCTTCCAAGTAGCTAGGACTATAGGCATGCGCCACCACGCTCAGCTAACTTTGTATTTTTTGTAGAGACAGGGTTTCACCATATTGCTCAGGCTGGTCTTGAACTCCTGAGCTCAGGCAATCTGCCCACCTTGGCCTCCCAAGGTGCTGGGATTACAGGCATTGAGTGTGGCTGAATTTTAACTTGAATTTGGATTCTTAATTTTCATTTAAAAAGAAAAGCCTTACAACTACAATGCAGCATTGAAACAGTGTCTTTGGGTGTACAAAGCAAAGCAATTTAAAGGCTGGGGGAATTATCAGGCCTCTCATATCACAGAATGCCCAAAGCTAGGAGAGGTGATTATAACCAATGGTAACCAATGTATACATTGCAATGGTCTATTTCAGTGTTTTGGATTACTCATTGTCAAAAGCCTCCAGCCAAGTCCAAAAAAAGAGCTTTTAAACATCCAGTAATGAGTGGTCCAATTAAGGGGAGGTAAGGGTGTGTAAAAAACTATTTTTACCAAATAGAAAATGCAGATAAAATGCTAGTATTCTTTGATGTGCTTCAGAATCACTCATTCAGTTCTGAGAACTCTCAAGGATCAAGATCACACACTCAGATTACGGAGGGCAGCTCGCTTCCACAATGCTGTGTATTATTGCCAGGGAAGCAGGGAAGTCTCTTTAGATTCTAAAAACAAAGAGGACTTAGGCTAAAACTTTGAAAATTGTCCTGAAAGAAAAAAAAATATGCAATTGCAAGTATATGTGATTACTTCGCAAAAAGAGTTTTGGTACAATCAGTGTAGTGTTTCTCTGCCCTGTTCCTACAAAAACTGTTTGTAAATGAACATAGAATCTTATTATAGTCAATGGCATGTGAGTACTGACTATATCCATCAGTTTGGGGCCTTGATTAGGTCAGTGTTCCCAAACCTGGCTGCTCACTGGAATTGTTTAGGGAGCTTTTAAAAATGAGGTTCTCCCAGTTTCACCTGGACCTACTTGAGTAACACTGGCCCACAGATCTGCACTTCTTTTACATGCTCCAAGTGGTTCCCCCCTGCTCAGAAGAATCAATGCACCTCCTTTGCAGCTAAATTAATATCAGGAAGAGATTTGGATGGTAAAGAAAATAAAGCACATGCGTGGTGAGTTTCCAACTTTGCAATTGACGCAGAGCTTTCCTGCTATCAACCCTAAAATATTCAGTAATGAGACAGCAGGAGTTTGTTACTTTTTTATACTTAGAGTCTATTCATGCTTTATTATTAATAGATCATCTCAGAGGGATACATTTTTTCATGCTATGTGAGCTCAATATTAGAAGAGAGATAGGACCAATTTTTCAAGTGCCAACCTAGCACTACATTACTTTACTATAAGAGATGGTCTCACAATTGCATTCTGAGCAACATACCCTGTATGAAAAAAGAAAATAGTTAACTTTATTTTAATTAGTATTCTGTTTATCATAAGACACATAAAAATAGGTCTCACCCTTCCATGATTGGAGAGAAAATAGTGATTATATTTTCAACCAACTGGATGGGTAATTATCTAGCTATATGCCACACACAAAAATCAACTTACTCATTTCTTACATTTTCTCCTTATTTCTCCTCATTTTTTCTACATTTTTCCTTCCATATTTTGCTACTTTTGTTACAGGACATAGATCCAGATATAAATGTATATTCCCTAAAGTGACTGCATGGATTCAGGTCTAGCTTCTATCGAATAATAGGGTATTAGAGCTGGAAGGGAACCCAGCAGTCACTCAAAATAACAGACTGATTTCTTATTAAAAAACGTAAGCCCAGAAGTTAAGTGACTTACCAGAGTCAACAACAAAGACAGAATGAAATGAACAGTAGCTGAGCCTTCTTTCCACCTACCATTCCATTCATTTGATGCATGCAACGAAGTGAACTGGAGTATGCGTGAGGGTATTAGAGTTCTCCAGAGAAACAGAACCATACTGTGTATATATATGTAATATGTGTGTGTATATATTTACATACATACACATAATAGATGCAATATACATAGTAGTACACATAGATGTGTGAGTGTGTTGGGGAGGCAGAGGGGAGAGAGCGAGAGATTTATTATTGGAAGTGGCTCACACAATCACGGAGGCTGAGAAGTTCCACCATCTGCCCTCTGCAAGCTGGAGAATCAGGAAAGCAATTTATTCTGAGTTCAAAGGCTCAAGAACCAGAGGCTCCAATGTTGAAGGGCAGGGGAAGATGAATTCTCAGGTGAAGGAGAGAGAGAGATAATTCACCCTTCCTCCACATTTTTGTTCTTTTGGGTCCTCAATGGATGGGGTGATGGCTGCTCAGATGTTCTTTCCTCAGTCTACTGATGCTAATGCTAATCTATTTCAGAAATGTCCTCACAGGTACACCCAGAAATAATTTCATCACTATGTGGGCATCTCTTAGCCCAGTCAACTTGACATATACAATGAACCATCACAGTCAGGGTATTTTTTAAATCACCACACACCCACATTTTATCTATCTATCTATCTATCTATCTATCTATCTATCTATCTATCTATCTATCTATCTGAGAAGGATTCTCACCCTGTCACCCAGGCTAGAGTACAGTGGCATTATCTCAGCTCATTGCAACCTCCACCTCCTGGGTTCAAGCAATTCTCCTGCCTCAGCCTCCCAAGTAGCTGGTATTACAAGCACACGCCACCATGCCCGGCTAAGTTTTGTATTTTTTTTTTAGTAGGTTCAGGGTTTCACTACATTGGCCAGGCTGGTCTTGAACGCCTGACCTTGTGATCCGCCCACCTTGGCCTCCCAAAGTGCTGGGATTACGGCGTGAGCCACCACATCTAGCTCACATCCACATTTTTAGATAACACCTTTATTGAAATATAATTTCACATATCACAAAACTCACCCATTTAAAGTGTGTAGTTCCAAGGTTTCTAGGATGTTCGCAAAGTTGTGCAACAATCACAGTCTCATTTCGGAATTTTCATCACCCCCCGAAGAAACTCTGTACCTATTAGTAGTCATTCTCAATTTCCAGCCCCCAATCACCACTAACCTATGATCTGTTTATAGATTTGCCTTTTTTGCACATTTCATGTAAGTGGAGTCACAGAATCTGTGGTCCTCTGTGACTACCTTCTTTGACTTAGCATAATGTTTTCAAGTTCTCCATGTTGCAGCATGAGTCAGTACTTCATCTACTCTTCTTGACAAATAATGTTCCAGTACATGAATGTACCACATTTTAAAAATTCATTCACCACTGGGCTAGGCATGGTGGCTCATGCCTGTAATCCCAGCACTTTGGGAGGCCAAGGTGGGCAGATCACTTGAGCCCAGGAGTTCAAGACTAGCCTGGCCAACATGGTGAAACTCTGTCTCTACATAAAATACAAAAATTAGCCAGGCACGGTGGTGCACACCTGTAGTCCCAGATACTCGGGAGGCTGAGGCAGGAGAATTGCTTGAACCCAGGAGGCAGAGGCCGCAGTTAGCCAAGATAGCACCATGCATTCCAGCCTGAGTGACAGGAGTGAAACCCTGTCTCAAAAAAATAAAAATAAAATAAAAGTTCATTCACCACTTGATGGAAATGTGTGATTTTTCTGCTGTGGCTATTAAAAATAACAATGTCTTGAACATTAACGTACAAGTTTTGCATAGACATATGTTTTCATTTCTCTTGGGTATATACCTAGGAGTGAAATTGCTGGGTTATATGGTAACTCTACATTTAACATTTTTAAAAACCGCCAAAAAGTATTTTTTTTTTTTGAAACGGAGTCTTGCTCTGTCGCCCAGGCTGGAGTGCAGTGGCGTGATCTTGGCTCACTGCAACCGCCACCTGCTGGTTCAAGTGATTCTCCCTTCTCAGCCTCCCGGGTAGCTGGAATTACAGGAGCATGCCACCACACCAGGCTAATTTTTGTACTTTTAGTAGAGACAGGGTTTCACCATGTTGGTCAGTCTGGTCTCGAACTCCTGATCTCAGGTGATCTGTCTGCCTTGGCCTTCCAAAGTGCTGGGATTACAGGCGTGAGCCACCATGCCCAGCCTGCCAAAAAGTTTTCCAAAGCAACTGCACCATTTTACATTCTCACCAGCAATGTGTAAGGGCTCCATTTTCCACAACTCACCAACACTTGTTATTGTCTTTTGTCATTATAGCCATCCTAGCTGGGGTGGAGTGGTATTTCATTGTGATTTTCATTTGCATTTCCCTACTTATGAATGATGTTCAGCAGCTTTACATGTGCTTATCAGCCATGTGTATATCTTCTTTGGAAAATGTCTATGCAGACCCTTTACCCATATTTAAATTGGGCTATTTGTCTTTTTATTATTACACTGTAAGAATTCTGTAGATATTCTAGATGTTAGTCCTTTACCATATTGCTATAGTTTGGATGTTTGTCCCCTCCAAAACTCATGTTCAAATGTGATCCCCAATGTGGGAGGAGGGGCCTAGTGTGAGATGTTTGTGTCATGGGGGTGGATCCCTCATGAATGGCTTGGTGCCCCCCTCATGGTAATGAGTGAGTTTCCACTCTATGAGTTCATGTGTGATCTGGTTAAAAAGAATTGAGGATCTCCCCGCTCTCTCTCTTGCTCCTTTTCTCACCGTGTGACATACCTGCTCCCCCATCACCTTCTACCATGAATAAAAGTTTCCTGAGGTTCTGACCAGAAGCAGATGCTAGCACCATGCTTGCCAGCCCCACGCTTGAACAGCCTGCAGAACCATGAGCCAAAATAAACCTCTTTTCTTTATAAATCATCCAGTCTCAGGTATTCCTTTACACCAATGCAAAATGGACTAATACACATATATATGATTTGCAAAAAAAAAATTCTGTGGATTTTCTCTTCATTTTCCTGATAGTATCCTTTGAAGGACAAATTTTTTAAAATTTATCTATTTTTTCTTTTGTTGCTTGTGCTTTTGGTGGCATATCTAAGAAGATACTGTCTCACCCAAGGTTATAAGATTTATGCCTGTGTTTTTACTAGATTTTTAGTTTTAGCTCTTGTTAAGTCTATGGTCCATTTTGAGTTAATTTTTGTGTAAGTGTGAGAGAGGCATCTAAATTCATTCTTTTGCATGTGGATATCCAGTTGTCTCAGTACCATCTATTGAAAAAGCTATTCCTTTTTTATTTTATTGTCTTAGCACTCCTGTTGGAAACCAATTGGCCATAAATGGCTTATTTCTGGACTCTCAATTCTATTCCACTGATTTATATATCTGTTCTTATGCTGTTACCACACTGTCTTGATTACTGTGGCTTTGTAGTATATTTTAAGATCAGGAAGTGTGATTCCTCAGACTTTGATCTTCCTTTTGAAGATTGTTTTGGCCACTCTGAGTGTCTTACATTTTCATGTGAATTTTAGCTTCAGATTGGCTATTTCTACCAAGAAGCCAGCCGGAATTTTGATGAGGATTGCAATAAAGTTGTAGATCAATATGGAGAGTATATCTTAACAGTATTAAGTCCTCTGATATATGAACATGGGATGCATTTACATTTATTTAGGTATTCTTTAATTTCTTTCAAAAATATTTCTAGAGTATATGTTTTGAACCTCTTTTTGTTAAATTTATCCCTAATAATTTTATTCCCTTATATGCTATTTTCAATATAATCATTTTCCCAATTTCATTTTCAGGTCATTCTTTGCTGGTCTATAAAAATACAATTGTTTTATATCTTGACCTTATAGCCTACAATTTTCCTGAACTCATGTATTAGTTCTAATAGTTTTCTGGTGGAGACTTTGGGATTTTCTACATGCAAGATTATGCCATCTGCAAATAGAGATAGTTTAACTTCTTCTTTTCCAATACAGATGCTTTCTTTTTCTTGCCTAACTGTCATAGCTAGAGCCCCAATAAAATGTTGAAAAAAACTGATGAAAGCAGAATCTTGAATAGACATGATGAAAACAGACATCCTTGTCTTGTTCCTGATCTCAGAGAGAAAGTTTTTAGTCTTTTCTCATTGATGTTATTTGTGGGTTTTTGTAGATCACGTTTATCAGTTTGAGGAAGTTGCCTTCTATTCCTAGTTTGTTGCATGTATTTATCATGAAGGGAGTTAAATTTTGTCAACTGCTTTTTCTGATTCTATTTAGTCATATGATTTTGTCCTTTGACCTACTGATATATATTAACACAACCTTTAATTCCTGGATACAATCCACTTGGCTATAGTATATAATTCTTTAATATGTTGCTGGATTCAGTTTGCTTGTATTCTGTGGAGAGTTTTTGTGTCTATAGTCATAAGTGGTATTGGTTTCTTGTTTTCTTGTGATGTATAAGTCTGGTATTGGTATCAGGGTAATACTGACCTCAGAGAATGGGTTGGGATGTGATATGGTTTGGCTGTGTCCTCACCCAAATCTCATCTTGAATTGTAGCTTACATAATTCCCTCATGTTGTGGGAGGGACCCAGTGGGAGATAACTGAATCATAGGGGCAGTTTCCCCTCACTGTTCTCGTGGTAGTGAACAAGGCTAATGAGATCTGATGGTTTTATAAGGGGAAACCCCTTTTGCTTGGCTCTCATTCTCTTCTCTTGTCTGCCGCCATATGAGATGTGCCTTTTGTCTTCCGAGGTGATTATGAAGCCTCCTCAGCCACATGAAACTGTGAGTCCATTAAGGCTCTTTCTTTTGTATATTGCCCAGTCTCAGGTGTGTCTTTATCAGCAGCATGAAAATGGATGAATACAGGATGTATTTCATCCTCTTGTTTTTTAGAAGCGTTTGTGGGTGCTGGTATTAGTTCTTTTTTAAATGTCTGGTAGAATTTAACAGTGAAGTTAAGTGGGCTGTGTCTTTACTCTATAGGAAAATTTTAAGTTACTAATTCAATCTCTTACTTCTTAAGGTTTGATCCAAATTTTTTATTTCATCTTGAGTTAATTTACCTGTTTGTTTCGCTAGGAATTTGTATATTCCATTAGGTCCTCTAATTTGTTGGCACACAATTGATCTATGACCTTTTTTGTTTCTGTAAGGTTTGTAATAATGCTCCTTTTTTCAATCTTGATTTTAGTAATTTGATTCCTCTTTTTCTTGGTCAGTCTAGGCAAAGGTGTATCAATTTTGTTGATCTTTTCAAAAAACCAACTTTTCATTAGTTGATTTTCTCTATTGTTTTCCTATTTTCTCCTTCATTTGTTTCTACTCTTTATTATTTCTTCATCTTGCTTTGAGTTTAATTTGCTATTCTTTTTATAGTTTTTTAAGGTGAAAGATTAGGTTGGATTTCAGATTTTTTTCTTTTTAAAAGTTGACATTGACAGCTATAAATTTCTGAACATTGCTTTCAGTGCATCCCAATAAGTTTTGGTATGTGGTACTTTCATTTTCATTCATCTGAAAGTATTTTCTAATGACATGGCTTGGCTGTGTCCCCACTCAAATCTCATCTTAAATTCCCACTTGTTGTGGGAGGGACCCAGTGGGAGTTAATTGAATCATGGGGGCAAGTCTTTCCCGTGCTGTTCTCGTGATAGTGAATAAATCTCACGAGATCTGATGGGTTTTTTTTTTCTTTTTCCCAAATGGCTGAATTTATTTGCTTGATCAATAATGGTTCTGGCAAAAATGAGTTAAGCAATGCTGAGACATTCGTAATGAAATACTAATTTTAAAAATCCATGACACCTTGATAGAAATTAGAGTTTACACAAACAAAAAAGGAACCTTCAATATTGCCAGCAGGTATAAAGTGAATGTACTGAGACTGACAGGACAGCAAGAAGGTATTTGCACATTTATATCTGACACCTGACCATACTTTCAGTCACCAGAATATCTTCTCTCCAGATTTAAAAAATAGTATGCTGATTTCTATAACAAAGCTTTTTTTTCGTACAAAAATCAAATAATGGCCAACGAGTCACAACAGTGCAATAGGTAGAGGATTAAAAACTGCATCAAAGAGGTGCTGAAAATAAATACTACCTAGGAGGAGGAGGAGAGCGCCCTCGTGTGGGGTTTGTTTTCATTTCCTTGAGTGGGTGTGGGGTTTGTCTTCTGAGCCAGGAGCCTGGCCTGTCTCGCGGGTGCTGTTCACTCTGACAGAGTGCGCCTGCAGCACGTTGCCTCCAGAGCCCGGCCTCCCAGAAGCTTCAGAGCATCAGAGCATCCATTTCAGCAGATGGACCAGAAACAAGAAAATGGGACGGGGTGAATCACAACTATCATTCAAAGGAAAGGAATTTTTTTATTGCTCGATCTTGTCAATTGGGAGTCCACTAGTAGGTTCACTGAGACGATATGGATAGTATCAAACTTTTGTTTAAGAGCATATATATGGCTTATTCAGGCAAGAAGACGTGTACATTCTAGCCCAAGCAAGCAGAGTCATTCTGTTTTTAAGAAAGGTCAGTCATTTAAAAGATTTCTGGTTTGAGCAACATCCTCTGTGGATGCACCAGGCCAAGGAGACTATCTTTGATCAACCCAGTGAGAAGGCCTTTGCTGGTCCCCACAGTAAGAAACCGGCGGGAACGGGCGGCCTCTCGGCTGGCCTGCGCTGCCCGGGGTGGATGGGCTGGCTCCGCAGGCAGCCCGTCTGCGGCCAGATAGGCCGTCCTGGTGACTCTGGCTTATGGACTGTGGTTTAGAACTGCAGAAGGAGAGAGTTAGGAGGGTGGACCAGGGAACACCCACCATGCACTGCTCTGACCACTCAGAGAACCTGAGGTAGTTCCCCCATAGGGATCTGCACCAAGGTGTTGAAGGCACAAGCAAGAGTGAAGGTACCAGAGATCACGGAGGGCGCAGCACTGACCTGGTGTGGTTCCCCACTTGAATGATCCTGATTCTGCTGTGATAAAAAAGCAAAGAAAGACGATTTGTGGTTTAAAAAGAAGCCACTCAAGGGTTAAAATAGTTATTTCAAGTTAAGGAAGAAAATTAAAATCTTCAAATATGCTGACACTACCTGGAAAACTCATCTGTCCCTAAAGCCCACAATGCATCCCCTGCTTCGTCCTCCCATAGAACCTAAGCCTGACGCGAAGGAGTCAGACGTGTGACCGAGGAAGAGTCTGAGAAGAGAAGACACCTTTACAGAATGTACAGCGAGAGAGCCAGCCTGGCCCCCGGGTTACAGTAAGATGCATGAGTCCTTTCAGTCTCACGGACTCCGGATGGCCACGGAGGCTGCTCAGATGGACGTCTCCTTCCTGTGCCTGCTGGGCAATGGCTTTGCCGGCTTCTTGCCTGCCTTTGGTGGCTATTTAGCTGCTACTGGCTCGAGGATGCCATTCTTGGGCGTCTGGATGGCACCTCCGCGCCACTCGGGCTCCTCGTCCTCCTGCGCCTGCTGCTTGGCCCTGTCTGGCTGCAACTGGAGCAGCCAGGGCTGCATGCGCGGCTCGATGACGGCCTCACTCTCCTCGTGAATTGCTTGATTCAAATGGTTGTTCTTTATTTCCAGCTCTTCGTTCTGTCTCTGTAAATCTTCCAGAATGATCTGCAGCTCCTCCTCATCCTCACTCTCGCTCTCGGAGGAGTACTCCTCAGTCTCGCTTAGGCCCTGCTGCTGGTGACTCTGAATTTCCGCAGTCTCGGCTCTGAGGCACTCAATCTCTTCTTTTTCTGAGGCAATCTGCCGGCGCAGAAACTGCTCCATGCCCAGGAGCTCCTCCTGTTTAGTCAGGATCTCTTTCTCCTGAACAAGGAGAATATTTATAACTTCTTCATTTTCATTCATCTTTTTTTTTGGAAACAGCCTCTTTTGAAAGACTGGCTATCTCTTGTGCAATCTTGGTTTCACACCCCTGTCTTTTAGCTTCTCTCAGTTTTCTTCTGAGAGCTGTCAAAATTCTTTGTACTTCCCATAATCTTTCTTCTTCAGACAAATCCTTTATCCCACCCTGCAGATCTTGATGTAAACAATTCAAAAGCAACTCCTGTATCCTGATCTCCTCCTTGAAGCCTGCCTGGGTCTCTGGCAGCGTGGGCATCGTGGCCACGTTAGACCATCGCCGAGTTTTCGTCACTTGCTTTAGAACCACATTTCCAAAGAGTTCTTGCACATGTGTGAAGAACACATACAGGACTAGATTGCTGATCTGCACAGTTGGGCTGACCACTATATAAATGTTCTGTATATTCATTTTTGCTTCCAGTTCCTTTGTGATGACATGGTCCATGTGCACAACGAACAAAGAAATCAGAAGATAGTTACCTTCTGGCAGTTCTTTGAGTAAACGCTGGAATTCCTGCACTTTCTCAGTCTCTGTGGTCCTCCCATAAGCCTCTTCAAATCTAGGCATAAGCTCTTTGGTAAGCAAATTCTCCGGAAGATCTCACAAATACTGCTTCCGCAAACTGGCTACAGTGTTAGGGTCATATTCTTCCAAGTTTGTAGACTTCTCCTGGTCATAGGCTGCTTTTAGCTCATCCATCTTTGATTTAATTCCTGATACTCTGTAGATGCCTTCACACTTCATGCCATACTTCTCTACGTAATTCACGGAAAACGGCCAGCAGCCAAATGCCATCATATATCATGGTTCTCTCTACTGCACCAGCCAAAGGAATTCCAAAAATGGGTTTGAGACTTGGAACATCAATCTCAGGCACCTCTGGCTCCTGAAATGGCTTTTTCTTTTACTTCTTTTCCTTCCACTGTTTTAACTACATCAGCTGCTGTCAAGTCTTTTGACTTCTTTTTTTTTTTTTTTTTTTTTTACTTCTTCTCTTTTTTTCTTCTTTGTGCTTTTCTTCTTTATGCTTTTCTTCTTTGGGTTTCTTTTATTTTAAAATCCTTCTCCTTCTTTTTAGAAAAGCTGGGATTCTTGAACACATGGATTCCCTTGGGTCTCCTCATTTTAGAAGGACTTTCTGCCTCATCTCCAGAGCTATCTTCCTGAAAGGCTGCATAGCCTTCGGTCCTCTTTTCCTTTTTCTTAAAATTTCCTTTTTTCTTCCCATGGTCTTTCTCATCATCAGACACTATATCAGGAGGCTTGTGGAGGATGTCATGGGGAGGTGAGGGCTCACCAGTGTGGTACAATCCAGGAAATTTAGTAGGGCTGATCTCTTCAGAGCTGGGGGTCTGGGTAAGCCCACTGCCATGCTCCACCCTGTGGTGTTCACTGGGGCTGCTGGTGGGGGGCAGGAAGCACTTTGTCATGCTGATGCCCTGACTAGGAAGGGATGAGGTCTTCTCTGTTACCTATCCATTACACCTGTGCCCGCCACTGTGCAACCACCTGTCCCACTGCAGCCACCACCTCCTGGCACTCATGCTGCCACCACAGCCACTGGAGCCACCTCCTGACTATCTGATGGTTTTATAAAGAGGAGTTCCCCTGCATAATTTTCTCTCTTTGCCTGCTGCCATCCATTGATGACGTGACTTGCTCCTCCTTGCCTTCCACCTTGATTGTGAGGCCTCCCCAGCCATGTGGAACTGTAAGTCCACTAAACCTCTTTCTTTTGTAAATTGCCCAGTCTCTGGTATGTCTCTATCAGCAGCATGAAAACGAACTAGTACGTCTAATTTTACTTGTGATTTATTTGACCCATTGGTTATTTAAGTACATTATTTGATTTCCACATTATTTGTAAATTTCCTAGATTTCCTGCTGTTGTCAAATTATTAACAAGTTTAATTCTGTTGTGGTTAAAGAACATACTTTGTATGATTTTAATTTTAAAAAATGTACTGGGGCTTATTTTACAGATTAGCCTATAGCATATATATGAGGATAAATGTTCTATGTGTCCTTGAGAAGAATGTATATCCTACTGTTACTGGGTGGAGTGTTCTATAGATGTTTATTAGATCTGATTTTTATAGATGAGAAAAATGAGATCCAGATGGGAGTAATGGATTAATTCAATGTCACATACCAAGCTGGCCAGGGGTCACATGAATTCCTGGGGTGAATCATGTGAAACTGCCACTTGAACATCAAAAACTGTTAAAAACCAACAAATTCTTATAGTTCAACATCATAGAACACAAGCCTCCTGACTTTCTGTCCAGTGTTTTCATCACTGAACTGGTATCCTGTATTAGGGCAGGCTGTGCTGTGTAAATCATATGTCCTGAATTATCCTTGGCTTAAAACAATAGGTATCAACTACTTGCTCATCACATTCCATGAGGATAATGCAACTTTCCTCCAGATGGTGATGTAGGGATCACAGCTGCTTTCATCTTGTGCGTCCACCTTCTAGAACACATGGCACATATCAGAGGAAGAAAACTTCAGGATCATAGGTATGTTCTTAAGGGTGAGCCCTAGGGGTGGCTTAGATCACATCTATGCACATCTCACTGGCCAGAACCCAGTCATGCAGCCCAAACAAACTCTGTGGAGTCACCTTACTTACAGCATAATTTTGTATCCTTAGCCAATTCCACTGGGAATGTAGTCTAACTTGACAGTGGGAGGTGTCTGTGATCTCACCTCAAGAATTCAGCACTTTTTAAAATTTTCTTATTTTGGTAAGTGTTAAAATATATTTTCAGGAATTCAAAATGTAGGGCTTGGCAGGGCATGGTGGCTCACTCCTGTAATCTCAGCACTTTGGGAGGCCGAGGCAGGAGGATGGTTGGAGGCCAGGAGTTCAAGGTCAGCCCAGGCAGCATAGCAAAACATCATCTCTAGTGAAAATAAAAATTAAACGTAGGTATTGAAGATGTCTCTTGGGCTTAAAATATGAAATAATTCCTCTTGTCTAATTTTTTCAAATGTGCAGCCCTATTATGTTTTGGATAATTTAGAAGTTCTTAACAAGGCAAAACAGCTCCCCATTAAGACTGTAATAAACACACCAAAGGTTTCCAAGGGCTAGAGTATGGAATCCAGCTTGTTTCATTCAGCCATCTCCTACTTAAAAACAAAAAGTCTTTGAACTGCATTGCCATCTATAAATAGGAAAGGGAAATCAACTTCTGTAGGTTTGTAATCCCTGCCTCCAACTCTACGTCTACTGAAAAGGGCCCTCTGGCTGAACATTTCTCAGTTATGGTACAACACAGAGATGCCTGGCTGCGGTCCCTACAGTTCTACAACTTTACCCTGGACAGAGTCTCATTTCAACTCTGGTAAGCTTCTCATATACCCACCAAGTGAGCCAAATGGAAATTTTCAGTGTGCTCAGAGAAAGGAACCGAGATATGTACTCTCTGCAATTTTCTATTACATTTACTGCCAAGAGTGGCCAAGAAGTCATTTCCAAACCCACTTCTTAAAGGAACCCCAAGAAAGCCTGAGTGACTGGTAGCCACTGTGTATACTGAGAGGAGAGTTCAGGACTAGGAGGGCCAGGATTCTAGGAATTGTCCCCTCCTGTGGCTGACATGGAAACTGCAGGAGCTTCTCTGTAGCACAGCTAGGAGCTGGGGAAGAGGCCGGAGGGAAAACAAAGTCAGATTCTAGCACCTAGCACTAAAGGACCCTGAGTTCATACAGGTTGAACCCAAAATGAAGAATAGGGGAGAAATTTATCAAATTGTCTTAGAATGCTGAGGGGAACTGGCAAATCCCTACCTGTGTAGGAGATGGTTCTCCACATGACCCCATCCCTGTAAGAGATATATTGGTTTTTCTAGATGCATCTGTTCTATTATTCCACTTTCAGGAAGGGCCTTGGTTTGGTTCAAAACAGAAATATTCACTTCATAGTGGGTGGGGTGGGAGTAGCGGGTTGTTAAAGAACCTGGTATATTTTCCTTTTACTATTAAGAATTTGGGTTTCTTTGAGAACAGAAGTTCTCAATCATTTTTTCCTGAGAACCCATTTACACTCTTAAAAATTATCAAGGAACCCAAAGAGCTTTTGTTAATCTGGATGATATCCATCTATACTTATAACATGAGAAATTAAAAACCTTTAGTAATCCATTTTAGAAAATGAATATTCCCATTATATGTTACTTTAAATAGCATACTTTAAGGAAAAACAGCTATGTTTTTCAAAACAAAAATATGGCATTGTTTACCCTTTTGCAAATCTCTTTAATGTCTGGCTTAATAGAAGACAGCTGGAATCATATACTTCTCTTCGCACTCAATCTGTTGCAATATATTGGTCAAAGAATATGAAGAAACTCCTTCCTCACACAGATAAGTAGAAAAAGGAAGAAATATTTAAATCTTTTCAGATAATTTGGGGGTATTTTGAGTTTCCACACCTAAACCCAACAAGTGGTAGCCGTCTAAAGGTTAGTACAATGTGGAATCCAAAACCCTATCAATAAATATTTTATATTTGGTGACATTAAAACTCATCACTTTGGCATGTTTTCCAACACCAACAACCATTTATCTGATTCTCCACACACCAGTTGGCTGTCCTACAATTCAACTTAATCCTGACACTAACTACCTGGAGTTACAGTCAGACTCCACAGGTTCAGGGCTCAGTCTCACAAGACTTCCCTCACTTCAGATGCCAGTTGCAAGAATTGGGTCCCCAGATTATCCCACTTCTTTCCAGCTTGGCTATAAATCAGGGGTTCCATGACTCCCTCCCTCCTGTTTGGTGATCTGATAGAATAGCTCACAGAATTTGGGAAGACAGTTTATGTCCTACTATGTCCAGTTTATGTCCTGTTATAAAGGATACAACTCAGGAACAGTCAGATGGCAGAGATGCATGGGGCAAGGTAAGTGGAAAGGGTGCAGAGCTTCCCTGCTCTCACTGGGCACACCACTCTCCCAGGACCTGAATGTGTTCACCAACCTGGAAACTCTCTGAACTCTGTGGTCTAGAGGTTTCCATGGAGGCTTTATCATGCAGACATGATCCATTATTAACTTAATCTCCAGCCCCTCTCATCTCTCCAGAGGACTGGGTATAGGGCAAAAAATTGGAGGCTTCCATACGAGGCCTGGTTTTTCCAGTGACCAGTCTCCATCTGAAAATATTTAGGGGCCCAGCAAGAGTTGCTTCATTAGAACAAAAGATACTCCTATCACCCAGGAAACTCCAAGGGATTTAAGTGCTTTATGTCAGTGTATTAGTCCATTCTCACACTGCTATGAAAAAATGCCCAAGACTGGGTAATTCATAAAGAAAAGAGGTTTAATTGACTCACAGTTCTACATGGCTGGGGAGGCCTCAGGAAACTTACAATCATTGTGGAAGGCACCTCTTCACAGGGCGGCAGTAGAGAGAATGAGTGCTGAGTGAAGGGGGAAGCCCTTTATAAAACTATCAGATCTTATGAGAACTCACTCACTATCAGGAGAACAGCAGCATGGGGGTAACTGCCCCCAGGATCCAATTACCTCCCACAGGGTCCCTCCCATGACACGTGGGGATGACAGAAACTACAACTGAGATTTAGGTGGGGACACAGCCAAACTGTATCAGTCAGGAACCAGGGTCAAAGGCCAAATACATATTTCTTATTACACTACAACTGGTTGATCACTATACAATATTTTTTTACAACTAGTTGTTAGTACTACTTCTGATCTCATCAGAAAAATCTTTAAATATTGGGAAGCTGTCAAACTTACAGTGATGGATACAGGTTTTGCAAAAGTCTGATTTTTCACTTGAAAGCTTGAATGTTATCACAGACAACAAACACTATCATTTGTTTTTCTTGAAGTGACAGGCCCATGTCATTCATTTTGGAGGAAATGTCTGCCAAATGCCCAAATCTGGGTAACTGCAGTTTGTCTGTCAGTTCTGCTTTCAAGTAAAACTGGCGTTCCATAAAAAAGAGCTGCAGCTTGTGCATTGCAGGCCATTGCACAATGGCACGGCCTTCAGCAACCATCATCCTTGGGATGCAGCAGGATTGTTTCTGTGCATTTCCCACCCTGTCATGAGGGACATGACTGCTTCACGGGGGACATTCTTCAGTGACACTTTGTGTTTGTTTTTACTGCAAGTGCATGGTGGTGAAGGATGCAGTTACTACTGATTTGGTGTTGTCCCACTGCTGGGATTTGTGCTTACTTTTGCACAATCAGAGCAAATGTCTACATTGTAAAGAGGACAAATAATGTCCCAGTTCAACTATGAAAACAGTTTTGTCATTGCAGATCCTCTGAAAGGATCTTGGAGACTCCTAAAGATCCACTTTTTGGAGATCACTCTTTGCGAACTGCTATTTTAGAAACAATCCTCCTGCTACAAAGACTAAATATTTGGCTCACACGTGTAATCCCAGCACTTTGGGAGGCTGAGGCGGGTGGATAACTTGAGGTCAGGAGTTTGAGACCAGCCTGGCTAACATGGTGAAACCCCGTCTCTACTAAAAATACAAAAATTAGCCGGGTGTGGTGGCACGCACCTGTAATTCCAGCTACTTGAGAGACTGAGACAGGAGAATCACTTGAACCCAGGAGGCAGAGGTTGCAGTGAGCTGGGATGGCACCACTGCACTCCAACCTGGGCGACAGAGCGAGATTCCGTCTCAAAAAAAAAAAAAAGACTAAATACTAATATTTTCCTAGACATTCATTTATAGGAAAAAAAGAGGAACTATTTTGAAAAACTCCAACAAAAAAAACCAAAAAACCTCAGTTACCTTAGTTGTCAATGTGTAAGCCTCTAGAACAAACTCCATCTTTTAAAGTTTTGAACAGTATCTTGGGAATGCAGTAATAACAGTGACAATAGTGTGTGTTTGTTGCAGTGTTTACTACTGCGGGATGACTGTGCTTTGTATTTTAAATGCATCCTCTACAATATTCTTTAGTACCACACTTTTTTTTTTTTTTTTGAAGGAGTTTCACTCTTGTTGCCCAGGCTGGAGTGCAGTGGCGAGATCTCGACTCACCGCAACCTCCGCCTCCTGGGTTCAAGCAATTCTCCTGCCTCAGTCTCCCGAGCAGCTGGGATTACAGGCACGTGCCCCCACTCCTGGCTAATTTTTTTTGTAGTTTTATTAGAGACAGGGTTTCTCCATGTTGGTCATGCTGGTCTCGAACTCCCGACCTCAGGTGATCCACCTACCTCCGCCTCTCAAAATGTTGGGATTACAGGCGTGAGCCACCACGCCCGGCCTAGTACCACATTCTGTAGATGAGAAGACTGGGACACAGAGAGATGAGAGTGTGACAAGGTCAACAGTCATATGCAGTGACTAAGGCTCTGAATCCACGTGGTCTGATTCCCAGAGCCTTGATCCTTAAATCCTGCATAATATGCTGCATCACATCCAAGCTTCACATTTACTTACTTCTTTTCTGCCGTGCACGTGTATCGATTCAAATCCTCAAAGGGAAACCCAATGTCTCATCTCAACCACAGGGCCCCAAAAAAGGGCTCAGTAAACGTCTTCTGCATGAGGGACAGAACCTTTAAACCATGATTAGTAATGGGGCTAGAAGTGAAATACTCAAACAGCCAGCTCCCTCAATATTATTAACTCATTAAGGAGGGAACCAATAAAAAAGAAAAAAAACAAAAACAAAAACGCTTGTTCCTTGAAAGCTTTGAAAAATTGTGTGTGTGTGTGTGTGTGTGTGTATACATACACGTATCTATTTTACTTGTTTGCTAAATAGACACAGATATAGTCGGGTAGTTAACAAACATGTAGGTTGTATAAAAATAAAACTAGTTTATCTTCTTTGGGGCAATAAAATCCCAATACCTTTGAGGTTGACTCAGGCCTTATCCATTTCTGCAGGTTAAGAAGTTACAATTCTTCAGGTCTGTAAACTGGTCAGGCCGTTATCATTGTCCTTCGTTAATCCACTGTACCTAGACAACAGTTACATCCCCAACCCGGACAGCCAAGGGGGTTCTTTAAAGAATAGAACGTCCCCCTTTTACTAAGTAGGCTTATTAGAAAATGCTAGAAGTTACCCTTAACGCAAGCAAGTGGCCTTTTTCCAAGTTGGGGATTTAAGAAATTTACTTATCTATTTTTTGTATTTTTCCAAGGTGGTTTTGTGTGTGTGTGTGACTTTGTTGTTGTTTTGGTTTGGTTTTTTGCCTTTTTCCAAGTTTGGGATTTTTTTTCTTTCTCAAAAAGCGAACCTGTTTTCTGGATGGAGGCCCAGCGGGACTTGTTCCGGCCGCAGGTCTCGGTCAGAAAGAACGCTTTTGCAGCGGCAGAAAGGGAGACTCGGGATCCGGGCCTGGGGTCCCGCGGCCGCGCCCCTCCCCACTCCCCGCGACCCGCTGGAACGCGCACGGCCGGGGACGGCGGCGGGGACGCGCGCGGGCAGGCGGCGCGCACGGCCGGATAGGCGCGAGGGGGCCGCGTGAGGCGGTGCCGGCGTTCTGGCCCCCAAAGCCGGTCTAGCGCGCCGGGCGTCTTCCTTACTTCCGCTGCCGCCGCCGCCACATCCCGGGACCCGACGGGCCGCGGCGCGGAGGCCTCGGGGCAAGGTGGGGCGGGCCTCCCGAGCTCCCAGGACCCCGCGCGCTTCGCCCACAGGCCCGGCGAAGCCCGACCCGCGCGGCGCCCCCAGGGCCAGGGGAGGAGCCTAAGGACCCGGACGAGCGCCGCTCCAGTAGGGTGAGCTCGGGGACGCGCAGGCGGGTGGGTTTCAGCGCCTGGGCCCCTCTCCCCGCCGCGGGGCGCACGGAAAAACCGGGGAACCCGCGGGTTTTGTCCTGGCGAGCCACATCCCGGTGTGTTTTGGCGACTTGAAGACCTCCCTAGTTCGCGGGAGTAGCGGGAAGAGCCTTCCTCGCGTTAATTATGCAATAAGAAGGCGTCCTTGTGCGGGATGCTGTGACCCGCGGAATTATTGATATTGTGCGAGCCTACAATTTACTTCTTTCATCCTTGGCTGAGAATTTGCGTTTGTAATTGTAGATGGAGAGAGGAAGAAAGGGTTCAGCTTGGGTCCAAGGAGCATGCAGAGGAAGGCAGGGAAGAAGGAGCATGTGCAGCTTCGGTGCGAGGGGAGTCAGGGGTGGGAATGCACGTTCCCTGCCTGAGGGGCCCCGGGGTGCCCTGAGCCTCTGATCTTCGCTGTCAGGAGGCCTGTCCGAAGTTGGAGGTTGAGGCATGCAGTTCTGCACTTCTGGCTGGGAAGGTGAACCAGGTTTTCCAAAATGTCATTTTTGCTTTCCAAGTCTGCAAGGCAGGAAAGGGTTGGGCAGTGAATGGAAAGTAGTGCAGCCAGGTTCTGGTTAGCTCAGCGGCAGGACTGTCATAACGGTGGGTTTTTGTTGTTGTTGTTGTTGTTGTTGTTTTGTCTGAAAACCAGAGTCTGGGGCTTTGGGCCATGAGGAGTTGGGTTATTGCATTGCTTAGAGTGCCAGAGTGAGAAATGTCTCAGACGCTGTTAAAATTAGGCAGCTCAGTTTAGCTCTGGCTCTCTGATAACCAACCACCTCCTCCTTCACTCTTTTCAGTGACTGGGTTAAAATGAAAAGACACAAAGAGAGAAGTGGTCTTTTCCCTTCCCTCCCCATTATAATTAAGAGCTTAGTCCATCTTGGCTCAGAATTGGAATTCAGAATTCAGAATTGCTCTTGACCCTGAAGAATAGAATCTCAAAGAAATACCTGAGCAGAAAATTCTCTTCTTCGCTGAAATGAAAATTGGAGTGTTTGCAAAACTGAACAAAGAAAGGAAAGAATTTGTAAACATCACAGGCAACTTGCAGTTATATTCGGATCATTTTTCAGTGTTTGAGGAGTTCATACAATAAAAAGGTGAGAGAGAGCCAGGAATAGAAACAGGGGAGAGAGGTGGTTGCAGGACCTTAGAGATTGCAGAAACCCAGGAGTTCATTTTCTTTTCATACACTTCTGGATAACCTGGATGTGAGGACCATCAAATGCCGTACATGATGTTTCTAACAATGATGGACCACATATACAACAGTGGTCCCATAAGACTATACTACCTTATTTTTACTCTACCTTTTCTAATTTTAGATACACAAATACTTACCATTGTATTACAGATGCTTACAGTATTCAGTACAGTAACAGCAGTACAAGTTAGTAGCCCGGGAGCAATAGATGATTCCATATAGCCTAGGTGTGTGGTCAGCTGTACCATATAGCCTAGGTGTGTGGTTAGCTGTACTATCTAGGTTTATGTAAGAACGCTCTGATGTTTGCAGAAGAACATCGCCTAACGATACATTTCTCAGAAGGTATCCCTATTGTTAAGTGATGAATGACTGTATATAAAGCTTAATCTTTCAATCAACATAATAGGAAATTGCTTT
The DNA here is from genome assembly GCF_000001405.40 of Homo sapiens. Lineage (NCBI taxonomy): Eukaryota > Metazoa > Chordata > Mammalia > Primates > Hominidae > Homo > Homo sapiens. Next base: position 100,415,698 of record NC_000002.12, on the reverse strand, counting down.
TAATTTTAGCATTGAGTTCTTAGAGTAAAGGGAGGCAGAGAGAGACCGTGCTGCATGTGTCCCAGTCAGCTTGGGCTTTATTGTATGTTAAATGAGTTGTATGTTTATTTTGGTAGATCTCCTAAATCCATGATCTAATTCCATGACTTTGGCTTGTTTCTGGTTTTTTATGATATGGCATTTGGCTAAAATTTTCCAGGTGCTAAAGGTGTAAGGAGTACGAAAATCCAGAGAACATTTTGCATTGGAAGAATTGATCATCTTGTATAGGAATCCTATAACTATTTCAAACATACGAAACAGGCATAATTGGATTTGATTATTTTTGCTACAAAAAATGTTTCATTTTTCACACTAAGTTACATGGAAGAGTCTTTTAAACAGCTAGTGGTTTTGGTACATTTAGAATATTCATTTACCAAGAAATCCAAATATAACCTGCCTTTGTAAGAGACCCATTCTGCCAAATATATTTGAATCATCAAAATGGTTCACTATTTCCTTCCTAAGTATAAACCAAGTTGTATTAAGTAAGTTGATCTTGTAACTTTTAATAATGCTTTTTTTTTTTTAATTTTCCTATCCAGTGACAAGAGGAACCAAGAACCTCAGTTCAGGGGAAACACAGCAAGGAAATGTGAGCCCCAGGCTGCAGAAGGTACGTGAAGGAGAATGTGAGCTCATCAGTTATTTGAGCATGCCATTCAGTATTGTTCCTGCCTTTTTTCTTGCCTGTGCAGATTGTAAACTCTTGATTAGGAGTATGTAAATGTGTGCTTAGAAACGTTTCCTTAAATATAATAATAGGAGCATGCTCTGAGGCTGGGATTATGTGAGTTAGTACCTGCTGAGACCTGTGCTTGGTACAGAGTGAACCCCATACAGGTGTTTACTGTATATTATTATTATTGTTCATGAAAACCTGTCTTAACTACAGGTGTATTTCTCACTGGACAGTTAAGAGTGTTTTCATTCTCCTAACTAAGGGTGGTTAATCGTTCCAAGGCGGTAAATTGTAAGGATGACAACAGAGAAGACAAAGGAAATTTCTGTACGCAGATTGAGAGAAACCTTTACTATGAATTTGAAAGTCTCAGTGACATGCAATAGAACTTTATAGTATAAATTCATATGCCACACTTTGCATTATGGAGTTGTAATTTAATGATTCTATTGATAGGGTAATGCATTGTAGTTCAGAATGTGCTCAGGGTTGATGGTGAAATGTCCCCGTTTCTGCAGCCCTGGTCTGTCTAGTTCTCATCTCACCTGTCATCCTCCTGGGGTTACCAGTTCCTTGTACATTACCAGGTTTTTGTGTGTGTGTGTGTGTGTGAAGTTTCCTTTAGAGTCTGGCTGTGTTTTAAAAGTTGAGCCCTGGACATGTGATCCCTGGTATGTGTATGAGGTGAGGTTGTCAGTAAAGGGCCATTGACAGGCCTCCTCATCTGACCCACCCCTGTCCCTGCTTGCCCACTCTGCATGAGGAACACTGGCCTTCTTGCCACTTTTGGAATTCTGGGACCCAGACCACAGTCTTTGCCCAGGGGTCTGCATGGCTTGCTCCCACAATCTGTCCTGCCTTTTCTCAACATCCTGCCCATGCCCTTGTTTATTAGCCACTGCACCTGTCACCTGGCTTGATCATATACATTGATCACTTGATTTGTTTATGGCCCGTCTATGTCTGTTAGTAGGAAGCACTGTGAGAGCAGGGAATGTGTGTTGCTATATCCCCAGGGCCTAGAACAGCCCCGGCTCAGAGGAGGGCTTTGGTAAATATTGCTGAATGAAAAAATGTCTGGAAAAAGCCTGGTTAAGCAGAGTTAAGTGGGCTTATTTACCATGGGACTTTTCAGAAACTTTAGTAAGTGAATGCGCATATTAAAAGTGGGGCCTGGCAGGTGGGAGGCAAACTCATCAGCAGAGTAAGAAAGGCGCTGTGCTTCTGGATGACAACTCAGACATGGGGAAAAGCTGCTGGCGGGAATGGTATTGGCAGCTGAGCAAAATGAATTTACAAGTTTCCTTTTCAAAATGCAGGGGAGGAAGGATTTGCATCAAGAGATGGTAATAGTAACATTTCCATTGTTAGTTATTACAAACATGTACAATGTGTGCTATTTATCTTTTATTTAAGGTGGGGAAGGGGGAAGATTAGGGCTTCTTGTAGATTCTTCCTTCCCTGACCCTGCTTTCCCCATAAGGCCTTAAGTTCTTCAGCTGCCAGTTCATCCTTGTGGGTTGAACTGAGGAACCAAACCCTCTGGCTTGGTTTCAGATCCTGACATCTTGACTTGTGAAAATCCCATTTAATGACTGGAAGTAGGAAAGCTCTGAAGATGGATATGCAGATTCTAGGGGTCAGGAGGCTCTGTTCAGGGCCTGCGCCATGACCGAAGGGAGGGCGTGTAGGGGCTCAGGTTCTGCTCCCACCATTAGCTCTAGAGGCACTCTGAGAGTTGTCTTGGCTCCTTGAACAAAGGGGAGTTAATTACAGAAAATGCCAGGCTTTTTAAAGGCCATTTGTCCCCTAGCTGTAGGGAGAGCAGCAGCCCTTGGCAGAGCCCTGAGGAAAGACTCTTTATGTCAGGCCGCAGTCCTCTTGTAGACAGAAATAATGAGCCTTGGTGGTGTCATCCTCAGATAGGAGGCAAACCCCATGGTGAAATTCTGTATTCAAGGAAACAATGCAGAGAATGGGGCGGACTTAGAGGAGCTGGGGTGAAGTGAATTTGGAATGCCTCTCTTTTAAAAAAAAATGGGGCAGAGTTTTGTGTTGTTTTCCAAAGTCAGACAAAGCCTGATTCTACAGAGTCTAGTTAACCGTAGATGGGAGGGCTGTAAAGGAGAGTAAGATGAAGGCAGTGATGGAAGGTCTTAGATTCTAATTAAACCTCTTTTAGCTGTGTATTTGGAACACTTGTAATTCAGAGCATCAATAGACTCTCGTTGACTAGATGCTTTTTTGCTGCCAATTTTCCTTCTTAAGATGGAAGGAGGTGGTGGGAGAATGGCGTTTATGCCAGAATGCCTAGAGTCTGCATTTTAACAAGATCCCCAGGGGGATTCATGTAGGCATTAAAATTTAAGAAGGGGTGAGGTCCTGGACCAGCAATTCTCAGTCCCAGCTGCTCATTAGAGTCACGAACAGAGCTCTTAAAAAATGCCTGGGTACTGCCTCCAGAGATTTGTGTTGTCTTGGCTGGGGTATTCTTGGGGCCCGGGGTATCACTGTATTTCTTGGAAGTTTCCCAGGTACCGCCCCAGACATAAAGCCAGACACCTTCAGGTAGATGTCTAGATTCAGAAGGCACATAATCCCGAAGCAAATGACACCATGCTTAGCTGGGCACACCACTCTTTAGGATTCATCAAAACCCACCACACCAGATAATGTGGATCCTCGTAGCTCATCCGCTGGCTTCTAGAGCCACAGCCAGAGATGATGGGATGTGGAGCACCCAACCGGGGTTGCTTGTGCCGGGTTAGAATTCTCCCTCCTCCATGAATGAAAATGACCTTGAGACTGGGCAGTGGCTGAGTGGGCATTTGCTTTTTGTACCTCTGACTCTGCTGCTGAAGAAACTGTTTCAAAATTTAAATCAGATCATGACATCACCACCCCTCTTTTCATGTAAAACTCTCTTCAGGGGCTCCCATTGCTTGCAAAGAAAAGACCATAATAGCCCTGGCAGGCCCCATGTTGTCTGGCCTGCATCTGCCTCAGCCTGTGCCCCAGAACTCCAGCCACATGGGCCTGCGTTTAGTTACTCAGGGGCCCATTCCCTTGGCCTGGAACCCTGCCCTTCACCTTAGGTAACTGTGCTGTCCCAGACCACTCTGCCCAAGGCACATCCCATTGTATTTTCTCCCCACAGCACCATGTCCCTCTCACACCATCAAGTACCACTCCTCAGATAGCTTCTTTCCTTCGTGTGGGCCTGTTAGACGACAAGCTCTGTAAGGACAAGAACTGTGTGTGTTTAGTTAGGGACTCAGGGTCATATCCTTGGCAGCTGTTTTACTGCATGAATGAATACACTGGATACTGGATAATGAATAATGAGCTTGAAGTCATTATTTTTAGGTTATTTTGTCCTTAAACTTGTATGCACATACACACCTACTCATGTTTGAGTGCTGTATTTTGTAAACTGTAGAGATATTGGACCTGAGGGAAGTGGGTATTTTGAGAGAGTACTGGGCTGTAGTCTTACTGGTTCTGATTGGCTCATGTAGGATGTGACTTGTAGAACAAGTCCCAGTTTTCTAAATTTTTAACTAGGCCGGGTGTGGTGGCTCACGCCTATAATCCCAGCACTTTGAGAGTCCAAGGCAGGTGGATCACTTGAGGTCAGGAGTTCAAGACCAGCCTGGCCAACATGGTGAAACCCCATCTCTACTAAAAATATAAAAATTTTCCAGGTGTGGCGTGCCTGTAATCACAGCCACTCAGGAGGCTGAGGCAGGAGAATCGCTTGAACCCAGGAGGTGCAGGATGCAGTGAGCCAAGATTGCACCACTGCACTCCAGCCGGGGTGACAGAGAGACACACTGCCTCAAAAAAAAAAAAAAAAAAGAAAAAATGCTTATTACAAATATTTAAAATATGAATTGTATAAAGTACAAAAAGAGCTCTTACTGTCCTCTCATGATTTTATTCTATGTATTACATATATGTGTCTATGTTTGTATATGTGTGTAATCATATATATTTCACACATACATGATTTTTTTAACAAATGGGATCATACATTCCATCCTGCAACTTGTCTTTTTTGTTTACTGGTATATCTTGACACTTTGGATATGGATCTATGTCATTGGCTTGCCTTTCATCATAGAGTTTTATTTGAAATGAAAATGTTTTTGGACTTCGGCATGATTTCCTAAACCCCCCAATCAATGTGTTTTAAGTAGTAAGTGTATTTGAATGCATATACATGCTGTGGCTTAGATCATTTTGTTTTCAAATAATACTGAAGTCCTCATAGCATTTGGTTGTTTTCTAGTCTCAGTTAATGGATATTAAACATAGAACTGCTCTGTGGAGACTAGAGAAATATTTTGAGGTTGAAAGGGGGCCTCATTCTTGAAAAAGCCTGGAGACCCTCAGGGAGAGGGTTGGGCAGGCTGCCTCCTGAAGTACCTTTCCACATTCCTGAGTTCTAGTAAGTTGCTCAATTGACACAGTCATTCAGCAAATAGCAATTGTTGGCTCATGGTGCGCCAGGCACTGTGCTGGTCCCTGCTGTCCTGACCAGCATGAGCCCATATTCTGCAAGGAGAGCAAATGGCACATAGCGAGAGCATCTGGACTGTGCTGGGTGTAGTGGAGGAAGTGGAGCAAGGTCAGGTGGCGCAGAGCGGTGCTGGGGGTGCCACCTGGGTGGTGATGAGGCAGAGCTGACTCTTCCTCTGCTGCCCATGGGAAAGGGAGCAGGCCCTGCTTACCCCGAGTGTACAAGAAGCCCAGTGGCCGGGAGCAGCTCCTCAGAGAGCTCCCTCCTGGACCCCGCAGTGACTGCCCACAGGCTCTGTGGCCTGCAAGGGGCTCTACAGCCAGATATGGGCATGCTGGCAGGCAGCTGTGCTTGAAATGCTGATAGGGGCCTGGGGTGTAATGCTCTTCTCAAGAGAGTGGTTTTGGCAGGGCTAGGGTTTTGCCCCTGAAGCTTTGCAAATCCACATCCCCCACTGGAGTCTCCACGTGTCCTGGTACCATCCCGGGGACAAGAAGCAGGGAAAAAGCAGGGGAAGGAGGTGGGAACCCTGCAGTCCACCCTTCTCCTATCCTAATGGAGTGGCCAGGGAAGGGACTCTCTGTATATCTTAGTTTAGTAAGAGTTTGCAGAAGTCAAGTTAAAAATGGATTTTTTGAAAATGAAATACCCATGTGAAAGAACACATTGGATGATACATGGTCAGTTGCATGATTGTTGAGAAGGTCTTCTGACTGATGAGTGTGCAGGTAGCTGTTTGTTCCTGTGGATGAAAAATGGGAGCCCGAAGAGCTCTTCATTGACACACCCACAGCCACCTAGCTAGGGAGAGGGTGAGTGTAGACCAGTCCCTGACCTCCTGCCCGGGTGAAAGACTAGCTACGGAGACGGTGAGTGCAGACCAGTCCCTGACCCCAGCCCAGGTGAAAGACTAGCTAGGGAGAGGGTGAGTGTAGACCAGCCCCTGACCCCCCGCCCAGCTGAAAGAAGCTAAGAGCTCCTGACTTTTAAATGAAAATCCAATACTTAGGAAGGCACATATGGCTTCAGGAGAGTGCACCTCTCAGTTTTCAACTCATGTAGTTGGAGAAATCCTATCCCTAGGCCACCTGGCTTCCTGGAGAACAGAAGAGGTGCTATTCATTTTCAGGTAAGGCTTCATTATCTTCCCACTTTACCTGCAGATGAGCTCAGTGGGCGAAATCATATTACATTCCTTCAGAAGACTAGTTCCATTGGAAAGATTTGATTCTTAAACTATAAAAACCTCCAAAGTGCTGTCCTGAGGCCGGGCGAGGGTGATCAGGGGTTGGAAGCCTGGAGGGAATGAGCAGAGCAGGCAGTGGAATATGCAGTTCCCAGGTCCTCCCGCCACATGCTCTGCAGAGTCAGCGCGTCACCTGCAGGAGGGAGGCAGTGCCTCTTATCGTTGTTCCCTTTTTCATAGCACTGATCCTAGGAGAGGGTGGGTTGCAAGCCCCAGGACACTCAGAGCCAGGACCTGTCTGTTTAGAATTGCATGCAACCTGCGTGGTACATCCTGTTCCTTTTACTCCCTCCCCAACCCACCCTGGTGCCTCTGCTGCTTGGTTAGAAATGGCCTGCAGCTGGCATTTTTCAGGGGGGTGCTCTCACTGTGACCCATGAGGATGGACCCCCCTGAGTGCACTGTCTTAGAGGGCTGAGCTCAGTGGACTTGGTACTGCTGGGCCCTGCATCCTCTGGCCACAGTCTAAGCCTCAGTTTCTTGAAGGGAAGTTAGCAGTTGCTGGAATAAGAGTGTGTCTTGTTTTTTTCTCTCTTCTTGGTGTAGACCCTACTGTCGCATTAATTTCTGGCAACCACACTGAGAAAGGTGTAGATTAAGCTGGAAAATCACGAAGAGTGCCAAGGGATTGGTCAGTTTTTACTGGGGGTCTGCACCAGGCCAGGTGGGTGCTGGTTTTTTGTCTACATTGTCTCATTTAATCCTCATGGCCACTCTGAGGTAGTGGTAGGAGGAGGGCCTTCTATTAGAGATGGGACATTGAGGCTTAGAGAGGTTAAGTGACTTATGGAGTCACAGAGCTAATGGGTGTGAGCAGGGATTTGAACCAAGTCTGGGGTTCTTTGTGCCTCACTATCTCTGACATGGAGTGGCGGAAGGAGGAGGGGATTGTGGGATGGAGACAGGAGACAGGACAGCTGGCTTGCAAGGAATTTGGCATGCCCCTGCTGGGTGGTGTTGCTGATAAACTACAGTACACTCGGTTAAATGTGAAGTTCAGAAAACAACACATAGGTTTTTGTTTTTGTTTTTTTTTAGTATAAGTATATGTAATATTTGGGACATACTTTATACTAAAAAAATTAACTGAAATTAAATCTAACTGGGTATCCTGTGTTTTTATTTGTTCAACCCGACTTGGGGAACCTGGGAAGGACACTGGGCCTCATATCTGGGCACAAAAAATACTGGTTTTGGGGGGGAGTATAAGTATGTCTTATGCAATATTTGGGTTATACTTACACTAAAATTTTATGTTATCTGAAATTCAATCTTAACTTGGGGGATGTCCTGTATTTTTATTTGTCTAATCAGGCAACCCTATTGGTGACCCCAGGAAACACACGAAGCCTTATACACGGGCACCTGAGGGTGGTTTGCGAGCCATCCGGAGAAAACCCAGGCAGCTTGGCAGGTGGTGAGCTCCCCACTGCAGGCTGTATTCAGGTGTGGCCGGATAACTACGTGGTGGGTGTGTCATGGATCCTATTTGCATTCCAGATGCCTGGTTCCTGTGAGATTCTAGGATGTAAATGTTGAGACAAGGAGAGTGATTCACCTGGGTCTTCATGGAGCTCTGACCCACCCAGGGTTAGGAGGCTCTCTCTGAAATTATTTGCCATCAGCACTGTGTTGAGGGGACCACTTCTCCCTGCCATGCAGAAGTGATGGATGGCCTCAGTCAGTCGGTGGAAGCCAGCTCAGCCCAGGGTCTTGTCTGTACGTGGAGAGCTTTGGCTTGAAGAAGCACTGTGTTAAAGGTGAAATGAAACACACTTTCTTGTGTCACCTGCCAAGAACTGACAGTGACTTCCCAGTTCTTTATGTGCCTCCTGCAGGAGAGTGTGGCTTCTGTGCCAGGCTGAGGACCGACATGCCCCGTGTTGCTCCCTGGCTGTGACAGCATGAAAAACACCCACCTCAGTGTTCTACCCAGGCCGCTGCTGGCAAGTGGGCGGAGGCGAGAAGCGTCAGTGTTCATTCCTTTGCTTTTTTAGAGCTTCTCTAGGTGTGGCTACATCTTGTCAGCCAGTCAGAATTTTAAACACAGCCAGCTCCTAATTGCCCCAGCATGGCTTCTGCCCACTATGAATGACCCTCAGCTAAGGCCTAGTCCTTGGCAGGCCTCTTCCTGCCACCTGCTTCCAGACCATCGTGGGAGCTCACTGGGACCTTAGCCTGGGCCCAACAGGAGTCAGGGATCAAATGTGCAAAGGAGTCTTATTCTGTGTTCTGAGAACACAAGGAAGTGGTCTTCTCTCATTATCATGTCTCTCCATTAGGGTGTTCTAAATTTGATTTTATTATTGAATCAATCATTTATATTATTAATTCAATATGAAATGTTAAATGCCAAGTCAAACTACCTATTGTAGCAGTGGAAAAAAACGGAAATATTTGTGCTGATACTTACTGACTGAAATCACCTGTCGTTTTCATTCCTCTTTGTTGACTTGATGTATTTGTAAGCAGCAGGGGCATCTCGCTTGTGTTTTCCAGGAAGAGTCAGTGAATGGCTGCGGTGTGACAACATGCACCACCAGTGGCTTCTGCTGGCCGCATGCTTTTGGGTGATTTTCATGTTCATGGTGGCTAGCAAGTTCATCACGTTGACCTTTAAAGACCCAGATGGTACGTATGCTTCATGGTGGAACGAATTTTGGCTAATTTAGACCTAGCTGCAACACTGTTCCTAGGTACATGCATAGATGACTTCTGTCACAGAGTCAAAGGACTTTCATGCCAGCAGGGACCTTGGAGGTCATGGCCTCCGTTCCTTCATGTTACAGAGGTGTGAGGGGAGGTAGGGTGGGAGGGGCTGGAGGGTCTTTTCAAGCATCTCCTCTGGAGGAAGGAAGCTGCTCTTTGTGGCTGAGGCCTGGGTGGTGCCTAGGAGCAAGGAGCAGGGTCTCCTCCCAGCAGCACAGTGGCCTTATGCCTTGCAGCAGGGCGCCTCTCAGGCTCGCAGTTGGGAATTCTCTTTGCCTCATGTCATCATGAGAGGTGCAGCCTCAACTGCTTGGCATGCCCGTGTGGTGGCCACATGTTTGAAGGTCACCCTCCATGCAGCGGAGGAGGGTCATTTAAATGTATGTCTTCAGGTTGTCTTGGAGGCTTTCTTAGCTCTCCTTTACTGAACGTAGGCATTCAGATGAGGACGGATAAAGAGCGCCAAATTGGGTCTCAGAATGCTGATTCTACTTCGTGCTCTTGTCATTTGCTTATCTACATCACAATGTTTCTTCCACCAAATGGACACCCTGCCTGCTCCGGCACCGCCCATGATTGCCCTGAGCATGGTGAGGTGCTCTGTGGTCTGTGGAGTGCTGGATATGTCCAAAGAGGTGTGTGATATGCTCTCCAGCCCCGAGGCCACTTCATTGAGTGGCCAAGCAGGCAAGCACGAGGAAGCCAGACACATGGAGTCATTGAAGTCCTCATTTGTGCCGTGGATTGGCCCATTCCTTTAGGCTGATTGGGAGATACTGGGGAACGTGGATGAGCACAGCACTTTGCTGTGCTCTGCACCGTACTTTGTCCTCCTGCCGATGGTGGCCTTGGAAAGGGGCAGTTAGAGATGCCTCTGTGCCAGCAGTTCTTCCTGGAGGCTGCACTGACCTGTGCTGTCTGTGTGGGACAGGCCCCTGCTCCACCTCACAGAGCTCCCAGGCATGTCCCTGGCTGTGTCAAGGACTGCCCGATGTCCTACACCTCCTGCCCCATCCTCTCTCTGCCCCACCTTGTCTGCAGAGGGACAGCAAGGTTAGAAGGGAGGTCTGCAGGGAAAAGAGGGACACCCTGAAATTAGCCCACATGGTGGTTCTCCCCATGACAGTTGTTGGGCCCTGATTGGCTGTCATCACATGTCCTGCCTCATCCTCCAGGAGCCCTGGAGAGAAACCTGTGAGGTCTGCACAGCCTCGGGAGGTGATATTACACCTGCAGGTATCTGGGCAGGTGTCACTGAGCATGACAGCTCACGCCCGGGACTCGGGGTTCCGTCAGCAGAGCAAGGGTCGATTCTTGGAGGGTTGCTGGAATGTGACACGATGATCTCAGTTTGACAGTTTGGACATTTCCATGGCAGCTTCAGCACAGTGCCATGCCACTGAGAGATCCCTCCTGAAGCCCTAGAGCCGGGTTCTCATCCCCGCAGCACTTCAGAATCACCTGTGGGACTTTACAGACCTGCTGCTGCTTGAGACCCAGTGAAGGAGAATCACTAGGGGTGGGGCCCAGTTGAGAAGCACAGTGGTAGATCCTAGCTGGAGAACTGAAGAGAAACAGAGCTGCTGAGAATAAGAAATAGGTGTTACTCAGGATTCTCCTAAATGTCACCTCCTGGTATGGAAGGCACTCAAAAGGCAGGTCATGAGGTTAAATTGTTTATGGTTTATTTTGCTTAAAAAAGTAGGAGTAGATGTAATACATTTTAGTGAGACTTCTATAGGTAATAGTTAAATAAGACTTGTGCCTTTGTGTTTTACTGTTATCTGGCAGAATGGCCTCTAAAGAATGCCTTGTTTCCCAGCGGCATCTGGTAAATGAGGTCTCATTCTCCTTTGATGTATCAAGTTTTGTGCTGAATGTTTTCAGTGTAGACACTGATCCTGGAAGCTAAGCAGGGGTAGGCCCGGTTAGAAAAAAAGCAAGTGTAGGCGCAGAACAGGGTTTTGTGAAGCGGAGAAAAGGAGTGGTAAGGAGTGTTAGGAGATAAAACCTATGAAGAAAGATGAAGGGCTTTCGGATTTTACACCTGGAGAGGAGCACCGCAGCGGTCCTTAATACTGCCTGTGAGATCTTTCCAGCCGGCTGCCTTCAGGCGAGTGAAAGGGGGCACTTTCCCTGCCCTGTGAGATCTGGTGTGGTGTGTGGGTGCTGGGTCACTGAGATGGGAGTGCTGCCCCTGACCCCGAGGCAGGGGCTGCTGGTGGTGAGGATGCTGTTGGCCGCACAGTGTGCAGTGAACTCAGTGAGAATCTTCTGTTGTGGGCCCACTCCCGTTGCGGGGTGACCACCACAGCACTACCCAGCCTGCCTCACTCGCGTGAGATGTTACCTAATTGTCCCAAGGGACCTGGTTAGGTTAGGATCCTGAAGGTGGATATCCGCCAGCTGAGTTCTGGATGCAGGATGCGAGCTGGCACCCAGCATCTTGCCAGTGCACAAGGACGCTGGGCTGAAGCATCAAGAGCATTTACACTCAGAGCCTGCCCCTGCAGGCGTCAGAGAGGCCCTGGGCTGGGGTGGTGTAGGCCTCTCCCCTGGAGCCTGCCCTTCCAGCACTGTGCTTTAGAGAGTGTGTCCCGGAGCCTGGATCTTGGGCAGCACAGGAACCCCTCTAAGCTCGTGGCCATAAAGGGCTTCTCACATGTTGGAGTTTATTTCACACACGTTCACGGTGTTTTTGATTATGAACCAGAAGCCCATTGTGAAGTGTCAAGACCAGGAAATAACAGACACGGCAGTGTCCACGGTGGGGAGTTCCATTTCCTGGAAAGTGCGTGGAGAAGCCTTGGCCTCAGTGCTCCCGGGCTGCTCCTTTCAGCTCTGTCCTCTGGGACAGGGCCAGCCTCAGAACCCCCATCAGTGGTGTGCATGTTCTTCTCACCTACCTGCCTTTCCCGGTTTCTCCTGCCACTGGAGCCCCTAGGAAGAGCATGGTTGTCGTGAGTTGCTGTTTAAAGCAACACTTACTTTTTTTAGTGTTACAGTTTCTGTTCAGCTCAGCAGTGGAGCCAGTGATATTTGTGGCAATGATTTATCCTCAGTTAGCAAATTTCAGTATCATATTGAACTAGGATCAGGTGTTGTAACTAGACTTTCTCATAAGAAAATAAATCCCCCTCAGCGAAGGGAATGTGATGGAATCATATGGCAAGACTCAAAATGATGCCCTTGTGGACCTGGTTTGTGTTTGTAGGCGCTGGTTTTTCCTCTCCTGGTTGACTTCCTCATTGGTTCTGAGCCGCTTGAGGGCAGAGCCTGTGATGTGAAGGTCTCTGCAGCCTTGACCATCTTTGCATGTACTTATTTGCCATCTGCGGATACTCTCCAGTGAAATGTCTGGGTGTATCGTACCTATTTTCTAATTAGATTGGTTGGTTTTTTAATTGTTGAGTTTGAGGATTCTTTATATATTTTAGATAGGAGTCCTTGGTCAGATAAGTGGTTCATAAATATTTTTTCCCTATCTGGAGCTTGTCTTTTCCTCCTCTTCAAATGGGCTTTCACAGTGTAGATTTTCTCTTTGGTTGTTTTTTAAAAAGATTGATGGTTTTATGTTTCACATTCAGGTCTGTGATCCACTTTGAGTTCATTGTTGAATAAGGGGTGAGGTTTGGATCAAGGTTTGTTCCGTGTGTGAATGTCCAGGTGCCCCAGCACCATTTGTTGGACAGACTGCCCTCCTCCGCTGAATGGCTTTTATGGCTTTGTCAAAAGGCATTTGGGCATCTTTGAGAGCTTCTATTTCTGGGGCCTCTGTTCTGTCCCATCCACCTGTGTGCCTTTTCCTTTTAGAGAAGACATTCAACCTCTCTGTCTTCCAGTGTACAGTGCCAAACAGGAGTTTCTGTTCCTGACAACCATGCCGGAAGTGAGGAAGTTGCCAGAAGAGAAGCACATTCCTGAGGAACTGAAGGTGGGCACAGCCAGGCCGTGGTCCTTGTCCTCTTGAACACGGCACCCTTGTCGCGGGGAGCTGGCCTTCCCCTGTGGCTGGTTCCGCTTGTCATCACGTCTGCGTTAGAGCCTTTTCCTGTGTTACTTCTCCATGTTAGTTCACCTTGTTAATTTCCATTTGGGAGAGGCACAGGTCACGTCTATTTTTGTGCCCCTCACAGAGCTCTGTGCATCAGGGCTGCTCTGTCACTGTTGGTTGTGCAGCATTCCTGACCAGCTGAACATGAGCCTTGCCTGGGGAGCCGAGAGTATTGGGCAGGGTCAGGAGGAAACCAGAAGTGGGAGAAGACATCTCACCCAGTCATGGGGTTTTAGAGTGAAAGGGGGCCCTGGACAGCAGAACAACTAATTCAGCCTCCAAATTGTATGGATGAGAGAACTGAGCCTAGAAAAAAGGTGGATCCTCCACAGTCCCATGGAGTTCCTGGCGGAGCCCAAGGCTGCTGACTTCCACCCAGCCCTTGCTGGCTTGACATTCTGGCTCCATGGCTCTCTGCAGGCTTCTTGTGCACCTAAATTCCTGATCATTCCCTAGCTGGGATGAGGGGTGCACTCTGGAAGGCCTCTCACTTCGTAACCCCCATTCTGGATCTAGAGGGTTGAAGTTGCAATTGTTCCAGAAGGAATGAAATGGGTACAGCGAGCCCTAAAAATATTTTTAGCCCAGAATCAAGCCGTAGAGGTTGGGACAGCTCCTATCCATGGGTCACAGTGTAAGGATGATAAATTAGAACTCAATAAACATAGAAAACATACACCAGTCAGTAGAGTGCTGCTGGAGGTTACTTCTCGTAGGACATTGATGGAATGGAGGCCAAGTTTACAGAACTCTGAGACAGCCTAAATGTTGCTTTTAGGTTGAGGCATCCCAGGGTAAGAAAATAATTTGGATGGGGTACAGAAACGAAACCAAAAAATCTTATGGGAAATAGGAGAGTGGCTTTAATAGGATGGATTTAATAGGAAATCAAAGTTACATGGATAAAAACAAAGGTAGGGTAAGCCTTTGGCAAAGTGTCGCAACAAGGTTCCCTCAAGGATGCCATACCCTGTGAGGAAGAGGGTGGTCATCTTGGTGCTCCCTCTCCGGGTGGAGGGTGCTCCCGGAGAGATTGCCAGCCTGCAGGAGTCATTGCAAATAAAAAGACTGCGCCTGAATGTGCTTTACAGTTTGCAGTGTACTTTACTGGGTTTCAATCTCATTGGTCTTCCGAGCCGCCCTCTGAGGTATATTTTTATTCTGTTTGCATTTGGGAAACATGAGGCTCAAGGAACTGTGCTCACTGGGTCAGTATCCCCTGGACAGCAAGTTGTGGGCCTGGGCTTTGAACTCAGTGTCCTCTGTGCCCCTCTCTTACCCGCTGCCCCAGTCATTCTCATGAGACTCAGATGGGAGGTGAGGGAAGTGGGGGATGTCAGAGGTGATGTCCGCTGAGGCCACATGCCGTTAGGTGACACCAAAACTCAGCATGTGTCTTCTCACAAGAAAGGGGATTTATCAACATGATCAGATTCTGTAGCTCACCTTTAAAAGTTTATTTTGGCCAGGTGCGGTGCCTCACTCCTGTTATCCCAGCACTTTGGGAGGCCGAGGCGGGCAGATCACCTGAGGTCAGGAGTTCAAGACCAGCCTGGCTAACATGGTGAAACCCCATTTCTACTAAAAAATACAAAAAAATAGCCAGGTGTGGTGGCATGTGCCTGTAATCCCAGCTACTCGGGAGGCTGAGGCAGGAGAATCTCTTGAACCCAGGAAGCGGAGGTTGCAGTGAGCTGAGATCGTGCCATTGCACTCCAGCTTGGGCAACAAGAGCGAAACTCGGTCTCAGAAAAAAAGTTTACTTTGTGCATGGTGTAGCCGAATGTTTGAATGGAAAATAGAAAATAATATTTGTCTTTAAGTTGGCTTTGTATATTTCCAAAGGGAAAAAAGAAAACAATGCTCATTCTTACACACAATTGAACAAGAAATCTTTTTTCTTTAGCTGGGCATGGTGGCTTACGCCTATAATCCCAGCACTTTGGGAGGCTAAGGCAGGAGAATCGATTGCGCCTAGGAGTTTGAGACCAGCCTGGGCAATATACTGAGACCTCATCTCTACACAAAATACAAAAATCAGGTGGTTATGGTGGTGTGTGTTTATAACCCCAGCTACTTGGGAGGCTGAGGTGGGAGAATCACTTGAGCCCAGGAGTTGGAGGCTATAGTGAGTCATGATTGTGCCACTGCACTCCAGCCTGGGTGACAGAACAAGACCTCGTCTCTTAGAAGAAGAATTTTTGTCTCTAATGCTTTGCTAAAAGAAAAGCAATATCTAATATCTTTTCTTTGTTCAAAGAAAAGCAGTATCTAAAAGTGCAGAGTTTTCTGCATTTTCTAAAGGGAACTTGTTGGGAGGTGCTCTCTCCTGATGCGCTGTTCTTGAGTGCCATCCATGATCAGGGTTAGGTTTGGAACAGAGAGGGAGGAGAAGACAGAGAGGCTCTTTTGGGATAAGTGAGCAAGAGGTGGGATGGATGAGGAAATGAGGTTAAACGAGACCCGTTCTTGTAAGAGCAAGGAGAGTGCCTGGCGTGGCTCCTGGTTTTCCATGGTGGGTGGAGGGCCCGGGCAGCCGCTGATGCCCTGTGGGGAGGAACGGAGGCCACTCTGCAAAGGGGCCTCTCGCTTCCCCAGTGTCTTCATCTCGAAAAGCAGGCAGTCAGTAGCCCCCAGGATGCTCTTCCCACCACCAGGGAATCCCAGGAAATTCACTTAAACACACAAGGGAGAAAGCATCCTGGCCAGAGGTCATGAGTGTAAGAGAGTTTGGTTACAGTAGATCCATAAAGGAAGAGCTGGGTGGGGGGCCCTGAGGGGGGACCTCTGTCATCCTGATAGTTCCAGCGTCCCGGTTCTAGTGTGTTCTAGAAGTCTTATGTCCTTCCCATTTTCTAACTGACGTTGTCCCCTGGGAGGACAGGTTGTTAAAACTACCCTATAAATGGATTTCCTGGCAAGCCCAGTGCATTTTAAAAGATATAACAAGGATATTTGGGTCCATTCAATACAATTATTTGGAAGGATCATCTGCTTTGAAATTTTGGGAAGTTCTGTGTAGCTTTAAGAGATAGATATGGCCGGGCGTGGTGGCTTACGCCTGTAATCCCAGCACTTTGGGAGGCCGAGGTGGCGGATCACAAGGTCAGGAGATCAAGACCATCCTGGCTAACACAGTGAAACCCCGTCTCTACTAAAAATACAACAAAAAATTAGCCAGGCATGGTGGTGGGCACCTATAGTCCCAGCTACTCGAGAGGCTGAGGCAGGAGAATGGCGGGAACCCGGGAGGCGGAGCTTGCAGTGAGCTGAGATCGTGCCACTGCACTCCAGCCTGGGCCACAGAACGAGACTCCGTCTCATAAAAAAAAAAAAAAAAAGAGAGAGAGAGAGATGTAGCAGCTGAAGCCTTAAAAATGCTGAGAAACAGGGCCACAACTAGAGGGGGCCGATGGGGTTGGTGGAGGCTGCCCTGCTATTCAGGAATGCCCTCAGGATGCCTCCAGAGAACAAGGAGGTGTGAGCAGCAAGGGGACTTTAACTCACCGAGGACAGGGGGCCTCTGAGCAACTTCTGTGTGTACTGGCACATCTCCCTGTGCCCCCTCCAACCCATGCACACACAAGGCCTCTCACATTACAGGTATTCTCTTAGGTTCTAAAACAGCCCTGAAAAGAATGGACCAGCATGTAGAATTTGAGCTTTTTCATCTTTTTCCCCCTAGCTAGAGGATTCCAAACTTCTTACTTTGGTTTTTAATTTCTTTTTTCCCCCAAGACGGAGTCTTGCTTGCTCTGTCGCCCAGGCTGGAGTGCAGTAGTGCGATCTTAGGCTCACTGCAACCTCCACCTCCTGGGTTCAGGTGATTCTCCTGCCTGAGCCTCCTAAGTAGCTGGGATTACAGGTGTGCACCACCACACCCAGCTAATTTTTGTATTTTTAGTAGAGATGGGGTTTTACTATCTTGGCCAGGCTGATCTCGAACTCCTGACCTTGGGATCTGCCCACCTTGGCCTCCCAAAGTGCTGGGATTACAGACATGAGCCACTGTGCCCGGCCTTATTTTGTTTTTTAAAGTCAAACTTCTCTCCAAAGATCTGAGGAACCAAGCTTGCATTCATTTTCCTTGCCCAGCCTGCCGATCGGGCTGGTGGAGAGGCTCTGAAGGCCTCATGAAGGGGCTGGGGATAGTGGGTGTCACTCTGTAGACAGACAAGGAAGGGAAGAAGAGAAGGCTCCAGATGGAAAGGAGGGGATAGACCAGCAGGAGCGGCTCTGCTTGGCCCGGTCCTGCCTCCTTTAATGGTCCCTGGGCCTCTTCTGCTCTGTGTCACCTGCAGCCAACTGGGAAGGAGCTTCCAGACAGCCAGCTCGTTCAGCCCCTGGTCTACATGGAGCGCCTGGAACTCATCAGAAACGTCTGCAGGGATGATGCCCTGAAGAATCTCTCGCACACTCCTGTCTCCAAGTTTGTCCTGGACCGAATATTTGTCTGTGACAAGCACAAGATTCTTTTCTGCCAGACTCCCAAAGTGGGCAACACCCAGTGGAAGAAAGTGCTGATTGTTCTAAATGGTGTGTGTGGGTCTACTGAATGTCCACTGGGAAGGGTCTTGGTGGCCGGTGCTGAGGAGGCTGGGGAGGACAGCAAGGAGGAGTCACAAGAGGGCTGGTTTGACCTGAAGGGACTGGTGGCCGTCCAGACAGGCCTGTTTTTGTTGTTTCCTGTTAGTGTTGTGCCTTACAAGTTAGTGGGGCTCGTTTAGACACCGATTCTTTTCAAAGGGGCACAGCCACAGTCCAGCTCTCCTCACCTGTCACAGCAGATCCTCACTTTAGGTGGCTCGCCCACCCCCAGGCCCCCCTCCTTTGTCTCTTCAGGTTCCCTGTGCTGATGGTTATAGTCACCCACTCTGTCCGACATCCCCAGGGCCCCACACTCGCAGAGCCACCAGGAAGCCTCACGGTCACCCTCTCTGCAGTGAGAAGGGCTCACACTGTAGAGCCTGGGAGGGGAGCCCTGGCCCGGGGCCTGGAGCCTCTTTACCTGCAGACCAAGCGTTCTGTGCCAGCGAGCAGGAAGAAATTGTACCCCATTTCACACTAAGCATCTGTGTTCAGAGGATTGAGTCAGCTTGCTTCAGGAAACCTGATGTTTGCTAGGGAACAAATTAGATCATCACAAAGTAACCTCATACACTGCAGTTTTGATTACTCACTACTCTTTTTAGAGATGTCTATTTATTTAAATTCCAATTAGTCTGAACCGATCCTAATAATTATGGGCTCTGCTTATGAAATTTAGCTTCAGACAGGAGTTAGTTCCAGTCAACAGCAGTGGGACTCCTGGGTCAGAAATCGGATTTTGGGGCACCATGGGTAGGTGGCCCTAAGGCTCCATGTCCTGCTTGCCACTCCTGATGCTGCCCACAGAGTCGGTGGTCACTCCTGGCCACTGTTTGGCCTTCGCAGGGGTTGGCTGGGAGAGAGAATGGTGGCACCTCATCATCTGGTTGTCACATATAATTAATGTGCTTCTGCAGTGATTGGATAGCATGTTGGGTTTTCAGAAGCAGAATGAGGCTGCAAATCGAATTGAAAACAAGGAATATACAAAGGCTCACAAATCAGCCACCACAGTGTGAAGCAGCATACTTTAAGAAGTAAACACCCACTTAGAAGGGCAGCATAGAAATCAGAGTGGGCTTGCTGGATCATGTAATACAGAAGCGGGTGGTCCTTGTGGCTATCTTCGGTAACCACTAGTGCACCTGGATGGGGACAGGTGCATGAATGGGCCCATATGTGGACCCACAGAGCTGGTTCTGTCATTGTCCCCTTGAGAGCAGTGCTCCCCACGCCTAGTTTACAGCCATCCATAGCATGTACCGCAGAGTTCTGGACTGGGCTTTAAACACTCGGGGGAGGAATCAATAAAACAGACAAGACTGTGTCCACTGGTCAGATGGCCCAGGGAGATTCTTCCCTGCCAGGACTCCAATCTTAACCCTACCGGATTAACACAAAGATGGATATTAAGGCTTACAGAAACTTGGAGAAAACCTCAGCATACTGACAGTGTATTTCCATTTGTCTGTATTGAGAAAAGAGTGAAAAACCTGCTCAGCCACCAACCCTAGGATGGTCTCTGCCCAAGTTCCATTCAGCAGCCTGGACCTGCACTGGTCCCTGATGACAGACCCTGGCTGTTGGCACGGCCCTGCCTTCTCGACATACCTTGTCCTCTTTTGACTCCTGTCTCAAATGTATCACAGCTCCCATAGCTTAGTCAGATTTTTCCAGCATCAAAAGGTCTTTGCTCTTTGCCAGCCTGGGATGCTGCTGGGGTACCTGAGAGCCACTGTGGGCCAGGGGCATGTGGTGCTTGGAGAGCTTAGCCTGTCTATGGGATGGGGCTGTGAAGCTGCTGCGGGCATCTGTTAGCATGACGTTCCAAAGTCCTGCTTCTCTGGCATTTTCCCCCAGTCTCAGAGTAGAGTAAGTGTTGCTGGTGTTAGGAGTTCTGTTTGCATGCAGCGATCTTCCTCTAATGGCAGATTTAGCCCAGTTAGGTCCATTGCCAGGGGTAGGCACTGCCAGCATTTCCACTCCTGCTCCCTCCCCCTCCTCCCTGAAATCATCAGTTTCCTCTAGTTGGCTTATGGATTCCCAGAAGCTTTTCTTCACTCGTTCATCCTGCTGGCAGAAGCAGTTGAAATTCAAAGACCTAAACTTGGATATTGGGGGTGGGCTTGTCATGCACACGTGGGGAACATGAGGCCCAAGGTAAAGATGAGGTAAGGACATGCCCTTCTCTAAGGGGCGTACTGGAGCAGCCAACCTGCCTTCCTTTCCGTTTACTTCCCAGGAGCATTTTCTTCCATTGAGGAGATCCCCGAAAACGTGGTGCACGACCACGAGAAGAACGGCCTTCCTCGGCTCTCTTCCTTCAGTGATGCAGAAATTCAGAAGCGGTGAGAACAGCTTCCTCAAAGGGGAGGGGGGAGTTTTTGTAAACCTGAGAAGAAATTTGGGGAAAACCCCAGGCTGAGTTCTGTACTTGGCAGATTGATCGGAGGACCACAGAGGGCTGTCGGTTTGCATCAGTGAGAGGCAGCTAAGCTACACCCCCCATTCGGCGCCTCAAAACTCTCAGTTCCTTCTGAGAATTTCCAGCCTTACCTTCACACAGTCCATTAACATGAAGGTGACATCATTTTGTTAATAGAAATTAGCAGGCAACTTTGTTCTGCTTTGGTAAAGTTTTATAGATTGCTTGCTGAATATGATCTTTTCTTTATAAGAAAGGGATTTGGATTGCAGAGATCTCACTGAGTATTTGATTCTCCCAGAGGCATTGTGCCCACTGCTGTGGGAGCTGCCCCTGCAGTGGTTGTGTGGGCTGCATCCAGCATGGGCAGGGTAGAGAGACGGAACCCCTGATCGCAGCAAGGACGGAGTCCAGGCTGGGCGCAGTGGCTCATGCCTGTAATACCAGCACTTTGGGAGGCCGAGGTGGGCGGATCATTTGAAGTCAGGAGTTCAAGACAAGTGTGACTGACAGAAACCCCGTTTCTACTAAAAAAAAAAAAATAGCCCGCTGTGGTGGCACACACGTGTAGTCCTAGCTACTCAGGAGGCTGAAGCAGGAGAATCGCTTGAACCCTGGAGGCAAGGGTTGCAGTGAGCCAAGATCTGGCCACCGTACTCTAGCTGGGGCGACAGAGCAAGACTCTGTCTCAAAAAAAAAAAAAAAGAAGATGGAGTCCTTAGCTAATAGATGAGAAAGTTCTCATGTAGTAGCTCTCAGGTGGCCCAGGAGAGCAAGGCTGAAAAGGAGTGAGGATGCAAAAGCAGCGGCTCACGTCAGGTCACCAGCTGGATTTTGCCTCCTGGGTCTGCAGCCACCTGCCTTGCATGGCGCCTGACCTGCATGGCACCTGCCCATCCTTACAACCCTTACCAGAGATGCTCCTGGTGAGGAGTGTCCTGCTGTTGCCCTGAGCACTCATGGGGCTTTTGTGAGACTCAGTGAGTGAAGACACGGCAAAGCACAGAGAGCAGTTTCTGGCCTGTCGTAATCACACCGTGTTCTGTGATGTCACTGTTGTCATCGTCTTTGTCATCGTCACTGCTGCCGGCCCTCCTCCCCAGGGCCATGCTCTGCTGCCGCCCGCTTGCAGCTCACCCAGACCTGCTCCTGCCCTCTGGAGCGTGAAGCCTGACTCTCTGTTTTCTCTTGCCCCCCTTCCCCTGGCAATTTGAATTGAACTTTTAAAAATATGCCCTTAAAGTAACTTTCCCTGGCACCATCTATTCCTGACTCAGAGTTCCTGCCCTTATGATTTTCTGCCCAGGAACAAAATTTGTAAACATTCTTGAAGTTTTGAATCATTCAAGTAAAACAGAAGGTAGATTAAATAGATGTCTTCACAGTGACTGCCTACAATGAGTACTGTGGCCTTGGACAGGTAAGGTTTTCCAAGCCTCTGTTTTCTCACCTGCAAAGTGTGGTAATAACAGGATTAATCCACAGGATCTTGGAGTAGATTAAGAGACGTGTGGAATGCATTCATGGCAGCCTCGGCACGTGAGGGTCCCATACACAGTGCTGCACTCCGCTCATTCTTCCCTCTCCCGCCCCCTCAGCTGTGACCTCCTGTGGCATCAAGTTAACCTCTTGTTCGTTTTTTTCCTTAGATTGAAAACATACTTCAAGTTTTTTATTGTAAGAGATCCCTTCGAAAGACTTATTTCTGCATTTAAGGATAAATTTGTTCACAATCCCCGGTTTGAGCCTTGGTACAGGCATGAGATTGCTCCTGGCATCATCAGAAAATACAGGAGGAACCGGACAGAGACCCGGGGGATCCAGTTTGAAGATTTCGTGCGCTACCTCGGCGATCCGAACCACAGATGGCTAGACCTTCAGTTTGGGGACCACATCATTCACTGGGTGACGTATGTAGAGCTCTGTGCTCCCTGTGAGATAATGTACAGTGTGATTGGACACCACGAGACCCTGGAGGACGATGCCCCATACATCTTAAAAGAGGCTGGCATTGACCACCTGGTGTCATACCCGACTATCCCTCCGGGCATTACCGTGTATAACAGAACCAAGGTGGAGCACTATTTCCTGGGCATCAGCAAACGAGACATCCGACGCCTGTATGCCCGTTTCGAAGGGGACTTTAAGCTCTTTGGGTACCAGAAACCAGACTTTTTGCTAAACTAATGCATAAGACCTATGAATTCAAATATCTTTATTAGACCTGGGGCTAACCAGGTGAAGATCTGAGCCCAGAAATGACCCTTCCTCCACCACACCCCTCCTTTGAGGACGCCCGGGGTCTCCCACAGGCCTGTGAGTTGCCTCGGCATATGACGCAGAACCCCAACTGTTACAACTTAGTTTGGATGTAAGATGCTCTGAGGACCCTGCCCACACCCCTGCGTGCATTAGGATGTCGCTGGCCTTTGCTCACCTCAGAGGGGAGAAAAGGCTAAAGATTTGCAGTTTGACAGCCCAGCAGGGAGGAAGCATCACACAGCGTTAGGAGCCGTTTCCTTCAGGTGTTAAGGAAGGGGATGCCCCTGAGGTTCTCCTGGCTAGTCAGGGTGGCTTCACCCATCACTGGTGGGTTGCAGGAACAGCACCCAGGACTCTGAGGAGGGACAGAGAAGCAAGGGGGCTGCTGAAATCGCAGAGACTTTTGCAGCATCAGATCTGAGGAGTAAAACGGCACCTCTGGCCTTCATCTTGGTGCTGCGACAATTGTGGAGGCAAAGCATTCTTTCTGTGACTATTTTGTTCCTGTAGACAGTCAGCGATGGCCAGAGGGTGGTGTGGTGTCCAGGGGTCCATCTTTCCAGAATCCATGCCTGTGTAATGCTGGTCCATGCTTCTGAACCTGTGTCTGCCAAGCGCCTATTTCATTCAGCACAAGACATACGATTTTAGAAGGTGAGGGGAGGGGAGGCTTTTTCTACCTGAGAAGGGGAGTGTCTTTGAGGGCCTTAAAAGGACCATGGCCCAGGAATGGGGGCGCTGGTTGGGCTTGGAGCTCAGGCTGCTGTGGATCCCGGCGCATCAGTTCTGACTTGCCTTACCTGGGTGGACAGCAGTGAATCTCCACCTGTCTTCTCCAGGGAGCTCCCATGTTGGGGCTGAAGACGAGCAGGGGCAACCTGCCAGCATCACAGAATTCAGTGTAGTTTATACATTTCGATTCCTTTCATCTCAGCAAAATGGGCACTGCCAGAGCCATTTCTGATCACACCACCATCCTGGACCATGTGACTGGAAGGTGGGTAACCAAGTTCACCAGCAATAAAACCCAGCGCCCAGGTAGCCTCCAGCAGTGCGGCTTCCTGGCAACAAGGTAGGCCCTGGTGCAGGGCAAGCCGCAGCGACCATTTCAGATACCGTCCACAGCCAGGACCGCTGAGAACTGGGACAGTTTCCTGGGATGAGTGCCAGCCTGAGCCTGCATGGTGCCGCCGAGCCCGGGGTGGAGGAGGGAGCCAGGCTTCGCTTCAAGGCGGCCTCTACCTTTTCTCAGAATGGTTTCCTGATTGTGTCAATGTGAAAGTTAAATAAAATTTATGTGCCAAACCTGACATGAGCTGCGGTTCTGGGAAGGGTGCCTGTGGCCACGCGCGCCCCAGGCAGGTGGGGTAGGCATGTGCGCACGCATGCATAGCTGCTCAGGGTAAGCAGACCGCAGGAGGCCCAGCCTTCAGCCGCCATGGACACGCAGGGCCGAGGACGCCACACTGGGTTATTTTTCTGTAACGTTTAGCAAAGTCTTGTTACAATTTCAGACCAAATGAGCTGATTGATTACCTCTTTGCTGTTTGGAATCTAACTGTGGATCTGTATATGAATGGAAGGCCTTAAAGCTAGTCTTAATTAAAATAGTGTTTTCCCTCAGAAACAAAATTCTGGCCCCTGGGGTGGTCTCTTCCTCCCCTTTGGCATTTGGGTCATTTTCCTAACATATTTTGCCACACAAGTGGAGATTGCTACCATAGTATCTCCTGGACATCTCACTGTGTCCACAGCAAGGATGCCGCCAAGCACGGCAGCCCACCCCGTTCATTTCTGCACAGCCAGTACCCCCACTCCCCTGTCCCCTGACTTCCTTCTGAGGCTCCAGATCCACTAACTCCCTCCTCAGCTTACAGCAGGTGGTGCACCTCCTTCTGCCCCCTGAGGCACCACCATGTGGAGGGCTCTGCTACCCTGTCTGGGCGTTCCTCAGGACTGGGCTGGATGGTGGCACAGCTCATTCCCAGGCAGTGACACCAGGGTGGGGGTGGCTGGAGTAGGCAGGCCTAGGGGGACCTCTGCACTAACAGCCTGGGTTTGAGAGAAACAAACAGCGACCCTGCCTCCAAGAAGTGCTAGGGCCCGGAGGGCAGTTCCTAAATTAGGAAGTTTAATAATACGAGGTTGACTTAATGGGTTTGTGTTTTAGACCGCTTCTCTCCTACTGGATTTCACTCCTAGCGCGTGTCAGGTTTATTGGTCTTGTGTTGAGAACCACTACAGAGAAATGCCCAGAGCTGAGATGAGATTTGATTTTCACAGTGGCTGACTGGGTGCACACGAAGGTGTGCACTCACGGCCTGCAGGGCACCCAGGTGGCCTCTGCCCTGGGTTCCTGAAAAGAAGAGCCTCTGACACAGCACTGGGGGGGGTCCTCCCTTTCACCCCCCAGCTTTCTCGCTCTAAACCCCGGCATGCTTTGCTCATCTGGAATCTCCAGAAGCAGGGAACAGAAAGGGAAAAATCAAGACAGCAGCTAAATGTGAGGCGAAGGCAGCCTATTGGACTAAACTCAAATTATGCAGCATAGTTTCCCAAGCTCCTCGGACATGCCGAGACCCTCAGCAGGATAGTGCAGTTACAGGGCTGAGCAGAACCGCAGGCTCATAGGAGATGAGAGGCCTGGGAAGTGCCAGGACAAGGCTGCACCTATCCAGCTTGAGTCAGGAGGCTTCAGGCAGGTGAGGTAGCCACACTTGGGGAGCATTACAGAAGGGTTGGCCAGAGGAGAGGATGCCCAGGGGGATGGAAGCTGCATCCAAGGTATGGCGGGTCGGCTGTGAAAAATGTGGGCGCCCAGACAGGAAGGCTGGGCAGCATCACATAGGGCTTCCAGGGGTGTGCTCTTCCCCTCCGGGAGGAGGGGCAAACACAAGGCAACCAACAGCTGTGATGATTGGGGTGATAGGGGGTTGTCCCCAAAGCTGAGGGAGGAGCATGCACCAGTACAGACTCACACCCCTACAGCAAGTAGTTGGTGCCTGGAGGGGAAGGGCAGGTAGCTTGATGTGACCAGGAATGGCTGTGCTCTGCAAGTTTGGGTGTCATTTGGGTAATAGGGGCTCTGGAGGATTTATTTTTTCTTTTTATTATATAAATTTAAAAATATATGTTGGCTGGGTGCAATGGCTCACTCCTGAATCCCAGCACTTTGGGAGGCCAAGGCGGGCAGATCACCTGAGGTTGGGAATTCAAGACCATCCTGACCAACATGGAAAAACCCTCTCTCTACTAAAAATACAAAATTAGCTGGGCTTGGTGGCACATGCCTGCAATCCCAGCTACTTAGGAGTCTGAGGGAGGAGAATTGCTTGAACCCGGGAGGCGGAGGTTGCAATAAGCCAAGATCTCGCCATTGCACTTCAGCCTGGGCAACAAGAGTGAAACTCATTCTCAAAAATACATGTGTGTGTCAAAGTGATCACTGAACTCCAAGTAGCTCTCAGCTTCAACCGTTTGTTTTTTTGTTATGTTTGTTTTGTTTTTGGAGACGGAGTCTCACTCTGTCGCCCAGGCTGGAGTGCAGTGGTGCGATCTCGGCTCAATACAACCTCTGCCTTCTGGGTTCAAACAATTCTCGTGCCTCACCCCCCTGAGTAGCTGGGATTACAGGCATGTGCCACTATGCCTGGCTAATTTTTATATTTTTAGTAGAGACAGGGTTTCGCCATGTTGGTCAGGCTGGTCTAGAACTCCTGAGCTCAGGTGATCCATCTGCCTCAGCCTCCCAAAGTTCTGGGATTGTAGCCATGAGCCACCACACCGGGCCCCACAGTTTTTGTATAACAAATTCCCTTTCTCATTTCATCTGCCCCTTGCCCCACTCACTTACCGTGACTTGTATGGTGCACACACCTGAGAAGCTCAGACTGGGGATTTGAGTCCCAGTACTTTGACACCAGAGCCCACAGCATTGACTGCCAGCTACATTCTACTGACTCAAATCCATTTTTTTTAACCCTGCTGTTCTTTGGTTCATTGCCCTTCATTCATCTGACCACCCCACCAAGGCCCCCAACCCAGTGCCTCCCAGCAGCAGCTCCCCTTGGCTTCTCAGCTTGCTCTCCCCATTCACCATGGTGTCTATTTCAACATTGTCCATTTTTCTCAAACTTCCACTCCATTCTCATTTACTGTGGGCAGATGACCTTGTCCCCGACAGAGGGAACAGGTGCCATCAGATGAGCATTCTCCAACATACTGGCTCCACACCTGCAAACTTCCTGTATCCACACATCCTCTCCCCCTTCTACTACAGTGGGCGGGGCTTGCCTCCCACCTTGCTCTGCACCTCCCCACATCTGTTCCGAATTACCCTCCTGCTCTAGTGCCAGCTCCTGTATCTGCACCCCTTCTCCCCACTGGGCTCTTTCCCGGTGGCATTCAAGCACGTTCAGGGCTCTCGAATCCTAAGACCATCCTGCCTTAGCTCTTTCCCCATCCCACATGGGGCCCTGCCTTACCTGTCACCCCCACTCCATCTTGAATCTAGCAGTTTTCAGGGCAGTCAGTCAATTTTCCAGATTCTTTTCTTCTGTGCATCCTTTAATTTCTATTGCTTCCCAGTATTCTTAGCTCAGTTCTTTTCTGTCACCACTCTCTCTGGGCAAGGAGGCCTCCCTGCAGATCTTCAGTTACCATCTGTGTGGAAATAAGCCCCATGGGGACCCAAGAACTTTTGTGTGTTTTGTCCGCTGTGGTAGCACAACTCTCTAAAAACAGTGCTTGGCACAAAGTTCTCAAGACTTTTCGAATGCTGATTTAGACCCAAGTTTGTGCCTTCTGTCTGCATGTCTTTTTGAGCTTCTGACACTTATACCACCTGCCTACTAGGTATTTCCTCCTGGTTGCCCCACACTCATTTCAAACTTATTAATTCCTGAGCAGAACCTTCATCTTCCCCTTCAAACCTGTTGGTTTATATGTGGCCATGATTTCAGGGAACAGTGACACAAACCATCCAGGTGTCTGAACCAGAAATCTGAGTCAGAATCTTGGACAACTCCTTCTTATTCACTCCTCACATCCAATCAGTCACCACTTCCAGTAGATTCAACTATTTACAGGTTTCGGGTTCCCGGCCACTTCTTTCCATCCCTTTTGCCACCTCTCCAGTATGGGCCACTAGACGTCCCAGGCGGGCCACACCCACAAACACAGATGCCTGCCCTGCTGCTCCCCCTGCCTCTGCCTCTGATTTTGGCCACCTGCAATCATTTCTTTCTTTTTTTTTTTTTTTTTTCTGAGACAGAGTTTTGGTCTTGTTGCCCAGGCTGGAGTGCAATGGCGCGATCTCAGCTCACTGCAACCTCCGCCTCCCAGGTTCAAGTGATTCTCCTGCCTCAGCTGCCTGAGTAGCTGGGATTACAGGCATGCGCCACCACACCACCACACCCGGATAATTTTGTGTTTTTAGTAGAGATGGGGTTTCTCCATGTTGGTCAGGCTGGTCTTGTACTCCCAACCTCAGGTGATCCGCCTGCCTCGGCCTCCGAAAGTGCTGGGATTACAGGCATGAATCAGCATGCCTGGCCCCACCTGCAATCATTTCTATACCCCACAGCTAGAGTGGGTTTTGTCAAATAAAACTCTAATTGTGTTGCTCCTTAGCTGAAACTGTTAAATGGCTCCCCATTGCTCTTAGAAAAAAAGTCCATTTTCTTCCACATAAAGTACAAGGTCTTTAAGGATTTAGACTCTGGTTCCTCTGCAGTCTCATCTCTCACCATCTCCTTCACTTTCACTCCATGCCCAACCCATAGGCTTTGGCTGTAGCCATCTATTCTCATCTCCATGAGTTTGCCATGGCCTCTTGTCATCTCCAGACCTTGTCACAGGCTGTTCCTTGCACCCCTTCTCTTCAGGTAGCTAACTGCTATTCATCCCTTAATATCCAGCTCAGAAAGCATTTAGGAACTCTTAAGCCCAAGATGCCCTTCCTTGAGATACAATTCATCCTGGGGCAAAATTCCTGTCCATCTGTGAACCTATGACCAGATAAGTTACGTGCTTCCAAAATACAATGGTGCAACAGGCACAGACATCCTCATGCCAAAAGGGAGCAATCAGAGGAAAGAAAGGGATGATGGGTCCCAAGCAGTTCCAAAACATAGTAAAGCAAATCACATTAGGGTTTATGGCTTAAGATTAATCTTTTTTGGTTTGATGCTCTGCCCTCCAGACCCACTGGAGCAGTGGTCTCACCTTCCAGAACCACTGGGGTGGCAAAGTCACTCCCATGACTTGGCCTGTTGCCCCACCTCCTATGTTGCCCATGCTGGTCTCAAACTCCTGGGCTCAAGCAAACCTCCCACCTCAGCCTCTCAAAGTGCTGGGATTACAGGCATGAGCCACCGCGCCTGGCCTCTGCTGTCGTTAGTGTCAGCTGGCAGTGTTTCTGTTGGTATCATCCCATTTCTGTTCCTGGCCATCTCTGTTGAGATGGCTGGTTAGGTCCATGCTCCACACCCACACTAATCTCCTTATCAAATGGTAGGTCAGCCATACCCTTGTTCTCTTCTGAACATGTTTTCTTATTTTTTGCAACATAGACTGAGAATCTCAAAATCTTTTGGCTCTGGTTCCTTTTTGCTTAATAATTCAGTCTTCAAGTCATTTCTCTCTTCTTGCATTTTACTACAACCAATCAGGAGAAACCAAACTGCTTCTTCAACACTACTTAGAAATTGCTTCAGCTAAGTACTTAATGTCATCACTTGCAGGTTGTACCTTCCACAAAACACTGGAACGTCAACATAAGTCAGGCAAATCCTTTGCTGCTGTATAACAAAGATAACACTTTCTGCATTGTGCGATGTCATTTTCCTCACTTCTGTCTGCGACCTCACTAGAATGACCTTTACCTTCCATATTTCTACCAACATTCTGTTCATAATTATGTATATATTCTCTAAGAAGATGGATGCTTTCTGTACAGCTCTCCTCTTTTCTATTTTTTTTTTTTTTTTTTTTTTTTTGCAAAGGAGTCTTACTCAGTTGCCCAGGTGGAGTGCAATGACGCGAGCTCGGCTCACTGCAACCTCTGCCTCCTGGGTTCAAGCAATTCTCCGGCCTCAACCTCTTGAGTAGCTGGGATTACAGGTGCCCACCACCATGCCTGGCTAATTTTTGTATTTTTAGTAGAGACAGGGTTTCACCATGTTGGCCAGGCTGGTCTCGACCTCCTGACCTCAGGTGATCCACCTGCCTCGGCCTCCCAAAGTGTTGGGATTACAGGCGTAAGCCACCATGCCCAGCCTCTCTTTTCCATCTGAGTCCTCATCAGAATCACATTTCATGTCCATATTGTTAGCATGCATCTGAAACTTCTCCATTATCTGTACATCATCCGTTTCCAAAGCTGATTCCACATTATTTGTTACAGCAGCACCCACTTCTTGGTAGTAATTTCTTAGTCTACTTGGATTGCCGCAATAAAATACTATAGACTGAGTGGCTTAAAGGACAGAAATTTATTTCTCACAGTTCTGGAGGCTGAGAAGCCCAAGATCATGGGGTTGGCAGATTCAGTTCCTGGCAAGGGCTCTCTTTCTGGCTTGCAGTCAGCTACCTTCTCACCATGTCCTCATGTGGCAGAGAAAGTGCTCTGATCTCCCTCCTCTTATAAGGATACTAATCTGATCATGGGTTCCTATCCTCATGACCTCATCTAAACCTAATTACCTCTCCATGGCCTTACCTTCAACTACCATTGCACTGAGGATTAGAGTTTCAACATAGGAATTCTGGGGCGCACAAGCATTCAGGCTATAACACTATGTGATCGTCAGGGCAGGGAATATTTACATTTGCCATAGCAGCACCCAAGCCTGAAAACAATAGGTGCTTCATGAATGTTGAATTGACTTGTTATGTTCATGCGGATATGGCATTTTCTATCTGGACATTCACTGACCTCCTTGGCTACCCATATATTGTATACCTTGGCATGGATGCAGCAACCACTGAATCTTCCTCCCCCCTTCCCCTGCTGCCAGGATTCAACTAGGGAATAAGATATTAACTGAAACTCCTTCTACCCTCACCCTATTCCAAAACCCTATCATGAACAGCTCTCACCCGCCCTTCCTGTCCCATAATTTGAGGATGGGGATGAGGAAAAATAAAAGATCATTCCCACAGAAAAGTGGTTGCCAATTTCTAAATGTGTATTTTCTTTTTCTGGGCCATCTCTTGCCTTCTCCCTTAGAAAAGTGCCAGATGTAAAACAACAATAGGAATTTGCACTTTCATTAATCTCAAAGTAACTTAAGTGTAAGATATACTTTAGAGATCTTTGCACATAATATCAAAGCTGTCTATGAACATTGAGCAGCTCAACTCATGTCAGGCCCCACTGCTTTGGAAATAAAAGACATGGGAATCTCATCTCGAGCCAGCCAAGTTGGCCGTGCTCCACCTTAAGACCTGGAGGCCCAGTGAGTTCCTCCAGGCCCAGAGGTTCTAAAGGAAGAGGTAGCTATGCCTGCAAGCTAAGCCGGAATGGAATGGGCTGAGCATAACCAGAAAGAAGAAAGTATGGCCACCTGTCTCCACACTGGTCCTGGTAATAAAATTTGTCTACATGTAGAGGTTAGAAATGGTGCTTTGTGGCTGGATGAGAATGCGCTTTAATAAGCATTCATTCAAGGACTTCATAGAAAACCCACTGAGAACCCAGGTGCTAAGGAAGGAAAAGAGAATTCCTTTTACCTTCCTCCTAGATCCCTTATGCAAGAAATAGACTTGGAGCATCTGGCTTCCAGGCCCTTTGGTTCTACACTAATACATTTACTCCATTTTGTAAATTCAGAACTAGTACCCATGACCCTACACGAATAAGTGAATGGGCTCTGGGCCTTGCGTTTTTCAGAAAGTGAATTGCCCTCAAACCCTCAGTTTTCACCAAGATGTTGATAAGGAATGACAGGTTAAAGTATTTGCTCAGTACTCAAGTTTGAAAGTAAAAACTAGCGTAGGACAGAATGTACCAAGTTAACCACCAGGGAAGTGGATCCTGTCCTGTTATCCAGGACCAGGTTTTATTAAATGATTCATAGAATCAGATCCATTTATTCCAAGTAGACTGGAAATACTCGTGTCCTGATCCTTTTTGTATGGTTGAAACCACTTCATTAGACATGTTGCAATAGTAAAAAGCCCGATTAGCTTAGTGTTTACTCATTTTATTTCTCAGTTATTTAATATTTTGTTTTCCTTAATATCCATGATGTTTGTCTCTGGTGTTCTGATGTAAAATCATAGTGTGTATTTTTTACACTAATGTTGAAATCTGAAATATATGCACCCATCTTTAATTTTGCGTGATGTGTTTTACGTGCTATTCCTTTCTCAGTGACAGAAATGAACAGACCAGAATTTGTGGGATTTGGGTACAGGATCTCCATAAGCTGAGAATGCCCCTCTTGCTGTTGCTGCCAGACTTTCGGAGGCTCTGTGGCTGAGCCCCAGACTCCTTACTGTTTGGACACTGACGTGGGCTCTGGCCTCTGCATTTTCCAGAACCCCAGAGAGACCTGGAAAGTCATCCTCAGCCTCCATTCCTGGTCACAGATGATAATGTAGAACTGGCCTTAGCTGTCTTTCCTGGGCTCTGGCTTTCTGCCACCTTGGACTTTGCTACTTTCTGTAGGACTTAGTAGCACCTGCCATACTCTGCCACTCCCTCCCCTCTAGGCTGAGCCCTGTCTCACAGACTCTGAACAATACGAGGCTTTTGCTGCCCAAAGTTTGTCATGATTGATTTAAACTAGCATGCCAAAAATAAATTCCTAAAAGTCAGTAAGTCAACTTAATAACTGTGAAGTTCAGTTATCAAAAACTTATATTATTTTTAGGGACAAAATCTTAATAACCTGGAAAGATAGATTTTTTTAAAATTAGTTTTTGTTCTTCAGCTTAACTGACACGTAATTTACAAAACATAAATTTTACCTTTTATAAGTATGCAGTTCTATGTTTTAGTAAATGTACTTTTGCGACTATTACTACAATCTAGTTTTAGAACACATTTGTTACCCAAAAAATCTCCTAAATACCCATTTGAGGTCCAGCTTTAGGCCCAGGCAACCACTCTTCTTCCTCCTGTTTCTGTTTTTGCCTTTATTAGAAATTTCACATAAATGAATTAATATGATGTATAAATTCTTGAGTATGGCTTTTTTCCCTTAGTATAGTCTTTTAGATCCATCCGTATTGCTGCATGTATCAATATTTAGTTCATAGACTGGGCGCGGTGGATCACACCTGTAATCCCAGCACTTTGGGAGGCCAAGGTGGGTGGATCATTGAGGTCAGGAGTTCAAGACCAGCCTGGCCAACATGATGAAACCCCGTCTCTACTAAAAATACAAAAATTAGCCAGGCATGGTGGCAGGCACCTGTAATCCCAGCTACTTGGGAGGCTGAGGCAGGATAATTGTCTGAACCCAGGAGGCAGAGGTTGTGGTAAGCCAACATCACACCACTGCACTTCAGCCTAGGTAACAGAGTGAGATCCTGTCTCAAAAAAAAAAAAAAAAAGAAAAAAAAAAAGAAATTAGTTCATTTTTACTGCTGTGGGAATTCCATTATATGGAGATACCAATTTTATCTATTCACCATTTGATGAACATTTGGGTTGTTTCCCAGGTTTGGCTCTTATGAATAATGCTGCTATGAACACTTGCATACAAGACTTGGTGTAGGTATATGTTTCCACTTCCATGGGATACCTAGGCATGGAATTGCCGGTAATAAATATGTTTTTTTCTAATGAAAAGAAAATCAATGTTATGGCTTTTCCAAAGGGCAAAACTAGGCTGAACTTCCATGTTACAGAGAGAATAAAACTAAAGAATTAGCCATAGGCAAATTGCACTGATAAATTATCTGAAAACTAAAAGGTTAATTATAAAAATAACAGCAACATATTTTCTAGTCTACAGTTGATCCTTAAATATTAGTAATTATGGCCGGGTGTGGTGGTTCACGCCTGTAATCCCAGCACTTTGGGAAGCCGAGGCAGGTGGATAACCTGAGGTCAGGAGTTCGCGACCAGCCTGGCCAACATGGCGAAACCCCATCGCTACTAAAAATAAAATAACATAAAAATTAGCCGGGCATGGTGGCATGTGCCTGTAATCTCAGCTACTTGGGAGGCTGAGGCAGGAGAATCACTTGAACCCAGGAGGCGGAGGTTGCAGTGAGCGGAGATTGCACCACTGCACACCAGCCTGGGCGACAGAACGAGACTCCGTCTCAAAGAAAAAAATATATATGTACATATTAGACAATTATGATCAAAAGCTGTAGACTTCTAGACCAGAGTCTAGAAGGGTGTGGCCATGCTTGCCCTGGGCAGCCCCATGACAGCTGATGTGGAAAGCGGGAAGAGGCTGACAATCCTTCTCCCCAGCATGTCTGCATGAAGCCTTGTGATTCACTTTCACCAAGTACCTGATGTTTCACAATTCCAGCATTCCCGTTAATGTTACCTCCCATTGATCCTAAAAAGAGGCAAATATGAAGATGTATATAATTTTGGATAAATCAAAGGTGGTTCCTGAGGAGGAAAGTGTCCAGAACCTCTGATCTGCATAGTATTTTACACACTTCCAAGCATAAGAAGATGAACAGAATGGCAGAAGTGAGAGTACCCATTTTACAGTGAGGGGCATCAAAGAACAGGAAGTGCAACAAATGAGGGAGGTTCTTGGGCTACCATTCAAAGCTATCCACTTGGAAGTTTCTCTGCCAGTTTCATTTCCCCATGTTCCTCCAGGGGGCGCTGTTTCCTATTCTAGCTCCTGCTAAAGCCAGGTTCCCTTTCTGTAAACTCACTTGGGGAAACTCACCAAGGTACTCTCCGAAGCTACAATCATGACAGTTACAAAACACCGCTGTTCGGAGATTAGGCCTAGGACATACGTGGTCAGATTTTTCTCTGTTGAAGAGCAGGTAGAGAATGGGAAAACAAGTGTACAGAAATCACCAAAAATCTCAGAGCTGCGGGAACAGAAATTTTGTCTGTTTTATTAAATCATAAGTTCAAAAACAATGCAAAGCTTCCCTCCCTAGAAGATAATTCCTAGTAAAAGGCTGCTAAAACCCACAGGGTTTTGTTGGTGGTGGTGGTGGTGGTGTTAGTGATTTGTTTGAAATCTGGAACGCCTTGCTTTGGTCTTTGTATGGTTTCACCATGATTTTACCCATCCTGGAGCCTGCCCCAGCAATACTTGGGACAAGTCACACTAACTATGTATGTCTTCCTCTGAAAGGAATGGTGACCTGTGGTGGGCCCAGAGCAGCCGTTCCAGTTACAAAGGGGTATCTTCACCTGCAGTGAAGAAAGCAACTCTCAGCCACAGGGGTGTTAGCCGACCTTGGCCTGAATAGAGGCTCCTCAGGGCTTTGGAGGGAGTTTTAGAAAAAGAGGCCTCTCAGTGCCTGGCAGAGTTGTGCTCATCAGCTTCAACAAAACCCATCTAACTAAATGCAGGGAGCATTTGTGAGCAATTTTTCTATTCAATGATTGCTCAAAGTTGCAGATTATTCTCCAGATGATGTTCTTGCTTGATAAGAACCCAGCAAACAGTAAAATCAAGATATTCAGAAAAAGCTTTATATGTGTGTGTACGTGTATATACATACCATATAACTCAGGTTGGTTTCAGTAAGCCTACAGCTATAGCTTCCGTTCTTGGCAAAGATATATAAAGTGTATTCTTTGCTTTTATGTAATGCAGCAGGGTTTTTCTTCCTTTAAAAGCCTTCTGCTCCACACATTGACTGCTTTCTTGCTTCCCATGTTATCGTGTACACACTTCACTGACAACCTTCAGCCTGTATCACCTGAGATATGTTTCTCCTGCACAAAGACACAGCATCCTGCTGATTCTGTCTTTGTGGTATTAATGGCAGATGGCTTTAAAAATGCTTGTGGGGGTCAGGTGCAGTGGCTCACACCTGTAATCCCAGCACTTTGGGATGCAGAGGTGGGATGCTGAGGTGGATCACTTGAGGTCAGGAGTTCAAGACCAGCTTGGCCAGCATGGCGAAACCCTGTCTCTACTAAAAATACTAAAAATTAGCTGGACATGGTGGCAGGCACCTGTAATCCCAGCTACTTGGGAGGCTGAGGCAGGAGAATCGCTTGAGCCCAGGAGGCGGAGGTTGCAATGAGCCAAGATCGCACCACTGCACTCCAGCCTGGGTGACAATTACTTGTGGGAATCTGCATGTGAACGTACCTGGCTGGGAACACCCTGGCAGATACAGTCATTTAATGCCAGGAATAAAGGGCAGGAAGGTGTATAGTGAGAGAATCTGAGAAATGGGCACCAGGTGTGGAAAGAGCTGTAATGTGAAGTAGAAATGGGTAGGCTTGCTTTATGTCTTTAATTTCTTTCTTTTTTTTTTCTTTTTTGAGACAGAGTCTCGCTCTGTCTCCCAGGCTGGAGTGCAGTGGCGCAATCCTGCCTCACTGCAACCTCCGCCTCCCGGGTTCAAGCAATTCTCCTGCCTCAGCCTACCTGGTAGCTAGGACTGCAGGCGCACACCACCATGCCCAGCTAATTTTTGTATTTTTAGTAGAGACAGGGTTTCACCATGTTGGACAGGGTGGTCTCCATCTCTTGACCTTGTGATCCACCCACCTCGGCCTCCCAAAGTGTGGGACTACAGACATGAACCACCATGCCCAGCCTATGTCTAATTTCTTTTTAGCCTGCTTCCTGCTTTTTTTTTTTTTTTGCCACATGATTCTGGAGAATGCCAACCGATATCTACGAGATCTGTGAAACTGAGTTATACATATAAGAACTACTTTGTGAAGAAGATTTACCAGGACACATGCAAAGGATTTGGTGCGAGAAATTTCCATTGTAATGCTGTACATGCTCAGGTTCAGGGACTTCTAAGAGGGAAAAAAAGGCCACAGAGCTGTTGTCCAATCAATAGCCTCATTACCACTCAACCAATAACTCCATTAACACTAATGATGGCTTGTTTCCACTCCTGGCAACAAGGTCTGTACTTGTAGAATGACTAATGGCCACTTCATACAGAAATCCACGCCATCTCCTGTTCAATGTGCATCTGTGTCCCAGGCAGGTGGGATGTTGTTCATAGTTTATTTTTATACGCTTTGAATCATGTAAATCTGGGCCTGATGGTGAAAACTTGTCTGCCAAGGGCCAGTATGTAACGACAGTGATCGTGATGTTAATTGTGGTGGCCCGTGTTCATAGCACCATCCCACAGGGACTCCTCATCCATCATTTGGCTTTAATGTTCAGCCAGTCCTGCTCATTTGGGAATCAGCATGTCTTCTTGATGTAATGGTAGGTAAGTTTGATTGTGAAAATGAGGAACGGGCGTGCTCAGTGCTTGCCGAGGGGCTGGCACCGAGTCTACTAGGTAGAACAGGGGTTTCTACACCTAAAACATGTCATTGCGGTTCTTTTGCTGTCTTGGCATATGATTAATTACTTCACCTTTGTGTGTTCCTTAGTACTTTTCAGTAGACACAATAATGCCAGCTACCATCCTGGGATATAATGCTATAAAAACTAACTATAGTTCCTTGAATGTTTGTGTTTAGGAGGTGATACAGGCTAAAAATGTGCTTAAGATCAAGAAGATCTTAGATGCTATAGTAAATAATAAAGTATAGAATTTAATGATGAGAGTAGAATATTTTGGTTTTACACAGCACTTTGAGGTTGATAAATGGACACTACCAGGCTCTCTTTCAGAAGGATACACTGCATAGAGCATCATCCCTGTCATCATCACCATCAAATAACACCCCTTTGTAGGGCTTAATAATATATGATCTGCAAAGAGCTAATAATCTAGTGATAGGAACTCTCTGGCCCTTAAGAATGTACATTCTAAAATCAACTAATCATTTAGTATATCCTCTTGGTAAATGAGAAAAATGTAAATTTAAGCAAACATAATTGTGGAGAAGTTGGACCTCTTGTAGGAAGTCATTTCAGGATGCTCTTCTCATTTAGTTGAGAATCTCGATGTGTTGGGTGAGCAAAGAGCTGATTTCACTGAGGACGCCAAGAGCACTGAATGTGCCACATAAGAGAGGGAGAAACAGAAAGAGGTAGGCTTTAAGGGGGTAAGGTGAAACCAGTTGACAACTGTGCTGCCAGATAAGCAGTAATAATATTACTTTTATTTCTATTGTTTAAGTAACATTGGTATAAGTACCTATTTTACCAATTTAAGAAAGTTAGTTCACTATTTCAGTGTTAGAACAACATGTAGTTTATAACTAAAAGCACCTTGAAATTAGTATAGATATAAAGATTAGATCAAAGGGGCTGGCTGAGCACACCCACCTACCTCTCCTTCCCTTTGCTTTCATTATTTCTTTGCAACTTTCTTCTTGCCCACCTACCCAGGCAACAAGTCCTCCTCCTTCCCCTAAAACACTGGGGACAGGAGACAGCAAACAAGAACAGCAGCTACCAACAAGCGAACAGGGAATCTCAGACCTAATAATGAGTGATGCGCAATCAAGAAACATCAGACACTTGGGGGCAAAGCAGCACAGTGAAGCAGAAAGAACATTCCCTAGCAATAGCAGAAGAATGTCTTTCTGTGAAATTTAGATTTGCAAAATCTGAACACCTTGGAATTGTTGCAGGTGAACATCATGCCGTGGCCAGGGTAGATGGGCCCCGAACAGAAATAACACTTCTCAACAAGCATGTTGAACCCGTATGGGTCCCCACTGACCAAAGGCCAAACTTGAGAGGAAGTGACCGAATACCTTTCTAGTAAAGCAAATTAATAGCAATGCTGTTAGTGCCAGGAAAAGAAAAAGGGTCATCAATTGAAGGCAAATTTTAGGTAATCCCTGCGAAACAGAAAACAGACAGAATATGATTAATGAAGACAATGATAGCCTCAAACCCAGAAAGGGCTGTGGCAGCAAAAGAGTGGCCACTACTCTGGGAATGTTCCAAGTTCGGGGACATTGGACACAGGGAGCAGCAGGGAACCTGGGAAACCTGAAAAGCGATTGGGTCGAGAACGACATTCAGAGTTCCCAGTTAGGTCTGGCCCTTTGCCAAGCTTGTGCCAAGTAGGTAACAGCAGAGGTGTTTGCCCTCAGCTCAAAGTAATGAGTGGATGTGCCCCAGGGCTGGAGATTCCACATAGCTCAAGGGGAACAGGGAGGCTGGGCGCGGTGGCTCACGCCTCTAATCCCAGCACTTTGGGAGGCCAAGGTGGGTGGATCATTTGAGGTCAGGAGCTTGAGACCAGTCTGACCAACATGGTGAAACTCCACCCCTACTAAAAATACAAAAATTAGCTGAATGTGGTGGCACATGCCTGTACTCCCAGCTACTTGCGAGGCTGAGGCAGGAGACTCACTTGAACCCGGGAGGCGGAGGTTGCAGTGAGCCAAGATTGCACCACTGCACTCTAGCCTGGGGAACAGAGCGAGATTCTGTCTCAAAAAAAAAAGAAAAGAAAAGAAAAAAAGAGGAACAGGGAGCCTCGGACTCAGGAGATGAGCTGCTACACACCTTCCTCCCAAAGAGACATGCCTCCTCCTTCCCCTCAAACACTGGAGGCAGGGCACTGCAAAGAGACAGCAGTTAATGACATGGGAGCAGGGAACCTCAAACCTCACAACCAAGGAGCATGAGACACTTGAGGGGAAACAGCACCATAAACAGGGGCAGCAAGGCCCACAAGGAACCTACAGGAGGAAGGAACCTACAGGAGGAAGCATCATAAACAGAGCAGACAGAATAGGACAATTACAAGAAGTATCACTAACCATAGTTTTCAACCAATTTTTTAAATTAATTTATTTATTTTTTATTATACTTTAAGTTCTAGGGTACATGTGCACAACATGCAGGTTTGTTACATATGTATACATGTGCCATGTTGGTGTGCTGCACCCATTAACTCATCATTTATATTAGGTATATCTCCTAATGCTATCCCTCCCCCTCCTCCCACCCCACAACAGGCCCCGGTGTGTGATGTTCCCCACCCTGTGTCCAAGTGTTCTCATTGATTTTGAACCAGTTTTTGAAAACCAGAAAGATGAAATTCTCTTGTCCTTCTTTTGTCTCATTTGAGCACAGGATTATACTGGGCTCCTAATGAGCTGGAGCTGGTTAGCATCACCTGCCTGTCCCCCCACCCCTTTTTTTTCTGTGCCCTGGAACAGTTTGCATAAGCTATGAGTTATTTGTTCCTTGGAGGTTTTAGAAAATACACCCCAAACCACCATATGGGCCTTGAACCTTTGGCAGACAGAATACCTCTTCAAATGTTATTTCATTTTTTTCTATGGTTGTTGGTTTGCATAAGCTTTCTACTCCACTTTGGACCAACTTTGGAACTTTTATAATCCTGTGAGTTGCCTATGTCATCTAAGCTTGCAAATTCAATGAAGTAAAGAAATATTAATTTCTAATTTTAAAAAACTCTTTTGTATCTGTAGTTAAGCCTCCTTTCATTGCTTCTGTTTTTCATTACTGTCTTCTTTCTGGTTTTTGTCTTAATTATACTTCTAAATATTTGTCTATGATGTTGGTCTTCTCAAATGTTGGTCTTATGATGTTGGTCTTTTGAATTATTTTTATTTTTTTGAGACGGAGTCTCACTTCGTCACTCAGCCTGGAATGCTGTAGCATAATTTCGGCTCACTGCAACCTCCACCTCCCGGGTTCAAGCAATTCCCCTGCTTCAGCCTCCTGAGTAGCTGGGACTACAGGTGCCCGCCACCATGCCCGGCTAATTTTTGTATTTTTAGTAGAGACAGGGTTTCATCATGTTGGCCAGGCTGGTCTTGAACTCCTGACCTCATGTGATCTGCCCGCCTTGGCCTCCCAAAGTGTTGGGATTACAGGCATTAGCCACCGCGCCCAGCGCTTTCGACTTTTATTAGTCAAATCTACTGTTTTATTTTATTTTCTATTATTAATTTTTGTTCATTCCTTTATGATTACTTTAGTCCACTTTCTTTAAGTTTATTTTCTTGCTTTTTTTTTCTTTTTTTTTCCCTGAGAGAAATTTTAAAATTTTTAAAATTTTCTTCAAGGCTCTAATTTTTCTCTCAGCACAGTCTTTGAGTTGTAGGTCTTTTTGCTGTCTAGTCCTAAAGAATTTTGACTTTGACATTCTTTTTAGATGTATTTTTAAAAATACCTTTAACATAAATATGTATAGTTGCTAGAAATTCGTATTTTGTTTGCTTGTTAAGTCCTTTTAATGATTACCATATCACTAAACTGTGGTAGTGAATTCAGACTGTAGACAAAATTTTTAATTTTTTGTTGAGCGTTCCTTCGTGGATTAGGGAAATGTCAAATTGTTTGAAAAGTGCTTTTGTGAAAATAATTTTATAATATCTCTATTACAGAGATATATTTCATATATCATACAATTTATCAATTTAAATGGTTTTGAGTATAATTGGTATGTGCACCTGTCTACCTAGTCAATTTTAGAACATTTCTATCAAGCCAAAAAGAAGCACCATACTCTTTCACTATTATCCTCTGTTTCTTCCCCACCTTTTCCCTCACCGAGAAATGACTAATTTACTTTCTGTCTCTATAGATTTGCTTATTCTGGACATTTTATATAAATAAGATCATATAACGTGATATTTTATGTCTGGCTTTTATGACTAAGTGTAAGTGTTCAAAGTGTTCATCCATGTTGTAGCATGTAGCAATCAACATCAAATAGAAGTGGTAAGATACGACATTCCTTCCTTGTTCCTGATTTTAGGGAGACAGCATCCAGTCTTTCACCATAAAGTATGATGTTAATTACGAACTTTTTGTAGATGCCCTTTGTCAGATGGAGGAAGTTCCATAGCTAGTTTGTTTAGTGCTTTTTATCATAAGATGCTGTCAGATTTTATCACATGATTTCTCTGCATCAATTGAGATAATCAATGGTTTTCTCC
This sequence comes from Homo sapiens, assembly GCF_000001405.40. Classification (NCBI taxonomy): domain Eukaryota; kingdom Metazoa; phylum Chordata; class Mammalia; order Primates; family Hominidae; genus Homo; species Homo sapiens. The sequence continues at coordinate 100,374,184 of NC_000002.12, read as the reverse complement.
TTTCTTCTACTAATTTGGCATATTAATTTAATGGATGTTCCAGTGTTTAAAAAAACACTGTGTGCCTGCGAAAATTCCCCCTTGGTGATGATATATAATCCTTTTTATACAACTCTGGATTCAGTTTTTCAATATTTTGTTGAGGATTTTTATGTCTATATTCATAAGAAATAGTGGTCTATCAATTTCTCATGATGTCTTTGGTTTTGGTATCACGGAAGCAATTGCCTCATAGAATGAGTTGGGAAGTGTTTTCCCTTTTTCTAAATGTTTTGGAAGAGTTTGTTAATAATTGGAATTAATTCTTCTTTAAATGTTTGGTTAAATTCACTAGTGAATCCATCTGGTCCTGTGGTTATCTTTGTAGAGAGTTCTTTATTACTAATTCAACCTCTTTTCTATTGGTCTGTTCAGATTGTCTATTTGTTATCAGTTTTTGTAGTTTATGAGTTTATAATGAATTTGTCCATTTCATCTAAATTATCCATTTATTGACACACAAATTATATTTCTTTATAATCTTTTCTATTTCTGTGATGTCCTTTTTTATTTCTGAGTCTAGTATTTTTTGTCTTCCTTCTTTTTTTTCTTGGCAATTCTAGTTAAAGCTTTGACAACTTTGTTCATACTAACTTCATTCCAGTGAGATATAAAAATGTCACTGCTATAGCTCTATTCACTTCCTCACTTTCTGGGGCATTATTTTTATACATAAACTAATGTTAAACATGTAACACTACATTTTAATAATTATTATTTTTATAATTTTATGTATTTTAAAGGAGCTGTTATGGGTTGAATTATGTTCCCCCAAAAGATATGTACTAAGCCTCAGAACCTCAGAATATGACCTTATTTGGAAATGGGCTTATTGTAAACATAGTTAGTTAAGATGAGATAATTTTGGAGTAGGGTAGGCCCTTAACCCAATATGAGTCGTGTCTTTACAAGAAGAGGAGTGAGAAAGACATAAAAAGGAGAATGCCATGTGAAGACACAGAGACACACAAGGAGAAGAAAAGCACAGGGAAGGCAGACTGGAGTGATGCATCTACCTGGTAAGGAATGTCAAAGATTGCTGAACACCAGAAGCTAAGAGAGAAGCATGGAACAGATTGTCCCCCAGAAACCTGCAGGAGGACTCAACCTTGCTACCACCTTGATTTCAGACTTGTAGCCTCCAGAGCTGTGAGAGGATTAGCTTACATTGTTTCAAGCCACTTAGTTTTGTGATAATTTGTTGTGGCAACCCCAGAAAACTAATACAGAAGTTAAGGAAGGAAAGAAAAAAAGTAAGTATATATGTGTAGCTTTTGTTATTTCAGTCTTCTTATTTATTATGTCTGGCTCTCTTTATTTGCCTGGATTTGAGTTGCTAGCTGGAGTCATTTTCTCAGCCAAATACACTTTTTCTCTCATCCACTTGTGCTGTTATTGGCATATATTTCTATATATTATAGACCCCTCATAACACATCATATACATATACACACATGTATATAATTTCTAACTTATGTATATAATTTATATCATATATACACACATATATAGTTTTATACAATTACTTTGTAAAACAGTTAAGGGAATAAAAGAGAAGAAATATGCATTTATACTGTATGTTATAATTACATGATTATGTTTCCTGGTGGTCTGTGCTTTATCATGGGGATTGAAGTTACTGTCTGGGATAATTTGTTTTCAGCCTGAAGAATTTCTTTAGTGTTTTCTGTAAGGCAGCTCTGCCAATAACAAATACTCTCCTTTTTTGCTTATCTATGAGATATTTGCCTGCATTTTCAAAAAAAAAAAGCTCTATTTGCCTGCATTTTTGAAAAATAGCTTTGCTGAATATAGGGTTTTTTGTTGACAGTTTTTTTTTTTTTTTTTTTTTTGCTTACTTTGAGCACTTTGACTATATTATCCTAATGCCTTCTGGCTCTCATTGTTTGTACTGAAGTCAGTGGATAATCTTATAAGAGTTTCCTTGTGAGTTTCCTTGAAGGTTCCCACTCAGAAGCTGGACGTCCTGCTTGAGATATTCTTGAAAGAATATCTCAAATGGAAAACTTAATATTTTACAGTGCTTAAATTGTTATCTATAGAGCAGTTAAGGGGAACGATAATCTTATAACAGGATCTGCATGATTCTTGGACAGTGATTGTTTTTTTTTTTTTCTGGCTGCTTTCAAGATGTTCTCACTGTCTTTGGCTTTCAGCATTTTTATGGTGATGTATCTATTTGTGAATATCTTTGCATTTATCCTATTTGAGGTCCATCGAGCTTCCTAGTTGTGTAGATTAATGATTTTTCATCAAATTTGGGGAGTTTTCAGTCATTATTTCTTCAACTCTTTGTTCTGCTTCTTTTGCTCTCTCCTCTCCTGGTACCTTCATTATATGTATGTTAATATGCTTAATGGTATATTAAAGGTATAAACTTTCTGTTAGGTACTCTTCTTTTTTTTTCTCTCTGCTCTTCAGATTGTATAATCTGTATTGGGATATCTTTAAATTTGCTAATTCTTCTGCCAGTTCAAGTCAACTGTTGAGACTCAAGTGAATTTTTTACTTCAGTTATTGTACTTTTTAATGCTCTACTTATCCATTTAGTTCTATATGCAGACAGTCCCTGATTTACAATGGTTTGATTTACATTTTTTGACTTTGTGATTAGTTTATCAGGATATTAAATGCATTTTTTTATAGAGACGGGTTCTCATTATGTTGCCAGGCTGGTCTCGAATGCCTGGGCTCAAGTGATCCTCCCACCTCAGCCTCCCAAAGTGCTTGGATTATAGATATGAGCCACCAAACCCAGCAAAAATACATTTTTGACTCTTCATATTTTTGACTTACAATGGACTTATCCATTATAAGCCAAGGAGCATCTGTGTGTGTGTGTATGTGTGCGTGTATATATACACATATGTGTGTAATTTCTATCTCTTTATTGACATTCTACACTTTATGCAACATTGTCATCATACTTCCTTTACTTCTTTAGTCATGGTTCCCTTTACCTCTTTAAACAGGTTTGTAACAGCTACTTTTAATATTTGTCTGTTAAATCCAACATCTAGTCACTTTCATAGCCAGTTTTCATTGCTTGCTCTGGTGGATGGGTCATATTTCCCTGTTCTTTGTATGCTTTATATATTTTTATTGTTAGAAACTGGTCATTTTATAGTGACACCATACCTATGAACTTTATAGAGTTAATCAAGGAGCAAGAGAGGGGCAGATGGGAAACTAACCAAACCTGCAGCACACTCAGCATTGATCATTAGATCAGCTACTCTCAGACCTGCTTCCTCAAAGTTTTTAGCTACCTACTGTCCAAGAATCATGCAGATCCTGTTATAAGATTATCATTCCTCATGGCGTGAACCCCGGGGGGCGGAGCCTGCAGTGAGCCGAGATCGCGCCACTGCACTCCAGCCTGGGCAACAGCGAGACTCCGTCTCAAAAAAAAAAAAAAGATTATCATTCCTTTTAACTGCTCTATAGATAACAACTTAAGCACTGTGAAACATTAGGTTTCCCATTTGAGATATTCTTTCAAGAATATCTCAAGAAGCAGGACATCCAGCTTCTGAGCAGGAACCTTCATAATGCCAGCAACAAAAGAGAAAATTAAATATGAGTGATGTTGAGAAAGGCAATAAGATTTTTGTTCAGAAGTTTGCCCAGTGCCATACCGTGGAAAAGGGAGGCAAGCGCAAGACTGAGACAAATCTCCATGGCCTCTTTGGGCAGAATACAGGTCAGGCTGTTGGATTCTCTTACATGGACCCCAATAAGAACAAAGGCATCACTTGGGGAGAGGGTATACTGATGGAGTATTTGGAGAATCCCAAGAAGTGCATCCTTGGAACAAAAATGATCTTTGCCAGCATTAAGAAGAAGGCAGAAAAGGCAGGCTTGATAGCTAGTAATGAGTAATAATTGGCCACTGTTTTATTACAAAACAAAAATGTGTAATGATTTTGTTTTATGTACCATAATTTAATAGATCTCATACACCAGAATTCAGATCGTGAATGACTGACAGAATATTTTTGTTGGGCGGTCCTGATTTAGCCAAGACTGGCTTGTGGTTAAAGACTGGCTTGTGGTTAAATGAACATGTTCAGTTTTTTTTTTTTATTTTAATGGTAACTCTGATTCAGTAAAAGCTATCACTGTTTACCCCTTCTAAAGATATGATTGGGCTTCATTAGTAATGTTTAACTTTTCATAAAGATGGTGAATGCCATCTTAAAATCTATTGGAGATTGGTTTTATATTTAGGTTTATATAACCGGTTATGTGAATATATTTAAATACTGAGGAAATTCCTTCACTGTCTCACAACCAAGTAAGATGCACCTGTGTTTTGTTTCCATTTGCCTCTTAAAGGCAAGAGCTGAAGATAAGGTAGGAATGTCTACTTTATATTTTTGGCCTTAACTGTGCCGATCTGATTACAACTCCCTGTATCTAAAATGGTTCCTTTGACCTATTGAAAGGCATTGTAGTGTGGTTTGTGTGTAATATCGAATAAAGATCATTTAATACTTCTTACATTTATAAAATGTGATGATCTATAAGGTCAGATGCTTTAAAAATAGTAGCAAGTTAAGCATCACTTTAAAATTCTTTACTATCTAAGTTAGACTAAGTTATAATTTAGGATTGTTTAGTCATTCAGAAACATAAAACTGTAGAACTGTTCTGTATTTGTGATTAGGAATGGTGCTTTTGCCAACTTAAAGGATTAAAGTAGAGGAGATATACGCAAATTTAAAAATTATGTGTAATCAATCATAAGACTTAAGATAATTACAATCACAGATCATGAAAAAAAAAAAAGAGAGATTCTTTTAGGTCCTGCATACTAATGAAACAGCTGATGCAAGCTGGTCTTCAGGACCCCAACAAGAAGCTGATTCACCAAAGAATGCAGTTTCCAGATCCTGGTGATTTCATCCCCTTTACCCTGACCAATCAATGACCTCAATTTTCCAGCCCCTGCCCTTCATAATCCCCTTAAAAATCCCAGACCAGAACTCCTCAGGGAGATGGATTTGAGGGTCTTCTCCCATCTCCTCACTTGGCTGTGCTTCTATTTTTAATGTCTTTCTCTGCTGCAAACCCTGCTGTCTCAATGCACAGTGGGCATATGAACCTATTGCTCCTGTAACAGTAGAATACATTGTAGTAACTCTGGCTACTGGTCCCTCCCCCACCTTTGGGGTTTGTTATTGTTATTTGCTTATTTGTTAGTGACTGGCTGGATTATTAAGTCTTTTTTCATCCTACCTTCCCCCATCTCCCCTTCAGTGTCAAGCCTCTCATGTCTGATGTTGCTCTGCAGAGGGTATAGCCTCCTGTATGCCCACAGTGACTTTGGGATAACAGTAATTTTGGCAGTGCTCTTTTTTCTTGACTATACCCAGGTGTTAAGCTTCAGTAATTGCCAGTTGATTTCTTTATTGTTTTCAACAAAGCCTGGGGCATATATTGCTTCACAGGCTAATCCAATCAACCTGGGGGTCTTTTGGAAGGATAGTTCCCTCTGCATATGTTTGAGATTTTTTTTTTCTGACTCCAGAAAGTTTCTTCTAAGCTGTCTCTTTGTGTTTTTTTGTTTGTTTTTTGTTTTTTCTGGAAAATAGCTAGCTTGCAGTTTAGCCTATATCTCCAATGAATCTATTAATCTCCTCCCAACTGCCTGTCACTACACCTTGCACTGTTTGAGCTTCTCCACATTCTTGCAACTGCAGCCAGTTGCTTTTTTATTGGATTTGGAACTCTGTTGTACAGCTTGCTTATCTCCCTGGGCAAAATCTATGAGCCACTGTTCTTGTCCTGGGGGTAGGGACAATGGCAAGCTTCTGAGTGACATCCCTGCTTTAAGAGCTGAGCACTCACTGGATGGAGGGAAGCAGCACCGGGTCTCCTCAGCTTGCCACACAAGCCAGGGCAAAGGCAATTGTTACCCCAGGATTCTCAGTATCCTTCTGCACAGGGAGAGCCTTCATCCCATGAGTGTGAGCTGGCCAAAGGAAGGGAGCCAACCTCTCTCTGTTGCACTAACCTGGAGCTTGGCCACAGCAACAAATATCTGGGGGAAGGATGAGAAATCTCATGCCCTGCCCCTCCTGGAAAGATAGCCCTCTGACTAGCAGTTTGCATGGGAGAGAGGAAAAAAGAGTCCCTGAGTTCTTGGCTGTACTAGTCTGGAGTTGAGTTTCCATCTAGCTGAGCTGGGAGCAGGAAGACAGTGCAGGTCTTGTTTTAAATACCACAGACTCTTGCAGTTCTTACTGAGTTTTAGTAAATTTTTTAAAATTTGAACTGTAAAAAAATTTTTAAAAATTTATTGTGTATCTCTAGAAATATTTTCATAAAACTTTAAATGATTGTGTATTTTGTGCATGTGTGTTATTGTTTTGTTTTCTAATTTAAATACACAAACGTAAAAATCAAGTGTGTTTCTTTAGGTTTACTTGATAGAGATTTCTGTATATTGTATATTTCAGAGGATTATATAACTGTACATGAAAACATAGAACTTCACAGGTTTTGTTACTTGAAGTAGAAGAAACGTTCACAGGAAGTTTAAAACAAACAAACAAAACAAATCCTGTGACCTTCAGAGCCCTAAACAATTATTGAAAGGCAAACTAGGGAACAATGGCTGGTATCGCTTAACTAGGCCCACATTTTAGCAACATTCAGGCCCCTCCCATAATCCTAATCTTGTGGTCTTTCATAGGTCTTACAAAAGTGACTTCAGTCCTGAGCAAGGAGGGGGATAGCAAGGAAGGGACTGTTACCATCTTTGTTTTAAAGCTAACAAAGGCAGTTAGCTTGTGAGGTTTAGAAACAAGATGTTATCAGTTAGGTTAGATTTCTAATTTTTGCAAAGGCAGTTTCAGTTCAGTGTTCTAAGATTCACCCATTTTTTTTGAATTAATGTGTCCTGAATTGTTGCAACCCTTTGGTTAATTTGCAGAGCTCTAAAAACATTGATTCTGACAATTCTTTTTGCCAGTTTTTTTTAATTGCTTTTATGAAGGAGATAATTTTCAAAGGTCCTTACTGTGATATTTTCTGTGATATCACCCTTTTATTGTTTAATGACTGCAGAATTGTAGTAATAGACCTTATTTCATTCCTTATATTGATGATTTGTATCTTCTATATTTTTATTGTTATCAGTCTTGCTAAAGTTTTATTAATATTAATTTTTTTCAAAGCTTTTTGTTTCATTGATTTTCTCTATTAGTGTCTTATTTTCAATTTTATTTTTCTCTCATCTTTATTTTTGTCTTTTTTCTTTGGAATATTTTTGCTCTTCTTCTACTTGATCAGATATTAATATAGCCTACTTTTTAAAAAACTTTTTTTTTTTGAGATGGAGTCTGACTCTGTCACCCAGGCTGGAGTACACTGGCGCAACCTCAGCTCCCTGCAACCTCCGCCTCCCTGCAACCTCTGCCTTCCAGGTTCAAGAGACTCTCCTGCCTCAGCCTCCCAAATAGCTGGGGTTACAGGTGTCCACCATGATGCCTGGCTAATTTTTGTGTTTTTAGTAGAGACAGGGTTTCACCATGTTGGTCAGGCTGGTCTCAATCTCCTGAGCTCAGGCGATCCACTTGTCTCAGCCTCCCAAAGTGCTGGGATTACAGGTGTGAGCCACCATGCCTGGCCTTAGATGTTGGCTGGGCGTGGTGGTGGGCGCCTGAAGTCCCAGCTACTTGGAAGGCTGAGGCAGGAGAATGGCATGAACCCGAGAGGCGGAGCTTGCAGTGAGCAGAGATCACTACAGCCAGGGTGACAGAGCGAGACTCCGTCTCAAAAAATAAATAAATAAATAAATAAATAAATAAATAAATGCACTTTAATAATTTTAACTTAATGTCAGGAATGAAATAGATATCACAATAAATTTAAATTTTTAACAATTTTAGCTATTAGACTTTTAATTTTAAAATTCATGTTTGCATGGTATATCTTTCTGTATCATTTTTTTTATGTATTTATTTTTTTGAGATGGAATCTCGCTCTGTTGCCCAGGCTGGAGTGCAGTGGCATGGTCTCAGCTCACTGCAACTTCCACCTCCGGGTTTGAAGTGATTCTTCTGCCTCAGCCAACCTGCCTAATGTCACTGAATTTTAAACAGCAGATAATTAGTTTTTTTTAATACATATTTGGTTAGTTTCTGTGTTGTAGGAAGTCAGGGACCCCGAATGGAGGGACCGGTTTACCAGGACCCATGTCTGCCAGTAACCATAAAGTTGACTGTTTGGTCTCTTTTGCAACCCAAGAAGCTCAGGAGTTCCATAATCTCACTCATGTCAATGCTGCTGGATTAAAAGATAAATTTGCTCTTACCTGGAAACAGGCTAAGTTTATTGTTCACAGCTGCCTTCAGTGTCAAGTCTTTGTACTTCTAAACCAGGAACCTGGCGTTAATCCCAGAGGCCTAATTCCTAATGCTTTATGGCAAATGGTTGTGACTCATGTGAGCTCCTTTGGCAGACTGTCATATGTGCATGTTTCTGTAGACACCTTCTCAGGTTTTAACTGGGCTACTTGCCAAACAGGGGAAGGCACGGCCCATGTTACAAAACATCTGTATTCTTGCTTTGCAGTTATGGGGCTTTCATATCAAATTAAGACAGACAACGCCCCTGGATGTGTTAGTAAGGCTTTTGATTTATTTATGCAACAGTGGGGAATTTCCCATATTACTGGAATCCCTTACAATCCTCAGGGACAGGCTGTGGTGGAACGGGCCAATCACACTTTAAAAGCCCAATTGTCCAAATAGTCTGACCAACAAAAACATAATTTAACTACCCCCCACTCCCAATTACATTTGGCATTGTTTACTTTAAATTTTTTAAATGTCCCTAAGAATAATAATCTAACTGCAGCCAAACGCCATTATACAGGCAAAAAATTCTCCCTAAACGAAGGCAAGCCAGTGTTATGGAAAAACTCCCAAAGTAATACTTGGGAACCTGGCACAATTATAACGTGGGGAAGAGGATATGCTTGTATTTCACCAGGAGATCATCAATCCCCTGTCTGGGTACCCACCAGGAGACTCAAGCTTCGGGTGAATACTGACAATGAAAACCACAGGGAAAAGACGTCTGTGTCAGAGACCGCCCTCAGACGTGGTGAGATCTGTGCCGACTCCTCAGAAGCAGGCACACCAAATCACAATGGGTCTGATTCAACCCTCCCTAATGGCAATGGAGACCCATCTAACTAATCCCACTTCTCCTGATTACCTTTCTTTTTCTCCTTACAAACCTAAAAATCTCACTATTTCTATTAGCCTGAAAATAACATCCCTCTGTTCTCTTCCTCCTTCAGCACTGAATCTCGCTTACAGTAGGTTTTATTTAATGATTCTCCTCCTTATACTTTCTGTCTCACCAGTTTCCTCTCACACTGATTTACCTGCTACACATAATTATTCTTATGTGCCTTTTCCTCCACTTATTCGACCTCTTACCTGGATAGATGCTCCTGCAGAAATCTACACTAATAATAGTGTGTGGATGCCTGGAGCTATAGATGACCATTGCCCTGCTCAACCAGGAGAAGAAGGCACTGCATTTAATGTTACCATGGGTTATAAATATCCTCCTCTGTGCCTCGGACATGCACCTGATTGTATCCATCTAGAAACTCAAATCTGGGCTGCTTATCTTCCAGAGAGATCAGCTACAGAGGAACCGGGACATTTGGTCTCTGGCCTCTCCCTTTCTCCTTTAAAACAAATGAAAGGGGGAGTAATTGGAGATACCCCATACTTTCAATATAAACCTGCAGGAAAACCATGCCCTAAAAATTTTGAGGGCCCATCTAAAAGTTTAATTTGGGAAGACTGTGTTATCTCACATGCAGTAATATTAAAAAATGACTCATATGGTTTAGTAATAGACTGGACACCAAAGGCCTATTTAAAAAACAATTGCTCCTCTGGTGGAAGGGAATGCCTGGAGGCTACTTATTTTATTTCTTATTGGGAGAATGAGAATCATCATTCTACTTTGCATAGGAGGTTCAGCTCATTCTTTCCCTTAAAATGGGAAGATAAAGGCATTACCCCCCGACTGAGGCCTCGTATGATACTCCCCATTCTGAGCCCAGAACACCCAGAACTTTGAAAATTGGCTATTGCCATGTCTGGACTGTGAGTATGGGTAGGGGAAACTATTCTGTCTGTTGTCTCCACTACCGTCCCCCTCTCTCAGTATCAGCGTAGATCCAGACATTCTGCTTTACTTACCTCCAACCTGACTGTTCCCATACAGAGTTGTGTTAAGCCTCCTTACATGCTGTTAGCAAGAAATATCAAAATTTTGATGAACAATCAAACTATCCAATGCATTAATTGTCATTTATACACTTGTATTAACTCCCATTTTGACTCCAGAAAAAGTGTAATGTTGGTTCGAGCTCGAGAAGGAATCTGGATTCCAGTAACTTTGCCCAGAGCTTGGGAATCCTCCCCCTCAATACATTTAATTAATGAAGTGTTACAGCAAATTCTAAAAAGATCTAAGAGATTTGTTTTCACTTTAATCTCTGTGATCATGGGCCTAATTACAGTCACTGCAATGGCCACCACTGCCGGAATGGCGTTACATCACTCTATTCAAATGGCTCATTTTGTTAATGATTGGCAAGCCAATTCCACCTAAATGTGGAATTCTCAACAAGGCATTGATCAAAAATTGGCTAATCAAATTAATGATTTAAGACAGTCTGTTATTTGGCTTGGAGATAGGGTGGTGAGTCTCGAACATCGCGTGCAAATGCAGTGCGATTGGAATACTTCGGATTTCTGTATCACCCCGTATTCCTATAATGAGACTGATCCTTCATGGGAAATGGTCAAAGGACACCTTCTGGGTAGGGAAGATAATTTATCATTGGACATAACTGAATTAAAGAAACAAATTTTTGCAGCCTCTCAAGCTCACTTATCCATTGTGCCTGGAGCTGAGGCATTAGATCAGGCAGCAGAAAATCTTTCTGGACTAAACCCCACAACTTGGATTAAGTCTATTGGGGGCTCCACTGTAGTAAATTTTGGAATTATGTTTCTCTGTTTAATTGGCTTGTTTTTAGTGTGCCAGACCAGTCAAAGAATCTTGCATCAAAATCGAGAGAACGAACAAGCCTTCATCGCCATGGCACATTTATATAAAAAGAAAGGGAGAGATGTTGCAGGAAGTCAGGGACCCCAAAAGGAGGGGCCAGCTGAAGCCATGGCAGAAGAACATAAATTGTGAAGATTTCATGGACATTTATCACTTCCCCAATCAATACTCTTGTGGTTTCCTATGCCAGTCTTTAATCTCTTAATCCCGTCATCTTCGTAAACTGAGGATGAATGTCGCCTCAGGACCCTGTGATGATTGCGTTAACTGCACAAATTGTTTAAACAATTTGAAATCTGGGCACCTTGAAAAAAGAACAGGATAACAGCGATGTTCAGGGAACAAGGGAGATAACCATTAGGTCTGGCTGCCTGTGGGCTGGGCAAAACAGAGCCATATTTCTCTTCTTTCAAAAGCAAATAGAAGAAATATTGCTGAATTATTTTTCTTAGCAAGGAACATCCCTGAGGAGAATGCGTTCCTAGAGGGAGGTCTCTAAAATGGCTGCTCTGGGAACGCCTGTCTTTTACAGTTGTAGATAAGGGATGAAATAAGCCCCAGTCTCCCGTAGCACTCCCAGGCCTATTAGGACGAGGAAATTCCCGCCTAATAAATTTTGGTCAGACTGGTTGTCTGCTCTCAAACCCTGTCTCCTGATAAAATGTTATCAATGACAATGCATGCCCAAAACTTCATTAGCAATTTTAATTTCACCCCGCTCCTGTGATCTCGCCCTGCCTCCATTTGCCTTGGGATATTTTATTACCTTGTGAAGCAGGTGATCTCTGTGACCCACACCCTATTTGTACACTCCCTCCCCTTTTGAAAATCACTAATAATAACTTGCTGGTTTTGCAGCTTGAGGGGCATCACGGAACCTGCCGATATGTGATGTCTCCCCTGAACACCCAGCTTTAAAATTTCTCTTTTGTACTCTTTCCCTTTATTTCTCAGATTGGCCGACACTTAGGGAAAATAGAAAAGGACCCACGTTGAATATCGGGGGGCTGGTTTCCCCAATATCTCTGTCTTTTGGTTTACTTAGACCATTTACATTTGAGGTAATTATTATTATTATTATTATTATTATTGAGACGGATCTCACTCTGTTGCCCAGGCTGTAGTACGGTGGCATGATCTTGGCTCACTGCAACCTCCACCTCCCAGGTTTAAGCAATTCTCTTGCCTTGGCCTCTGGAGTAGCTGGGACTACAGGCACGTGACACCACACCCAACTAATTTTTTGTATTTTTAGTAGAGATGGGATTTCACCAAGTTGGCCAGGCTGGTCTCGAACTCCTGACCTCAGGTGATCTGCCCACTTTGGCCTCCCAAAGTGTGCTGAGATTACAGGCATGAGCCACCATGCCTGGCCTTCATTTGAGGTAATTATTCATATGTTTGTGCTTATGTCTACCACTTTATTTATTTTTTTCAGTTTCCTATGTTTCTTGCTCAGTTTTCCTTTTCTGGTCTTCCTGTGGATTACTTGAATTTTTTTAAAGAAATTTGTCTTGATTTGTTTATAATGTTTTTGAGTGTTTCTATTTGTATAACTTTTGTATATGTGAAATTTTTCACCATTTACTGTTAGCAACATGTTGTTGATATAGGAGTTAAAAAGAAATTATTGGCTGGGCACAGTGGCTCACCCCTGTAATCCCAGTACTTTGGGAGGCCGAGATGGGTGGATCACGAGGTCAGGAGATCGAGACCATCCTGGCCAACATGGTGAAACCCTGTCTCTACTAAAAATACAAAAATTAGTTGGGTGCGGTGGCACATGCCTGTAATCTTAGCTACTCGGGAGGCTGAGGCAGGAGAATCGCTTGAACCCAGGAGGCCAAGATTGCAGTGAGCCAACATCAGGCCACTGCACTCCAGCCTGGTGACAGAGCGAGATTCCATCTCAAAAAAGAAAAAGAAAAAAAGAAATTATTTAGGCAGGTAGTAAGGGTAAGGAAGTCCTCGGTAAGGTTTTCCTTTTAATGAAAAGCAGCCCCCAAATCATTGCTTTTCTAACAAAGGGCAGTCTGTAAAATTGAGCTGCAGACACAGATAAGCAAGCTGGAAGCTTGCATGGGTGAATATCAGCAGTTGTGCCAATAGGAAAAGGCTACCCGGGGGCCACACATGTTTAACATGGCAACTCCATCGGCCCTTTTCCTTGCTCACAGTAAGGAGCAGACAACATGGCGCCAGCCAAGTAGGAAATGCATTTGCATAATAAGATTAGGGTGGGGTGGCCAGCTTCTTCATGTGCTACATAAACGTCACACCTGGTCCAACCAATCTTTGCCCCCTATGTAAATCAAACACCATCTCCTCAAGCCAGTCTGTATAACCCCATGCACTTCACCACAAAACCAAAGACCTGTAGGGCACCTTTCTCTCTCTGCAGGAGAGACAACTATTCTCTTTTCTCTTTCTTTTGTGTATTAAACCTCCGCTCTTAACCTCACTCCACATGTGTCCATGTCCTTGATTTCCTTGGCGTGAGGCAACGAACTCCAGGTATTACCCCAGATGAACGACACTGCTTCCTTGTTACTGCTGGTCAAATACATAAACCTGTCTTCCATTTAGGCCCCTTAGTTTCTCTCACTTTTAAATATAATTGTTTTGAGTTTCAAATGGTGTCTTACTTTTTGTTTCAATCATCGAATATGATTTTAAAAATAAAATGTATCATTCTACAATTCAAGAGGAAGAGGCTAGCCTGTGGTGTACCTTTAGACCCTTGTTTTTTCTGTCATTCTGTCTTCCTTTCTGATGCTCCGAGATTTTTTCTATTAGCAATTTCTTTCTGTTTGAATAACATTCTTTAGCCAATCTTTAGTACTAGGTCTACTAATGACAAATTCTTTTCATTTTCCTTCATCTGAGAATGTCTTTACTTCTCCTTTATTCCTCAAAAATAGTCTTATCCCATATTAAATTCACAGTTAACAGAGTTTTTTTGTTTGTTTTTTTGTTTCAGCATGTGAAGAGTGCTGTGCCACTTCCTTCTGATCTCTGTAGTGTCAGATGAAATCCACTGTTCTCTGAATTGGTGTTTCCCTATAGGTGTTGTATCATTTATCTCTGGCTATGTGAAATAATAGGAAATACTTATATTAGTATCTTCTCTCAGTCCCTGGCACAGAGCTCCTGAAACCCCTGTGATTTCCTGAGCAATAGGGATACTAGGAGAATCTTCTGTTCTAATTTTAGCCTTTGACTAAGATTCCTGACACAGAGCTCCTAAGTCCCTGGGAATTTTCTGGATGACTGGAGCATCTTCAGTTCAGACAAGGTGACTCTTAGTGGGCTCCTGAATAACCTCAGCATGGAGACCAGTTGCCAGGGGGAACTAACTATGTGATTAGGGGGTAAGAACTTTTATCCCCATCCTCCTGACCTCTGGAAAGAGGAGAGGGGCTGAAGGTTGAATTAATCTCCAATGGCCAATGATATAATCAAATGTGCCTGTGTAATGAGGTCTGCATAAAAACCCAACTACTTCAGATGAGCTTCCAGATACCTGAACATGTGGAGGTTCCCGGAGAGTGGCACATCCAGAGAGGGCATGGAGGCCCCACACCTCTTCCTATGTGCCTTATCTACACATGTCTCCATCCAGCTACTCATCTGTTTCTTCTGCTATAGCCTTTGTTAATAAACTGGTAAATATAAGTGTTGCCCTGAGTTCTGTGAGCCACTCTAGCAATTAATCAAACTCAAGGAGGCATTAAGGGAACCTGGATTCATAGCCAGTCAGTGGCTTCAGTGGCATCTGAAGTGGGACAAGTTTGTGGAACTGATCCTTGACATGGGACCTAATGCTGCCTCCAGGTATTGAGTGTCAGAATCGAGTTAAATTAGAGGATATGCAGCTTCTAGCCTCTGGAGAATCTTCCAGAAAATTGATTGATGTGTTGGAATCCCCCTACCCCGTATCTTGTGTCAAAACTGTTGACAGAACTAAATAAAAAACAGAGAGGCTCTTTAAAAGAAGCTGACATTTATTTAGGAATATGGCATTGTAACGGGAATATGCATGCCATAGTAAACTATGTGTGTATTTTGGGAGGCAAAGGAAGACAAGGTTTTTAAAGGAAAAATTGATAGGATTATATATTTTTTGACATAATTATCCTTGGCTACAGGGATCAGTAACAAGAATGGCGCCAGTTTGGGGTTGGACAGGCAGTTGCTGGGCAGATGTCCTGGCAATGTCCTGTATAGTTTTTGTGTAGTCATAGCCTTTGTGCAAGGTTGCAGCTTTTGCAGAATTTTTTGTAATAGTTTTTATCAGGGATTTAAGGCATCTTCCATTATGGCCTTTCCGGGATCTATCTGTTAGGTTTTTGTTTTGTTTTGTTTGTTTGTTTGTTTGTTTGTTTTTTAACACAAGTGATACCATTTTGGTTCTGAGAACTTTTACAAGAGACTGTATGAGAGTAGAGAGTAGGAAAAAGACTGTGAGAGTAGAGAATAAGAAAAAGACCGATTTTTCCTATGTTACGATAGGCTTCATTCACGATTGTTTTTATTTTTTATTTACTTTTAATTTTTTTTTTTTTTTTGAGATGGAGTCTCGCTCTGTCACCAGGCTGGAGGGCAGTGGCATGATCTCGGCTCACTGCAACCTCCACCTCCTGGGTTTAAGTGATTCTCCTGCCTCAGCCTCCTGAGAAGTGGGGACTGTAGGTGTGCACCACTACACCCAGCTAATTTTTGTCTTTTTTTTTTTAGTAGAGAAGGGGTTTCACCATGTTGGCCAGGATGGTCTTGATCTCTTGACCTCATGATCCACCTGCCTCAGCCTCCCAAAGTGCGGGGATTACAGGCATAAGACACCATGCCCAGCCATATTTTTTTTTCGAGATGGAGTCTCTCTGTCACCCAGGCTGGAGTGCAGTGGCGCGATCTCTGCTCACAGCAACTTCCGCCTCCCAGGTTCAAGTGATTCTCCTGCCTCAGCCTCCTGAGTAGCTGGGATCACAGGCATGCACCACAACGCCCAGCTAATTTTTTTTTTTAATTTTTTTTTTTTGTATTTTTAGTAGAGACAGGATTTTACCATGTTGGCCAGGCTGGTCTTGATCTCCTGACCTCAAGTGATCTGCCCACCTTGGCCTCCCTAAGTGCTGGGATTAGAGGCGTGAGCCACAGTGCCTGGCCAAGATTATTATTATTATTACTATTGCCTTTAGTTTCCAGAAGTTTAATTATGATGTGGGTGATAGGCAGAATCATGGCCCCCAAAGATGTCCACACCCTAATCCCCAGTACCTATATTAGCTTACATTGCAAAAGGGACTTTGTAGATGGGATTTGGTTAAACATTCTGAGATGGAAAGATTTTCCTGGTTACCTGGTTGGCCACAACCTAATTTTTTAACTGTTGTGTTCAGAGAGAGACATGATGACTGAAGAAAGCCCACACGGCTGGCTTTGAAAATGGAGGAGGGGGCCATGAACCAAGAAGCATGGGCTGCCTTTACACTCTGGAAAACTTAAGAAAACAGATTCTCCCCAGAGTCTCCAGATAGGAATGCAGTGAGCTCTGAATTGGACTTCTGACTTACAGAACCAGAGATAAGAAATTTGTGTTGTTTCAAGTTTGTGGCAATTTGTTATGATAGCAATAGAAAACAAATACAATGTGTCTTGATGTCATTTTCTTTGGGTTTATTCTATTTGGGGTCTGTTCGATTTCTTAAATCTGTAGTTTGTGTTTTTAATCAAATTTGCAAGTTTTCAGCCACTGTATCTTTGAATATTTTGTCAGTCTCACATTCCTCTTTTTGGAATTCCCTTTGACATGAATGTTTGATCTTTTGTTATTTATCACAAATCTGTGAAGCTCTGTTATTTCTTTTCTTTTCTTTTTTTTTTTTTTTTTTTGTCTTTCTCCTCTTTGTTATTCAGATTGGAAGAGCGTATCAATTTGTCCTCAGATTCACTGATTCTATCCTTTGGAAGTTTCTAAAATATCTATTGTATTTTTCAGTTCAGTAATGTTTGTTTAGCTCTTTTTTATAACTTTTATTTTTTGGCCGAGATTTTCTATTCATTTCATTTAAGATAATTTGTCATTGATTTTTGAAGACTTCTGAAGACTGCTTTAAAGTACTTGTCAGATAATTCCACCCTAAAAATTATCTCTGTCTTGATGTCAGTTGTTTGATTTTCAAATTCAGATTTTCTTTGTTCTTTCCCACAGGTGATTTTTAAAATTATATCCTTAGCATTTTATCTGTTATGTTAAGAGACTCTGGGTCTTATAAAGTCCTTTATTTTAATGAAAAGTCACCCTGTTTAATTATCATGCAGATTCTGTCCTACTTCCATAGCCTATGACTTAATGTTCAGAACCTTTGTGGTGCTGTTTTCATTAACCCTAGTATCTGGTGGGGCATGTATTAGTCTGTTCTCATGCTGCTGATAAAGACATACCCAAGACTAGGTAATTTATAAAGAAAAAGAGGTTTAATGGACTCACAGTTCCACATGGCTGAGGAGGCTTCACAATCATGGCGGAGGGCGAAAGGAACATCTTGCATGGTGGCAGCAAAGAGAGAATGAGAACCAAGCAAAAGGGGTTTCCCCTTATAAAACCATCAGCTCTCATGAGACTTATTTACTACCATGAGAACAGTCAGGGGAAACCGCCCCCATGATTCAATTATCTTCCACTGGGTCCCTCCCACAATACATGGAAATCATGGGAGATACAATTCAAGACGAGATTTGGGTGGGGACACAGCCAAACTGTATCAGAGCAGAAGGGGTTCCTCAGTCCCACCCTCCTGGGATCTCTCTGGTGGAACAGGTGAGTCTCAAACCTAGCAGGGAAGTATTAATAGTAGTTAGTTGTTTATTGTTGGCTGATCCGCAGCAATCTCCTTGCTCATGATGTCAGGCTTACCTGATGCAATCAGATGGACTTCCATTAGAGACAGGGGAAGATAAGCTTACCTGGACTGCTTTCTGTTGCTGCATCAAGGGTCAGAAAACTCCAGGTTTGAGTCATCTTCTGATGGGGAGGGGGAAGGGGACAGGGAACACACAGGGCACCTGCCACAGTGCCATTTCTCCAGTCTTAGGTTTCCAAGCCAGTGTGTCATCTTTCTACCACATTTGACATCTCCAAAGGAGATAGCCAGTTGGCAACCAAAAAAATATATACATATCCAGGGTTTATCCAGTTGTCCTTAGTGGGTAGGAGCAGAGAGAGATGAATCCACACCATCTTGTCTGGACTGCAAGGAGGTAGTATATTTTCAGTTCCAATTTTAATCCCTTCCCACACAATGAAACAATGTTATGCTATTTTAGTTTTATTTACTACTCTCCCTCCTTTTATATTATTGTTGTCATGGTTTATTTATTTTTTTTGAGATGAACTTTCACTCTTGTCACCCATGCTGGAGTGCAGTGGCATGATCTCAGCTCACTGCAACCTCCACCTCCTGGATTCAAGTGATTCTCTTGTCACAGCCTCCCGAGTAGCTGGGATCACAGGCGTGTGCCACCACACCCAGCTAATTTTTGTATTTTTAGTAGAGATGCAGTTTCACCATGTTAGCCAGGCTGGTCTCAAACTCCTGGACAGGCTGGTCTCAAATTCCTGACCTCAGGTGATACACCTGCTTTGGCCTCCCAAGGTGCTGGGATCACAGGTGTGAGCCAACATGCCCAGCCTGTTGTCATGTATTTTAATTAGACATGTATTTTAAAGTATACGTTTTTAAATTTTAGTTCTGTCATATTGTTTTAGGTTCTATTTTTATTCACAAATCTTTATATATAATTAAATAATTATTCCTGTTGTTCATGTTTAAATAAGCATTTTCCTGTGCATTTAGGAACAAATTCCAAAGTTCAGGGTGTGGATGGGCCAGGGTAGTTTTCCTCGCTGTACAACTCAAAGGCTTCTTACTCTGTTGTTACCAGGAGGTAATAGAAAATGGCCTCTCTCTGCAGTTGGGCTCCTCTGATCCTCCCATGTTTCAGAACTGATGCCCCAGTTCTTACTCAGCTCCATTTGGGTTTACAAGTAGCAGGTTTTCCTCATGGTGCATCTTACTTCTTCTGCAAGGGAGGTTGTGTTAAAGGGTTGGCCCCCATCTGATCTCCCTGCTGCCCCTCAGTGGGTCCTGTGATCTTTCTGCATTCATACTCACAAAGGAACCTGTGGAGATGTCCCTATGCTGCCAGTGGTTCTCAGATCTACTTGCAGAGGTTTCCACACAAGTTGGGGTCCGCTATTGGGCCCAACTCTCCCCTGCCCAGAGCTGCAGATCTCACATGGGTCTTAGAAGGTCTAATTGTTGTCAGATGGTTTGGCTGACTTATCCATATTTCATGACTTCTGGGATATTTTGTCACTTAATTTCATTGAAGATGTGGTCCACAAGTTTTTCTGTCCTTATTTTTTTTTTGCGGGGGGGAGTCTTCTTTTATCCCCCAGGCTGGAGTGCAGTGGCCTGATCTCGGCTCACTGCAAACTCTCTCTGCCTTCCTGGTTCAAGTGATTCTCATGCCTCAGCCTCCCGAGTAGCTGGGATTACAGGTGCCCAGCACAATGCCTGGCTAATTTTTTTTTTTTGTATTTTTAGTAGAGACAGGGTTTCACCATGTTGGCCAGGCTGGTCTCGAACCCCTGATCTCAGGTGATCCACCCACCTCAGCCTCCCAAAGTGCTGGGATTACAGGCATGAGCCACCGCACCCAGCTCTCATTCATTTTTGGGAGGAGATTTAAGGAATTTTAGAGGGGGATATTAAGAGGATTTAAAGGAGAGTCAGAAAACTATGATACCATCATGATTTTGCCCCTACTGGACATTCTGCCTTGTGCTTTTTCCCAGACTGTTCTTCTGAATTCAGCCTTGAGTTGGAGTTCTTGACTCTAAGATTCAAACCTTGACCCTAGGTTTGGTCTTCCAGGTGCATGTTCCTATTGGCCTTTCAAGCACCTGACAGTGGCCTTCTCCACATGGATTGGCTTGATTTTCCCCTTGTTCTGGGAACCTCACTTACCCCTGGAACCCAGCTGTGACAGTGACCATCTTATCCTAGTGCATTGGCTCACCTGATGCAATCAGATGGACTTCCACTTCCAGCCTCCCTCCAGCCACCCTCCAGCCAGCTGGAGAGAATCAACCCTTAGAGATCATTTTGTCTACCCTCCTTGTTTTATATGGGGAAACTTAGGCTTAAGTAAATTGGGGAAAATATCCAGAGTCACACAGTTTTTTCATAGCAACATAAACACGATAACTTACAGGTTTGTCTAATAGACACCAGGAGCCTCTGGCAGAGAACAGTCCTGCACTCTTTCCCACCGAGCCTCAACAGAGCCGCAGGATCCTCATGAACACAAAGTGCATGGCAGTCACTTCTAGCAGTTTCTAACCCCAGTGCAGAGCTCTTTCTAAAACACACTCTATTTCTGCTCCTCATCATGGCAACAAATATATTTACCTTTTGGTGTAAGTACACCACAATGCTGACTTGAGTTTTGTTTGTGGTTCACTATGATCCCTGGACTCTTTTCTCTTGTTGTCACAAATAGAAGGACAGTCCCAACTGTATTTTACAATTTCTCCTCTTCGTCCTTCTCCTCCTTTTTTCTGTGCTATGCTTTGCTTTGTTTCCAAATACTTGTTACTTTTTTTCTGAGCATTTCTTCCACAATCATTTATTTATTTATTTATTTATTTATTTATTTATTTATTTATTTAATTAATTTTTGAGATGGAGTCTCGCTTTGTTACCCAGGCTGGAGTGCAGTGGTACTATCTCGGCTCAGTGCAGCCTCTGCCTCCTGAGTTCCAGCAATTCTCCTGCCTCGGCCTCCCAGGTAGCTGGGATTACAGGTATGCACCATCACACCCGGCTAATTTTTGTATTTTTAGTAGAGATGGGGTTTCACCATGTTGGCCAGGCTGGTCTTGAACTCCTGACCTCAGGTGATCCACTCGCCTTGGCCTCCCAAAGTGCTAGGATTACGGGTGTGAGCAACTATGCCCAGCCCACAATTATTTTTTTAAAAATAAAGTGAAGGATTTGGAGGAGGAAAACTAATTTAAAATTATAAATGAGTACAAAATTGCCCACCCTGCACCCCGACCCCGTCAACTGTAAGTAGATCAGGGCGGTATTTCCCAGGCACTTCATGACATCTTTTGTCAGTATCTTCAGCATGATTTCAATGGCTTGAGTGCCTTTGCCACCCGCTTGTTTGGCCATGGTATTTATTAACTTGCACATCGTTATGCTTTAGCACCTCTCATACTGGTGCTCCAGTGAGGGGAGGGTTTAGTGTTTTATTAATGCCTCATTCATTTGTGGCCCATGCCTTCCTTGCCCTCACTGCTGTTACGTTATATTTTGTCACTGAATATTCATTTGGCTTAGCCTGCAGGTTTATAGAATCTGCTATTTAAAAGGCCTCTTTCGTCATCAAAACTCCTCTCAATCATTTTCTTCACCTCTTTTCTTCCAGTTTCTTCTCCTTTCCACTCACTCAACACTGAAAATCATAAATTTCCTATCCACCTTATATCCCTGATTTTTTTTTCTTTTCTTCTCTGATTTTCTGCTGGATCTTGCTATACATATCCCGATACCCTGACTTCCTTGTATAGGAGCAGGTTAGCTGTAAAATATAATTGAGAGGAGAATCTCTCGACCTTGCTGGGCTAGGCAAAAGAAAGATCTACGTATTAAGCAAAATTGCATAAAACATATAAATACATGGAGAAAACTGAGGAAATTTCATGTCTTTTAAAATTAACTAGGAGAGAGGATTCTCATTTTTGCCTTACATCTTTTTGGCTGGTACCAGGGCTGGGATGGGTTCCAAGTCTTGGGCCCATGCACCAGAATTTTATCCAGACCCCAAAATGACTCCTCTCTGGAAGACAATGTTTGATTCCAGCAAAGACGGCACTTTGTCCTCTAACCTTCTTTCGCCCGGGATTCCCCTTATTCCCAGATGCAGCCCGGTCCCAGCCCTGCTAAGCCCAATATCACCTTGGGCTGAGGAATGAAGAGTGAAGAATATACCGTAAGCTGACTCAGGTGCCAGGCAGGTAGGTGTATTCCAGCCATCCTGGCTGATTCCCATGACACTCCCTTGAAACATATTATGAGCTTTATTTATTTATTTTTATTTATTATTTTTGAAGCAGAGTCTTGCTCTGTCATCTAGGCTAGAGTGTAGTGGTAGGATCTTGGCTCACTGCAACCTCTGCCTCATGGGTTCCAGTGATTCTTGTGCCTTAGCCTCCTGAGTAGCTGGGATTACAGGCGCACGCCACCATGCCTAGTTAATTTGTGTATTTTTATTAGAGACAGGGTTTGGCATGTTGGCCAGGCTGGTTTTGAACTCTGGATCTCATGTGATCCGTCTGCCTCGGCCTCCCAAAGTGCTGGGATTACAGGCATGAGCCACCATACCCAGCCTTATGAGCTTTATTTTATCAAAGATTGTCAACAAGGTAAAAGTATGAAACTGTCACAGAAGTGGAACCAAGATTCAAACTTAGGTCCTCCAATTTCTTATCTCAAACTCTATTGCTGATTCATCTGTGATGACACCTTGCCCTTTCTCACTGATAACAAGAGGGCAAACGCTTAATCTCATAGTATATATGTCATTTATTTTCATTTGCTTAGAGGGTTTGCAGCCAGATTTTGGCTGGGTGTTTTGTTTTGGTTTCTGTTTGTTAGTTTTTGTACAAATCCTTGGTCCATTCTGACGCTGTTCATTTTGACCTTGTTTAGGTATGCTCAAAGGAATGTTGTTGTTTTGAAATTAGAATTATCCAGAGACTGGGCTTATGCCCGTTTGACATATTTTTACAGTTTTCTTGGGTTAGGTGAAAACTGTGTTCACTGAATGGTGCTTCTCAAATTGCCCCTTCCCACTGTTGATAAGAGAGATCTACCCAGCAGGGAGTCGTAACCCTCAGGCCTCGAGAGCCACCCAGCTCCTTCCCCTCCATGTAGGTGGTAACTGTGTTCCCTTTATTCCTCCAGTTGGCTCACTGCTCCTTTGGTGTCCTCTATACAGCAGCGTAAACGCTGTCTTTGGACGCTCCCTGGTGCCTCTGGCAATGCTCCAGTGCTGTCCAAGTCATTCCTTAGTCTGGGGCGGTGCTTCTCAACCCCACATCACCCGTGGCTATGGTTAAAATGCACGTTCTGCTTCAGTAGTTTTGTGGCGGGCCTTGAGATGGTTCATTCTGAAGCAGCTCCAGGTGATGCCAAAGCTACTGGCTGGCAGACACCGTTAACAGCTGGGTTCAGGGAGACTTTCTTCCTGTGCCTTGGCCCGCCCCGCTGCACAGGCTATTCCCAATTATCCAGGGGGACTGAGTGGGAGCTGACTTACGGATAACCAAACGTCTGGCTGAAACAAGACTTCGGTCCTGATTCTTCAGGAACAAATTAACCGTGATAGGTATGGCAGGAACCTGGAACGGAGGGGCCTATCTCACCAGCAAGTGCCCTTAATTAAGCTGATAATTAGGCAGCAGTTAATAAGAATGGATTTCTGACTGTCAGTACAGAAGACAGAAGCCAGGTGGCTGGGTGGGAGGCCCAGTGAATGGCACTTCTCTGGAGGATAGGGGGGACAAAAGGGGTCCTGAGGCCCAGCTCATCTAGGCTGCTCTGGAGGGGGCTGGGACTGGCCATGAGCACGAGCCAGGAAGAACAGAGCTTGCCAGGTCCTGCCAAGCCTCAACAATAGTTAATCTGCACCATGGGACTCCAATGGCACAGAGGTGACAGCACTCAGTAGAGTGATTGTATTAGTGCGATCTTGCATCACTATAAAGAACTACCTAGGACTGGGTAATTTATAAAGAAAAGAGGTTTAATTGACTCAAGGTTCCACAGGCTGTACAGGAAGCATGGCTGGAGAGGTCTCAGGAAGCTTACAATCATGGTGGAAGGTGAAGGGGAAGCAGGCACATCTTACATGGCCAGAGAAGGAGGAAGAGAGAGAAGAGGGAGGTGCTACACATTTGAAACACCAGATCTCATGAGAACTCACTCGCTATCACAAAAACAGCAAGGGGGAAATCCACTCCCATGATCCAATCACCTCCTACCAGGGCCCTCCTCCTACATTGGGAATTACAATTTGACATGAGGTTTGGGCGGGAACACAAATCCAAATCATATCAGTGATCCCTGAAGGTGGACTTCTCAGGGCCCTATCGTGACAAAATATGGACTCCTGCAAACTGCTCTGGTGTGCTTCTCCACAACTCTGCCTGGAGAGTGTGTGGAGAGGTCAAGCCCACTCACCCCTGCTGTGTTCTTGACGTGCAATCTGACTTGCTTCTCCGAATTGAGAATGTCTACTACAGAGACCTTAAGTTACTCCTGAACATAATGTACTTTTCATGAGTCTAATAATGATAATCCTTCTATCCAGCCCTTTATTCTTTATGTAGCACTTCCATGTCCACTAGCTTTTTTTTTTTTTTTTTTTTTTTGGAGGTGGAGTTTCACTTTTGTCCCCCAGGCTGGAGGGCAATGGTGCCATCTCAGCTCACTGCAACCTCTGCCTCCTGAGTTCAGGCAATTCTCCTGCCTCAGCTTTCCAAGCAGCTGGCACTACAGGCACCTGCCACCATGCCCAGCTAATTTTTGTATTTTTGGTAGAGATGGGGTTTTGTCATGTTGGCCAGACTGGTCTCGAACTCCTGACCTCAAGTGATCCACCTGCCTAAGCCTCCCAAAGTGCTGGGATTACAGGTGTGAGCCACAGCGCCTGGCCTCCACTAGCTCTTTTGATCCTGAAAACAACTCTGGGGGTTGGGTAGAGCAGTCATCATTGCCTCCTTTATAGTTGAGGGAATTAGCCTGAAACCACACAGTGACACCATCAAGACTGGAATCCATGGCTCCCTGTTCACAGGCCAGTCACCTTTCCATCATATTGTGAGGGCTGTCCATTGCTCCACTGCAGTGCACTGGAATTGATTGAAATTAATCTTGGTGAGTAAAGATCCTGCAGGAAACTGAAAATATCAGCTTTTTTTCTTTTGGAATGCCTGGGGGGCAGGAAATACCTGTTTGCTTTAGTAGTTTTCTTCCATGTGTTCAGTTTTGTATTAACCATATTAATTTTAAATTGATCCTAAAATAGTGGAAGGATTGTTTTTACTTCAGTAACAAATACTGTGCATATGGAATAGCTAACTATTATTCCATGCATTCAAAAAAATTCTATATATACTCCAACTTTCTGTCTGGAGGCTCATTGTGGACCATGGAGTAGGGAGGGGATCCCAAAAGTGAACAGAATCCTCCCTGGGCTTAGGAGACAGAGGTTGGAGTTCAGGCAACTGAAAGTTGTGGGGGCAGAGTACAAGAATGGAAAGATAGAATAAACAGGAGGGAGAAAGAAAGAGCTACAGAAACTTACCTGGCAGTTGCCTTGAGACTTTCCTGAATTATAAAGTGTGCACATGTAGGATGAAGCTCCATGAGGTAGAGCAAAGAGAGGTCAGAGTTATGAGCTGAATGGTTCTCAGGGCTCACACACTCCTAGAAATTATGCAAGGTCACCATTAGCCAGAGTAAAGAGTTGTCCCTCACCACTCAGGGCACCCAATAGAAACCCCCAGATGGGCCACATCTTAGAAGTAAGGCTACGCTCTCCTTGATATAAAGGCAACTCTAGATCCACCATAACAAAACTTCAAAAGAAGCCTCAAAAGGAACAGAAAGTAACTTTACCAGAACAATGCCCTATACTTTTTGGGGGGCTGAGGGAGTCTTTCTCTGTCACCCAAGCTGGAGTATAGTGGCACAGTCATGGCTCACTGCAGCCTCGACCTCCTGGGCTCAAGTGATCCTCCCGTCTCAGCCTCCCAAGTAGCTGGGACCACAGGCACACGCTACCATGCTCAGTTAATTGGTTGTTGTTGTTGTTTTGGAGAGATGGGGTCTCACTTTGTTGCCCAGGTTGATCTCAAACTCCTGGACTCAAGTGATCCTCCCTCCTCAGTCTCTCACAATGCTGGGATTACAGTTGTGAGCCACCATGGCCAGCCTTGCCCTGTACTTAAAAAGAAAATAATCCAGATACTCATTAAATAAAAGTACAATTTCCAGCATCCAGTTCAGTATTATTAGACTTGCCAAGCAATAGAAAAATGTGACTCACAACTTAGGAGAAAAATCAGTCAATATAAACAGACCTAGAAATAATAGAAATAATGAAAGTGGCCGCAAAAGATGTAAATACAGTTATTATAATTATGTTTAAGTGCTTAAAGGAAAACATCAGTGTAGTAAGGAGAGAAATGGGAGATATATAAAGGAACCACATGGAAGGTCCTAGAGATTAAAAATACAATATCTGGAAAAAAAATTCATTGTGTGGGAAAAAAAATTCACATACTAGACCATGCAGAAAAAAAGATTAGTGAACTAGAATGCATAGCAATAGATAGAACAGAAACTATGCAAAATAAAAAAGAGACCACTGAAAATAAATCAACAGAATCTCAGTGACCTCTGGGATAATGTCAAATAGTCTAGCACACATGTAATGGGAGTACCAGAAGGAGAAAATGGGGAACAGAAAAATATATTTGAAGAAATAATGGCCTCCGAAATTTCCAAATCTGATTAAATCTATATGTCCACAAGTTTAACAAGCTCAGTGAACTCCAAGAGGGTTAAATACAAAGAAAACCACCCCAAGGCATATAAAATTCCTGAAAACCAGTGATAAAGGAAAAAATCTTAGGAGCAATCAGAAGAAAAAACAGCATATTACATAGGGGAACAAACACAAATCAGTCACAGACTTCTCACTAGAAACTATGAAAGCCAGAACAATGAAATGACATCTTTAACATGCTGAAAGAAAGTAACTTTGAACTTCGAATTCTATGCTCATCAAAAATAGCCTGCAAAAATAAAGGCAAAGAAAAACTTTTATCAGGAAAAAATACATATGACATAATAGCACAAAAGATATGTAGGGAGTGAAAGTAAACTCCTACATATTGTTGTAAACTTTTTGCATAATTATTGAGGAGGTGCTAGGTAAACAGAGCAGCCAGTGTGAACATTTTCAGATGTCAGTCACCTCGCATGAATCCTATGCTCAAAGCCCTCCAACAGTGTTCCACCTCACAGTAAATGCTGAAGTCCCTGCCATAGCCTGTGAGGTTGGGCACAATTTGACCCTCTCCTCTCAAATTCTCACCACCACTGTGACCTCAATTATGAATAGATTAGCAAAAATACACATTTATGAGTCTTTTTAAAATAAAATTTCACCAAGAATTTATGATTATCTTTTCTCTGGAAATTATGAAATACATCTTCTTAAAATGTAAGACCCATAAGACAATGCCATCATCTCCCTTGTCTGGAATTCACTCCAACATGGCAGGGAATTTCTCCCAAGTTCCCATAATTTCTGCTTGGCCACATAGTCCTTTCTCCAATATTACAATTGAGCCCAGAGCAGAAGATCCTGCTCTTGTTGCCTTAACTTTCAGAATGATTTTTAAAATGGTAGCTAAATAGCCTTTCAGGAGCCACAATCTGTGCTAAGGGCTTTTGACCAAGGGGAGCATGTGGGTTACATTGGAGCTTTAATTGTTTCTAATGGATGAATAAAATCCTTGCTGTTCTTCTTCTGAGTCACTGCAGTCTCCACTGCTCCATTTCCTCCACTGTATTAGGTTTCAGACCACGGACTCTTCAGGTTGTCACTAGGGCCCTTTTCCCCTTGCCAACTTATTTTCCAAGCCTTGCCTCCCTTTCCTTGCACATCAGCTAAATGGACCTAGTGACTTAGCCTTGGGAAAAGCCTACTAGTCCTCATCCACACCTCTGTTCATGACGCCCTGCAGCCAGGGTTATTTTTGTCCTCTAAAGACCCATAGCATAAAGAGCCGTATTTCTATAGTTGAAAGCCATACAACCTATTTTCAGTTGCGGATATCTATGAGGGTAAGTAAGGAAAACCAACTACACTGTGCTTGAGCAGACTTCCAGCAGCTGCCAAGATTTTACACTCCTGGGGTGATCTTAACTTGTCCCAAATTTACAATTTATAATAGGCAACTATCATCTCTACAGAAGAAAAATAGAAAAATATGTAATGTAGAAAACTAAATATGCCAAGGTTTGGTGAGAGTTAATCACAAGTTTCTGTAAGAATAGGGCTTATCTTCCATCCCAACCTCTTTTTTAACCTATATTTACTCACTAACTCCCAAGTCAGTATCAAGTGTGCAGGAATGATAAAGAAATGCCTGTAACATTCTAGGAGCTTTTGCAGGCTCCTTGTCCTCCTTCAGCTGTTAATAAATAACAAATTAATGTGTGAACTGGTAAAAATTATTCAGCAGGATTGACTTCCCAGTAGTTGTTGGAGTATATTTTAGGGTAGTTTAACAAATTGGGCCACTGGGGAAGAAGTAGCTGTATTAGTCCATTTTCATAATTCTATGAATAAATACCTGAGACTGGGTAACTTATAAAGAAAAAGAGGTTTAATGGACTCACAATTCCACCTAGCTGGGAGGCCTCACAATAATGGGGGAAGGCAAAGGAGGAGCAAAGCCACGTTTTACATGGTGGCAGGCAAGACAGTGTGTGCAGGGAAACTGCCCTTTATAAAACCATCAGATCTTGTGAGACTTATTCACTATCACAAGGACAGCACAGGAAAGACCTGCTCCCATGATTTAATTACCTCCCACCAAGTTCCTCCCATGACATGTGGGGATTATGGGAGCTACAATTCAAGATGAGATTTGGGAGGGGACACAGCCAAACCATATCATTCCACACCTGTCCCCTCCCAAATCTCATGTCCTCACATTTCAAAACCAATCATGCCTTCCCAATAGTCCCCCAAAGTCCTAATTGTTTTCAGCATTATCTCAAAAGTCCACAGTCCAAAGTCTTATCTGAGACAAGGCAAGTCCCTTGTGCCTATGAGCCTGTAAAATCAAAAGCAAGTTAGTTACTTCCTAGATTCAATGGGGGTACAGGCATTGGGTAAATACATCTGTTCCAAATGGGAGAAATTGGCCAAAGCAAAGGGGATACAGGCTCCATGCAATTGCAAAATCCAGCAGGGCAGTCAAATCCTAAAGCTCCAAAATGATCTCCTTTGACTCTATGTCTCACATCCAGGTCATGCTGATGCAAGAGCTGGGTTTCCATGGTCTGGGGGAGCTCTGCCCTTGTGGCTTTTTGCCTCCCTCTCTGCTGCTTTCACGGGCTGCGGCTTTTCCAGGCACACAGTGCAAGCCGTTGTTGATCTGTGGCAGGCCAATTCTCCCTGAGAGTCACACAGACAGGGCTCCATAGCACTCCAGTTATACAGGCAAACTTCCACAGCGTCTGCCTTAACAGTAAGTTAATAATTAAACCTAGGGAAACTGATGCCCAGACATTAAAGCCAGAAATGAAACATATGTTTCAGGAGAGTCTTGCTCAGGCTTCTCCTGAAGCTTGGAACAAGTAAAGATAATGGAAATAGCTTTACATTCCTTGTAACAGGACCCATCTTGGGTTGACCACACCTGGGGTAAGTCAAGATAACAAAGACAGCCCTACATTCCTCATACCAAGACCCATCTTGGGTTGAATAAATTTACTGGGGGTCTGAAGCAACTCTCTAGACACAAATCGTAGGTAAGATAAGACAGAAGTAATCACTCCAGTATCAGGGCCCTCATTAAACAGACTTAGGAGACATTTCTTAATCACCATGATTCCAGGGCCCTCATGGATTAAGTAGATTTAGAGGACATCTCTGGCCTCTGGCCTTGTAGTTAAAACAAAATTAATCACCTATAAACTTAGGTGAATATGGTACTGAACATAGGCATACAATCTAAACATATGTAGGCACTGGAAAAAATTTATAATCCTGAGTTGGTCTAACAAATTATCTCTGACCCTCTCCCTGTATCCAGTTACAGAAGCAAACTCTCTTCTTTCCCAATTCATATGCATCTCATTATAGGGCCATGAGAAAATGCAGCCAGACCTGGTTCAGTCCGGGAACAGATCTGTCATTCTGGGGTCTAGACATGGTGGCCCTCTTCTCACAGCTCCACTAGTCAGTGCCCTAGTGGGGACTCTGTGTAGGGGCTCCCACCCCACATTTCCCTTCCACACTGCCCTAGCAGAGGTTCTCCAAGAGATCTCTACCCCTGCAGCACACTTCTGCCTGGACATCCAGGTATTTCCATACATCCTCTGAGATCTAGGTGGAGGTTCCCAAGCCTCAATTCTTGACTTCTGTGCACCTACAGGCCTAACACCATGTGTAAGCTGCCAAGGTCTGGAGTTTGCACCCTGTGAAGCAACAGCCTGAGCTCTATGTTGGCCCCTTTAAGCCACAGCTGGTATGCAGGGCACCAAGTCCCGAGACTGCACAAAGCAACAAGACCCTGGTCCAGCCCACAAAAACATTTTTTCTCATAGGCTTCCTGGCTTGTGATGGGAATGTTGCTGGGGAGACTTCTGACATGCCCTGGAGACATGTTCCCCATTGTCTTGGTGATTAACATTTGGCTTCTCATTATTTATGCAAATTTCTGTAGCTAGCTTGAATTTCATTTCAAAAAATGGGTTTTTCTTTTTTATTGCATCATCAGGCTGCAAATTTTCCAAACTTTTATGCTCTGCTTCCCGTTTAAATATAAGTTCAAATTCCAAGCCATATTTTTGTGAATACATAAAACTGAATGCTTTTAACAGCACCAGGTGACCTCTGAAATGCTTTGCTGCTTAGAAATTTCTTCTGCCAGATACCCTAAATCAACTCTCTCAAGTTCAAAGTTCCACAGATCTCTAGGGCAGGGGCAAAATGCCACCAGTCTCTTTGCTAAAACATAGCAAGAGTCACCTTTATTCCAGTTCCCAACAAGTTCATCATCTCCATCTGAGACCACCTCAGCCTGGATTTCATTGTCCATATCACTGTCAGCATTTTGTCAAAGCCATTCAATAAGTCTCTAGGAAGTTCCACACTTTCTCACATTTTCCTGTCTTTTTCTGCACCCTCCAAATTTTTCCAACCTCTGCCTGTTACCCAGTTCCAAAGTCGCTTCCACATTTTCAGGTATCCTTATAGCAGTACCCCACTCTACCTGTACCAATTTACTGTATTCATCCATTTTCATACTGCTATGAAGAAATGCCCAAGACTGGATAATTTATAAAGAAAAAGAGGTTTAATGGACTCACAGTTCCACATGGCTGGGGAGGCCTCACATTTATAGTGGAAGGCAAAGGAGGAGCAAAGGCATGTTTTACATGGTGGCAGGCAAGAGCACATGTGCAGGGGAACTGCCCTTTATAAAACCATCAGATCTCATGAGACTTATTCACTATCATGAGAATAGCATGGGAAAAACCCACCCCCATGATTCAATTACCTCTTACTGTGTCCCTCCTATGTCACGCAGGGATTATGGGAGCTACATTTCAAGATGAGATTTGGGTGGGGACGCAGCCAAACCTTATCAGTAGCATTACTGGATTGCAAATACAGTTGCAAGACAAGGGTTAGCACCAGCCACTTAGGGAGGCTGGGTTTGGGGGAGATTTGACAATTTACCTCATAGGAAGAGAATAATGTGCAAGATTGGGCAGGAAGGGGGTGAAGGAGGGAGTAGAGGGAGCCTTGCCTGAGAGGCTGATATTCAAATACCTCCCAACAAGTTCCCAGCTTTTCCTATGGGGAAGGCAGAACAGAGATAAGCTAAGTCCTTTGCAAGCCAGGGAACTGTCCTGGCTTAAGCCATGGAAGGGCACAGTTGGGGTTCATCCTTCCTCTTGTTCAATAGCTAATGTAACCACTGATTATGTTTAGAGTCAGAATACAGTTAAATCCAATTACATTTCAAACTGTAGTTCCATATTACTCTTTTACTACCATGCTTGATGCTCAGGTAGTATTTCTTTTAGAGTTTTTCCTGAGCATTTGCTAAATTTCTTATGGATATTATCAATTCTACTGGATTTTCAGAGTAAACTTTTCTGAAAACTAAAAAAAATATATAGAGAGAGTTTGACTTTAGAGATTCTTATATTTTCTTTAAGATGGAAATAAATGTATCTCAATTTTTCCAGAAAATAGTGGAAAATAAATCCATTTGAATAAAGCCCACATTGGCCTATCTAAGGTGGAGGAGCTCATAGAAGGACAAAGATCACTTGCCAGTTACCACCGACACTTTCAAAGTTTCTCAGATCCTCCGCACATAACTGAAATGGTTCACTTTGATTCCCCAAGTCAGTTTGCTCAAGGGAATGCTGGACAGAGCAGCCTCTTGACCAGCTTTTAAGTTTACACACAAATAAAAACAACACTCACTCTTTCCAAATAGTCTGAGGTTTTTTCTTTCCTCTTGAGCCCTCTTTTCTCTTTCTCTTTTAATTCCTGTTTTGGTTCAATGACAACCATCTAATAACTCTGTTATGCATGTCTATTTTATTTTTGACAAGTTATAAAGCATGAATTTAATTAAAGCCTTCTGGAATCCATGAGTAAGAGCAGTAATGTAGCAAACTAAACTTATTTCTATTAGTCTTCAGGGGGTGCCCTAATTGGTTTTAGTAATTAATTCACAGTCATCCTTTGCCCCTACACAAATGCATACACATTGTTCAATCCCTTTCTGTCTAACTTTATATTTAAGCACATATCTGTAATACACAGCTGAACAGTAAAGAAAGTAGTTAATTAGCCCACATGGTGGCACACGCCTGGAAACCCAGCTACTAAGGAGACTGAGGTGGGAGAATTGATTGAGCCCAGGAGATCGAAGCTGCAGTGAGCTGTGATCACACTACTGCTCTCCAGCCTGGGAGACAGAGCAAGACCCTGTCTCAAAACAAAACAAAACAAAACAAAACAGATAAAAATGAAAAAAGAAAGTAGCTAAATTTCACAGCACCTAATGTAATTAACATGTGTTATTTAAAAATATTCCGACATAATATTTTTTACAAATTCCAATTTTATTTCTAGCTGGACCTGAGATAGTACTCTCTTATTAAATGCATTGGGTTGACATTCCAGTCTTATTGGCCCACCTGAATTCAGGAATTAAGACGTATCATTTTTCATTTACACTAATCAATTTGTCACCCCTGTGAAAATGACTATTACAGTGAAGACATTTTCTAAATATTGCCAAAGGTAAGTGGGTTATTTTGTAGATAATCTTGAGGTTAGGCTAAGGCACTTGGATAATATATAAAAAGAAAGCAATTGTAAAAATATTTTCATAGGAAGTACATTTATGCCGAAGCTGAATGGAGGAAGGTCAAGGTCAGAGAACATTCTAACCACTGGATCACCACACTGCCCCGACTACAAACGGGGCTGCAGATGTCTAAATTCTAGAAATGAGCATCGCTGGCCACTGGGCATAGGGTACATAGTGGTCAAAAGCTGAGAACCTGAAACCTGTTTGTCTGGATTCAAGTATCAGCACTGGCCTTACCGGGGCCTCTCAGGTGGGGTACGAAAACCCCTTGTGCTCAGTTTCCTCATTTTTATTTTTACCACAAAATAAGAGCAGTAGTGGGGGAAGGTGGGGAGTTAGTGTCTTTTTGTGGGAAACGTCAGGGGTGTGCTCTTGACCTTGTCTTTCATTAGGAAAGGAAGTATCTCAGCACCTGATGAGCACAGGTATGTCTGCAAACATCTCCTGTTTGGGGTAGGAGCTTTGGAAATAGTCAGGAAACTGACACAGATGCTGCAACATCCCATCTGCTCACTGCAGCATCTGAACATTCCTTTCTGAGGTCCCGGCTGTGGAACTGGCTCACCCTGATCCTGGGTGTGCAGCTGCTGGCAGAGCTGGTGTGCTGACCGGCAGGCATGCTGGGACCAACAGGACAAGCTGGCAGCTGGGCTCTGGTCTAGCTCCCCAGACATCTAGTGCCTCCTCTTGAGATCTGTCAAGGGAAGGAGAGTGAGGCAGTGTGGCTGCTATGGTGGAAGCAGCTCCTCCCCGGCCGCTCGGTGCCTGAGCATGGTGAACCTGTTGCTCCAGATGGCTTGTTTATGCTGTTCAACATAAGAGATCATTGAGAGCTCATGCTTCTGTCTGGATCACTAGACACAATGCACCTGGATGACAAATCAATTTCCTCTCTGCTCTATGAGGCTTCGAAGTCAAAAACAAAGCACATTCTGGTGTGTAAGCTGAGGTGACGGCGTAGTTTGATAAGGAAAATTTCCAGGATGGCCACTCTTAAAAGGCAAGCATCTGAGTTACTCATTCATTGGCTCCCGTTTTCTATAAACAGAACCGGCCATATGTCTCTATGGTCACCGGGCTTTGTGGATTTGGAAGAGGTGAGATGGCATTCATCCTACAGAGGTTTATTAGGCATAAACCATGGGCTAGACCCCATGCTAGGGGCTGTTGGGGACATATATCATCTCCTTACATGAACTCACAGTTTCATGAGGGAGACAGGCACAAAAAAAGCCTGCACACGTGGCAGATGGTGAGGGAGTATGGCGCCATCGGAGTTGTCCTCGGGCTGTCAGTTGTCAGCACCTGTGCAGGTGGCGCCAGGTTCATCTTATTTACATTTTTGAATTATTTAAGCAGTTTTAGGATACTGATGTATTCAAATTTTATCCCCCAAAGTAAGCTGGGTCCGGCTTCCATGTATTAGGTGTTCAACCTCTACCAGTACATGCTGGTTCTAGGATTAAACTATTTGTTTCAGTTTAGCTTGTTTGTAAATGAGACAAGGGTGGATATGGATGGTGACTCCATGGTCTTATGTTTTGCTGCCTGACCAGGTAAGGAAAGAGGATGGATTACAGCAGCATGGTCACAGATGGGTTTCTAAACACAGGAGCAGCCCTCATCCATTTGGGTTAACTCATTTCATTTTTAAAGTATGAATATTCTTTTAAAGGATTAAGCCTTATTCATAATAGTAAGTCACTGCAAGTAATCATTAGCCCCTCTCAGAGAGTGCATTTACAGACTTTGAAATTCTGAGATTTGAAGTGGAGGCATTTGGAGAGGAGATGGCCAGCAGTTCAGCAGTGAAATATTTTTAACAGATAGAGGAAGTCATAAAAAGCTGGGGTAGAGATTCACCAAACCATTTATGCAGTAATGCTAGCTTTGTTCCCTCCTCTCTCACACAGCCAAGTTGGGTGATTTAGCCAATCCTATCCTTCCCTTGACGCTCCCTAAAATTACACCAGTGAATTTTAGGGAGTGGTAAGGGAAGGATAGGATTGGCTAAATCACCCAGACACACATCCCAGAAAGAGTTGAGAAGGAAGGGAAAGGAGTGAGCATTAATCATTTCAATCTGATTAATCTGCATAAAGAGAATGGAAATATTAGATGAGGAAAAAAAGTTGGGATTTCAGTAAGTCAGTCTTTGTCAAACTATCTTTAATTTCCAAGTCACTGCAAATAAATACTTTTGTAAAACACAAAAAACCAAATTACTAGGAAAAACAAAAGAAAATAAAGATACACAAAATACAAGCCCAGATTTTTATTAATAGATTCAGCAGAATCTACTTAGTAATACATTCAACATAAAATTATAGTTCAATAAATATAATCAACACAAACATAACATTAGAAAAAAAGAATTACAAAAATTATACACATGTACTGAAAGCAAGCATTTGTACAGGTAGTCTATATACTTGTAACTTTTGGTTGTGTCACCAATGTAACTAGATAAAATGTAATGAGTGAAAGGTGATTCTCCATATGAAATATCTGTATGCACCCTCTGAATGAACACCATGTATATTAATACATGAAGTCTTTAGAGTGACAAATGAGCATGCTTCTTGTGTGTTAATCTCATCTGAATTAGATTACCAACAATGCCATTTGTAGAAGACAAGGTTTCTTTTTTGCTCCATATTTTGTTTTAATAACATTAGCAGTAGAGAAACCATGTCACAGAGGAATGTTGACCAAAATTTCAATTTAAAATGTTTAAATTTTAAAGGAATTTCAGTGAATTCAGGATATTTATTTTGAACTCTTTCCAAAATGAAGCAAGTGATACTATACTATATTTTCAAAATTAATCTTCAATCCTTCATCAGTAGCCAGTTCCAACAAATTTGTCCTGTAAAGTTAGAATTGAATTTAATTACCTTTTGATGAAAGAAATTACTCCTGATTTATTACTTTCTTCTGAGAAATTCTTTTGATGAATAATTAAATTCAGGGCTGGGCACAATGGCTTATGCTTGTGATACCAGCCGAGGTAGGAGGGAGGCCGAGGCAGGAGGATCACTTAAAGCCAGAAGTTCAAGACCAGTCTGGGCAATATAGTGAGACCCCCATCTCTACAAAAAATAAAAATTATCAGGGTGTGGTGGTGCCGGCCTATAGTCCCAGCTACTCAGAAGGCTGAGGCAGGAGGATTGCTTGAGCCCAGGAGTTCAAGCGCAGTGAGCTACGATCGTGCCACTGTGTTCCAGCCTTCCAGCCCAAGGAACAGAGCAAGACGTTGTCTCAAAATTGTCTCAAAAAAAAAAATTCAAAGCATTGTATCAAATGTATAAAAAGTGTGATGATAACTTTTTACAGCTATGCAATATCAAGAGCATCACCTAAATAATTTATCATTGAGGTTAGCTCATGCATGTTCTAACAATCTGTAGAAGCTCTGCTCCTCCATGCTTCCAACTTTCTCTTTTGCCCTCCATCTTATCTGAAATTGAGAAACATGTTGCACTCCTTCCTTGAGTGGACGTATTAATGAAATGACTCTTGTCTGGGGAGTTACCCGTGGTTCTTTGTCTCACACAGAGAAAGATTTCAGGACACAGACACACATGAGGAGTGGGTTTAGGGGTGGAAAATTTAATAGACAAAAAAGAAGAGAGAGAAAGACAGCTTCCTCATGCTGAGAAAGTGGGTCGTCCAAGATAGGGTCTACGGTTTGGGGCAGAACGCAACTGATTTTGTACAGAGGCTTAAGGAGGCAGTGATTGATTTAGATAGGGCCCAGGAGGTTGGTTTGACCAGGTGTGCCCTTTACCTAGCCCGAGAAAAGACTGGCCCTCCCAACCTAATCTTTTATTATGCAAATGTGGCTTCTACCTCGCAGTTGCCATAACACCTGCACATGTGGTTTTACCTGGACAGTTCCATGACACTCGCACACAAGGTGACAAGGAAAAGAGAGTGGAAAATGCCATATTGAATGTACCTCGATGCAGGTACAGCTGCCGGCATTGACATATGAAGCTGAAAGCTCCTGGTTTGTATATCTATGCTTGCGGCCTGACCTTTCAGGCTGCTTTCTGTTAAAGAAGAAATGGTTTGGGGGCTGCTTTTTATTAAAGGAATATTCCACCAAGAACTCTTTTGCCCTTTCTAGCTGCCTAAAAATAATTTCTTAATAGCTGCTATATTATTAAGACAATTAAAAATAATACCAGACAAATGAACAAGTCTGACTGTCCAATTTACATATTTAAAAAGTGGGATTGAACTTGTTTCTTATATTGCAGGAGCCTAAGCATTCATTTTGAAGTTCAAACATTCTCAACAGAACTTTTTTCTTTGAAATATCTCAAGAGCAATAATAATAGTTATTTGTGATCAGCTGTCATGGTTTCACACAATTAAAAAAAATCTTGAGTTTAACACATTTTACTATTTATACTATGTCACTTTAGTTGAGCTGACTTGTTTTCAGAGCAAGCGTTTCTCCGTGAAAGCAGTGGTGCATTATTTTACATTCTGGTACAAGTGCTTAATCTGACAACTCCAGAATGTTTTCCTATCATTGCAGCTTCACCAACAGAACACATGTCTACACAAAACCTAAAATCCAAACACTTTGCTGTAATTCTTCTCATGCAGTTCTTCCTACCTGTATACTATTCAGAACTCGTTGTTTGTTGGCAATAAGGTTGTAATAAGGGATTCTCCACATCAACACACTGTTCAAATTATACTGAAATAATTGCCACATTAATAATATCTGTGCATTCATCAAGTTTCAATAAACAATGCTTTGCTAGTTTCATCTGTTCTGTAAGGTGGTTTTTCATAACGTTAGCCAGTTCTTCAATCCTTTGAGCTACATGTCATTGGGAAGTGGTTCTTGAGCTATTTATTCTCTTTGCCTCAGATTCACTCAACATTTTAAACAAACATCTTTGATGCAGTTTTCCACTAATGTATGCGTGTGTGTGTGTGTGTGTGTGTGTGTTGTATGTATCTATATCTTTTTTCTTAGTGTTTCAAAGTATTACTTTGTAAGATGTGCTTGGGGCACTCATGTCATATGTAAAATATTAAATGTTTCTTCTGTCAGCTTTTATGCTACTCAATCATCCTTCTCTCTCTCTCTCTCTCTTTTTTTTTTTTTTTTTTGAGAGATGGAGTCTCACTCTGTTGCTCAGGCTGGAGTGCAGTGGTGCAATCTTGGCTCACTGAAACATCCGCCTCCTGGAATCAAGTGATTCTCCTGCCTCAGCTTCCCAGGTATCTGGGACTAGAGGCTGTACCACCACATCCAGCTAATTTTTGTATTTTTTAGTAGAGACGGGATTTCACTATATGTTGGCCAGGTTGGTCTCAAACTCTTGACCTTGAGTGATCTGCCTGCCTCAGAATAATCCTTCTCTTAAGGGGTTATTTCAGTTTTGGCTTTTAATTCTTTATGGTTAATTGTAAATGCCATTAGGCTTTGATGACTTCATTGTTTCACTAGCCAGGATGTCTCTGCAAATAACACACTGTGGTTTGAGCCTTTCACCATCAATCACAGCCACAAATCCAAACTCAATATGTGAGAAATCACACTTCTGAGGAAAATTGAAGCTAATTTTTGGTCTTTACTTCCTCATATCACTTACGTCATCATCATGAGCTTTACTGTTTCATGTCTACAGATGCATGCGGAAAACCTGTGTCTTCTCTTGACAAAATAGTCCAGAGAAGCTTGTTTATCAATCTGTAAATCAGAGTTTCAAATAAATAATACAGATTTTACTTCCCTGTTTTAGCTTATAACAGTAAACCAGAAATTTTTAAAAATTACTTTGTGAAAATTATAATTATAATAAATAACAATTATAAAATAAAATAAATGTTTACATTTTCTCAGCATTTTATACACTTGTAGGATACATTTGGCAAATATCACACATTGTATTGTGGTCCTGCTGTGCAGGAGGCTTACCTTGAGGGCTTGACAACACTAAACTTGTCGATACCCTGCTCCCTGAGAAACCCAGGGCTTAGATAGCCCAACAGTGTCACCGTGTCACATTGCTGCAGAGGTTTCTAAGTGCCTACCCTCTGTTTACATACTCATCATAGATTGAAGTACTACCTCACTTTGGTAGTAATGCTGTGAGTCACTCTACTCTTCTGTACCATAAAGCCAGGCCCCAGGGAGGGGGAGTGGACAGGACAGTTCATAGCCCTTGGTCTCCAGAAAATACAGGATGAAGGTAACCTAACCAACAAGGCAGAGCACCCTGGGATCCCCAGGGTTACGGCTCCATAGATTTTCAGAAGAGACTCAGAGTGGCTTCTTCCTCTGCTCACTCCGCTTTTCCTCAGTTGACCCAGGAAATTCAAATTTCCATTAATTTGTTATATTGGTGCTATTAGTATGAACTCTCACTATCCATCCTAATTATCGTACATTACACTCGTTTTTCTAGCATTTGAGGATAACTATGCTTATTTGTATTGTTAAATAGCTATCACATTAACTTTGCTGTAAATTTGGTTTGATTATAGTACTAAATTCTTTCATATACTCAGCCTTTGTTTTGTTGCTCGTTTGGTGTGATTGCATGCCGAGACCAGCTGGGTCGGGGAGACTCTAACCCAGCGGCGCTGGAGGAATTAAAGACGCACACACAGAAATATAGAGGTGTGAAGTGGGAAATCAGGGGTCTCACAGCCTTCACAACGGAGAGCCCCAAACAGAGATTTACCCACGTATTTATTAACAGCAAGCCAGTCATTAGCATTGTTTCTATAGATATTCAATTAACTAAAAGTATCCCTTATGGGAAACGAAGGGATGGGCCGAATTAAAGGAATAGGTTGGGCTAGTTAACTGCAGCAGGAGCATGTCCTTAAGGCACAGATCGCTCGTGCTATTGTTTGTCGCTTAAGAATGCCTTTAAGCAGTTTTCTGCCCTGAGCGGGGGCCAGGTGTTCCTTGTGCTCGTTCCTGTAAACCCACAACCTTCCAGCTTGGGCGTTATGGCCATCATGAACATGTCACAGTGCTGCAGAGATTTTGTTTATGGCCAGTTTTGGGGCCAGTTTATGGCCAGATTTTGGGGGTCTTGTTCCCAACAATTGCATAATTATATCTTAAAAAATTAAAAAGGAAGTCTGAGTCCTGGATCCCTTTCTCCCGGCTCCCTTTTGAAATGGGTAAAGTTCCCTTATCCTCCTCACCAGGTGTGTGACAGGGGTGTGGCTTGCTTCTTTGGTGCCCCACTGCTCAACCCCCTAGCAGGAGCATGCACAAAGGCAGATCATGGGGAGCATTTTTGGGGTCTGACCCCATGGCAGCATGTAGGGTTGAGTGTTTACAGCTCCTGAAGCCCCAGTGGGCATGTGTTACAGTGTGCTCTTTCAGTTTTGCCTTCTGCAAGTGGCTTGTGTTAATCAGCTCAATTAGACCCTCTGTCTTATTACAAAGACAGAGGACTTTCTGTATCCCGGGCTCTTGCCCTAGTGTACCAGAAAAATCGGATCACACGTGGGCTTGAAGGATGGGTGTAAGGTTTTATTGAGTGGTGGAAGTTGCTCTCAGCAAGGTAGATGGGGAGCCAGAAGGGGGATGGAGTGGGAAGGTGGTCTTCCCCTGGAGTCAGTCCATCCAGTGGCCGGACTCTCCTCTGACTGCCCCTGACCAAATTCCACGTTGTCCTGCTGTCGTGGCCTGCCAGTGCCTGCTGCCTATTGGTGTGCTCTTCTGCTCCTCTTCTCCTCTCAACATCCAGCCACTTGTGTCTGTGCCCGCTAGGGTCTCGGGGTTTTTATGGGCACAGGATGGGGTGTGTGGCAAGCCAGAGTGGTCTTGGAAAATGAAACATTCAGGCATGAAAACAGGAGTGCCTGTCCTCACTTAGGTCCATGGGTACAGGCTCTAGAGTGGAGCCCCTGCCAGAAACCCCACCCTACCCAACACTTCCCTGCCCCACTCCCGTATCACTGGCTCAGCTGCCTGGTGTGGAGATGGAGAAAACTATATTAAATCAGCTTTATTCACCACCTATTTGCTATAGTCAAGAGAACAGGTTGGTTCTCTTTCACCTTGCTCTTAATTGATGTACAAATATCTTTTGCTTGGGAACTAGAATGCTGTGTGTTGACCTTTTTGTGTTTTGCCTACTACAGATTGGTAACCACTTGACCAGCTCCACCACCAATTCCAGCTGAAATACAAAGGAAGGAAAGGCCCCAGGAAAAGGGGGTGACAGATTCCAAAGACTAATTCACCCATTTCAAGATTTCTCCAGGCTTCAATCCTGTTCTGTCTTCAACTGTGTGTGAACAAGTAAAGGAAAATATCAAAGCACATTTCCCTGAATGTGAGTTCTGCTCTGTTGTTCTGTCTGATATAAGGCTAGACTGAGTTTTTAAAACAATTTACAAATTTCAGTTGTATGTCTGTTTTGACCATAAGATTTGGTGAATGAGATCATAGCGTACCTCGTGCTTCTAGTAAAAAGGTGGATGACATGTATTCAATTGTTCTTGCTAAGTCCCTGGCAGTAATTCATCTGCCATTAAAGCCAACACACCTGCCATAATGGAAATTAGGTAAAGGGTGAAATGCCATTATAATTCTGAGAGGTGATCTCGAATTCATCCAATAAATAGTTGCCAATAGTCCCACGAAATACTCCTCTCTGAAGGACACTGGATCTGAGAAAAGTGAATTGGGGTCTAGATCTATTTCTATCGTTGAATAGATGTGTGACTTGGCTTTGAACTAAAATCACTTAACCTCTCAAATGTTACGGGCATTTGCAATTACACAAATAAATCATTAAATAAACAAATAAACAGGGCAAATTATATGGTGCTCATCTTTCCGTCCAGCTCTGTAATTGTGTAATTCAGCCACCAAAAGACCTTAGATGCAAAATGAGAGGTTAGGGTCAACCAACAGTGTACAATAGTGTCATAGGTGTATGGGTGAATACGTCTGATTCTCTTAGGGCAGCGTTTTAAGGGTAGCAATAGCATCTGCTGCCATTTCTTGTTTTAATAATTAATAGATAAAATGACAGTTTAATAGGTTTTACTTTTGAAAACAGGGCAGTGTCAGCTGAGTGTGGACATAGTGAGAGGCTTAGCAGAGAGGAACTCACACAGGCGACCCCTTACTCAGTGTGTCCACTGAACATCCCTCTCTTCCAGGGGTGGAGGTGGACTGCTACACACTTTTAAATTGTCTTCATTCTCATGAAATAATGTTTAATTCATCCCCAAAATGGACTGTTGGTTTGAAAAAAATAAATGGTGCTATTGAAACACACAAAATTAATAAGGACCTTAAAAATTTGAAAATTAAAAATTTAAGGACGTTCATTAGACCAGTGAACTGATGATCTGGCTTCCCTCTCACCAAAATTCTAATACAGAACATTAAGCTGTCCCTAGTATTTAAAAAGTCAACATTTTGAAAGACAAAATATAGTGACAATTATTTCTAATTTTCTCTTCATTTATCGAGAGAGGGAGGAACTATCCACATCTGTAACACATGATTCTTCAGATGAAATGTCTAATAAAAAGCAGTCTGAAATTCTGTCATCAGGTTGTTTAGTAACAAAACATTACTTGTAAGTAGAAACCTGTTGCTTTTTGTGAAGCCAAAATTCAATAATTCCAAATATTAAGACATAATAGTGGTTTTTGCGTATTTTTAGGCCTAAACCTTAATTAAATTTCAATCTACACTTCAGTGCACACTCATTTCTGAGAACAAGAACAGTGAGCAGTTCCACATTTGTCAACAAATCATTCTTTTCTTACATAATTAAATTGGGTGATGTGTCTTTAATATTAGGAAAACAGTATTTTTTTCTTTACATAATACTTTATAAAGGTACTAAAATTACTTTTAATATAATTTAAGAATAATTTCCTGGCCAAGTGTGGTGGCTCATGCCTACAGTCCCAGCACTTTGGGAGGCTAATGTGGGAGGGTCGCTTGAACCCAGGAGTTCAAGACCAGCCTGGGCAGCATAAGGAGAACATGTCAAGACAAAAAATTTAAAAATTAGCCGGCCATAGCGGTATGCACCTATACCCCCAGCTGCAGGAAGACTGAGGTGGGAGGATCACCTGAGTCCAGGAAGGTCAAGGCTGCGGTGAACTCTGCGGCACTGGACTCCATCTTGGGCAACTGAGAGAGACCCTGTCTTAAAAAAAAAAAAAAAATTTTGGCTGGGCGTGGAGGCTCACGCCTGTAATCCCAGCACTTAGGGAGGCCAAGGCAGGTGGATCACCTGAGGTCAGGAGTTCGAGATCAGCCTGGCCAACACGGTGAAACCCCATCACTACTAAAAAATACAAAAATTAGCTGGGCATGGTGGCGGGTGCCTGTAATCCCAGCTACTCGTAAGGCTGAGGCGGGAGAATCACTGGAACCCAGGAGGCAGAGGTTGCAGTGAACCTAAATCGCGCCATTGCACTCCAGCCTGGGCGACATTTTTTTAAAGAGTAAAAATAACATCCTGTTCTTAAAAGATTTTAACTGAAAGTCACCTTTTTACATATATCTTACAAAACTTATGATCTACAGGGGGTCTGTAGTTACATATTTCCATGAAAAGTGTTCACTAGTAAAACAAGATTGGGAAACTTTGTCATAGAGGATCTTGCAATATAAAGATTAGATTTGTCAAGGTGGGCTCACCCCTTCTGCAGGAAGGATCAGAGCCCTGCAGCACCCTCTTTTTCCACTCTAGCTAAGTATTGGGCCCTTTCAAATGCAGAACTCCCTCCCTGCTACCCCCAAATATGTTCCAAGATAAAAATACTATGACAGCCTTTAGAATGTGCAGAAAAAAGCAAAAATGTATACTTTTCCAAAGATGTCATTGCAAACGCATTTCACATAGAATTTGAAATTCTATGTGAATTTTTCCAAAAACAATGTAGTGAATATATGGTAGTAT
This sequence comes from Homo sapiens, assembly GCF_000001405.40. Classification (NCBI taxonomy): domain Eukaryota; kingdom Metazoa; phylum Chordata; class Mammalia; order Primates; family Hominidae; genus Homo; species Homo sapiens. The sequence continues at coordinate 100,329,790 of NC_000002.12, read as the reverse complement.
AAGGAATGTGTATTAATTTCCTTTTGTACAGGAGGGAATAAGACACAGAGAAGTAAGATTATTAGCCTGTGGTGATATAAATATTGAGAAACAATCTACAAGTCAGGTTGGAAAAAAAAAAGCTCTGCTGTCCATCATAACTAAATTATTAAAAAGTGTTTTAACTTATTTTACAGGTAATTACCCACATAAATGTTACCATACTTGAATGCTTCTTGGAACATGTTGCTGAGAAGTGTTTGTAACATGCTATTGTAACTTTTTTTTTATAACTTGTATCTTTGTAACTTACATCTTTCATTCCAGTGCTGTAAGAAGTGACACATCTCAGCATCTAGGACATTGCTATTTGTAATTGAAAAAATAGTGCTGCTTATCAAATTATCTGGAATTAATTACAAAGGCAAATAGTCTTCTTCATACCAAGTATTTCATAACCATCAGTTCCTTTAAAAATCTCTAAATTAAATGACAGAGTGCCAGGAATTCTCATTTGCTTATTTTATTGGTATCCTTAAAGATATTTATTGCTAGATGAATAGTAGATACTTAATGCTTTGTTTGAAATACCAGACCACTCTCAGACCAGTCTTGAAATGCATTATTATTATTATTATTATTTTTTAGTTTTAGAGAACTAGGATGACATTGGTACCACATATATTTTTAACATTTATTATATTTTTAAAATAAAAAGCATAAAGTTGAATACCATATGTGTTTTAAACATACATTATATTTTAATGTAAAACATATAGCCCTAAAATCTAGATAACTCCTAAAAATTTTTGAAATATATATATATATGCATATTTTTCAAAAACATGGTGCATAAAGATAAAATGAAAACCACTTTCCATTGAAGAGGTCTAGAAACGATGACCCACCCAGAAGAAACAAAGAAAAAAGCACCCCTAAGGCCAGATTATTTTCTGATTACTCTTTCCCACTAAAGAAACCAGGGCTCCTTGGAGAAACAGCTGGTTCCAAACCCAGCACAGAAAATGTGCCAAAGGAACTTACATTTTGTTATTCCAGAATGCAAGGAGGCTCTCAAAGACTTCCAGGGTCATGTCAAAAAAATCTCAGCCCCCAAATTTCAGAGGCTTCTACTGGAATGATGGGAACATTAATAACAATTATAACAGCAGTGGATTAAAGTATATCAGATATGTTTAAATCTATGTGTTCATAATGGTGAATAATAAAATACCATTTACCTTTGGAGGATGTTAGGAAACTAACTTGTTTTTTTAAAACTGATAATTTTTTAAAATTCCCATTCAAACTGTTGGGTTAAACAGATAACGAGAGGGAGTTTCTCTTTATAGAAGTATTGCAGCAAATAAGTTAAGAAGAACTGAACAGTCATTAAAACATCACCTTTTGGCAACTTCTAATGAATGAAACTGGATCTGGGCAATGATCATCAATGGCTGTTAACAGCACAAACAGACAACCTGACATTTTGATCTACAAACGTATGATCTGGTTTCTTCGTCAAAAAATTGAAAAGGAAAGTCGAGGCCGTGGCTCACACCTGTAATCCTAGCATTTTGGGAGGTTGAGGTGGGAGGATGGCTTGAGTTCCAGGCTGCAGTGAGCCATGATCACACCACTTCACTCCTGCCTGGGCGACAGAACAAGACTGTCTCAAAAAATAAATATAAATAAATAAATAAATAAAGGTTAAAAAGATAAAGGAGAGCTTATATGTTGAAAGACACTGATGAGAGATATAAACCAATAAGAATATATGGACTTTATTTGAATTCTGATTCTGACTCAAGCAAACAAACTTGAAAAGTGGTAAGACAGTCAGAGAATTACGAACTGACTGGATATTCGATGACATCACATGACTTTTTTAAAAAATGTGATGAAGGTGTGGTGTTTTCTTTTTAAAGGATTCCTTACCCTTTGGGGATACATGTTGAGTTATTCACAGATGAAACGATTTGATATCTAGATGTCTGTTGAAAAGGGCAGGGGAAGGAAAAGTGAGAAACAAGATAGGCTGTGAGTTGAAGCTGGGAGATGGATACGTGGTGCTTTGTTACTACTCTCCTCTCTGCTTCGGCTATGCCTGCTTGAAATCTTGTACAATAAAGGGCTTTGGCCGGGCGCGGTGGCTCACGCCTGTAATCCCAACACTTTGGGAGGCCGAGACTGGCAGATCACGAGGTCAGGAGATCGAGACCATCCTGGCTAACACGGTGAAACCCCGTCTCTACTAAAAATACCAAAAAAATTAGCCGTGGTGGCGGGCACCTGTAGTCCCAGCTACTCGGGAGGGTGAGGCAGGAGAATGGCGTGAACCCAGGAGGCGGAGCTTGCAGTGAGCCGAGATCACGCCACTGCATTCCAGCCGGGGCGAAAGAGCAAGACTCCGTCTCAAAAAACAAAAAATAAAAAATAAAAAAAAGGGGCTTTATAAAAAAAAATCCTTTTAAAAAGAGTAAAATTTCACTTTCACTCACCACTTCTTGTCTACCCAAGTAGTTGCATCAATTTCTTTTCTTTATACATTTTGAGAATCTTATTAATTTCATAGCCGCTTAGAATTTAGTATATTCACGGTGAGTTGAACCTTGTATCATTAGGTGCTTTTTGCCTTAAAATCTATTTTATCTGCTATTAATACAGCCATCCTAGCTTTATTTTTGTTAGCATTTACCTGATATATCTTTTTTCATCTTTTTATTGTTAACTTACATCTGTTTTCATAATTTAGGTGTACCTCTTTAAAATAACATATAGTTGGACTGGATTATTTTACAATCTGATATATTCAGTGATTAATTGGTAAATTTAGTCTTCTTACATTTATTAACATTTTTGATACATTTTAACTTATTTCTGTCCTCTTACAGTGTTTCATTTTGTTGCCCGTTTGCTCCTTTTTCTCACCTTTTGAGTTGATATCTGTATCTTCTTTTTACCAAGATAAGAACTATTCACTAGTTTCTTCTCTTTGTCTTCTTACTACTTTTGGGGTTTATTCTGTTGGTTTTTAATCCCCAACTTTTTGAATTAGATGTTTAACACATTGCTTTTTAGTTTTTATTATTTTTTAACACAAGCATTTAAGGCTATAGTTTTCTGTGAAATATAGCTTTAGAAGCATCCTATATATTTTTTAAAATTTTAATTTTTGAGTACCTCTCTTTAAATCGACACATATTTAAAAGCAGCCCCAATGAGGTATAATTGCAATACAATAAGATGCATATATTTAAAGTATATAGGCCAGGTGCAGTGGTTCATGTGTGTAATCCCAGCACTTTGGGAGGCTAAGGCAGATGGATCGCTTGAGCTCAGGAATTCGAGACCAGCCTGGGCAACACAGTGAAACCCCATCTCTATAAAAAATGGTTTTTGTAATAAAAAAGTATACATTGTGATAAGTTCTGACACACAAATACACCCATGAGAACATCGCCACAATCAAGGTAACAAATGTATGCATCATCCCTAAAAGTTTCCTCATGGATCTTTGTAATCCCTCTTCCCATCCCCACATGACCACTCATGTGTAGTGTAGATTCTATTAGTGTAGATTCACTCATACTTTCAAGATTTTTTTTTTTTTTTTTTGAGGCAGGGTCTCACTCCTGTCGCCCAGGCTGCAGTGGTGCAATCATAGCTCACTGCAGCCTTGACCTCCTGGGTTCAGGCGATCCTCCTACCTCAGCCTCCTGAGTAGCTGAGACTATAGGCATGTGCTGTCATGCCTGGCTAATTTTTTGTAATTTTAGTAGAGAAGGGGTTTCACCATGTTGCCCAGGTTGGTCTCGAACTCCTGGGCTCAAGCAATCTGCCCGCTTTGGTCTCTCAAAGTGCTGGGATTACAGGCATGTGCCACCGCACCCAGCCTAAGATTTTTGTATAAATAGAATAATTTATACATACGTACTCTATCTTGCTGTATTATTTCACTCAGCATAATTATTTTGAATTTCATACATGTTATTTGATACATTAATAGTTCATTCCTTTTTATTTCTGAGTAGTTTTCAATTGTGTAGAGAAATCATAATTTGTTCATTCACCCGTTGAAAGACATTTGAATTATTTCTAGCTTGGGGCTGTTACAAATAAAGCTGCTATGAAGGTTCATGTAGAAGTGTTTGAATGGACATATGCTTTTATTTCTTTTGGATAAATACCTAGAAGTGGAATGGGTGGTTAATATGATAAGTATACAGTTAACATTTTAAGAAACTGTAGTCCAAAGTGGCTGCACCATGGTACACTCCCACTGACAATGTGTGAGAGTTCTGCATATGCCCTGTATTTGCCAGCACTCAGCATGGTCAGCCTTTTTAATCACAGACATTCCACTAGGTGTGCAGTACTAACTGCTTGGGGTTTCATTTGCATTTCCCCAGTGGCTCATAATGCTGAGCATCTTATTTGCCATCAATATGTCTTCTGTAATGAAATGACTGTTCAAATCTTCCACTCACTTTTTAATCCAGTTCTGTATTTTCTTATTGAGTTCTTGGATTTCTTTATATATTTTTGGTTCGTACTTTATCAGCTATGTGATCGGCAAATATTTTCTCCTAGTGTGTAGCATGTCTTAGCAGTGTCTTTAAAACAGCAGAAGTCCTCAATTTGATCCAATTTATTGATGTATCAGTGCCCTAGAAGGAATACTTTTAAATTGGGATTTGTTTTATGGCTCTAAGATGTTCTATATCGGTAAATGTCCCATGTGCACTTGGAAAGAATGTGTATTCTGCTATTGTTGGGTGGAGTGTTCTATAAACATCAATCAGATTGAGTTGGTTTGTAGAATTGCTCAAGTCTTCTATAGCCTCACTGATTTTCAGTATACTTGTATTAATTGTTGAAAGAGGGGTGTTTTATTTTTAAGTTCTGGGGTACACGTGCAGGATGTGAAGGTTTGTTACATAGGTAAACGTGTGCCATGGTGGTTTACTGCACCTATCAAACCATCACCTAGGTTTTAAGCCCCACATGAATTACTTATTTTTCTTCATGCTCTCCCTTCCTCGGTCCCACCGCCGACAGGCCCCAGTGTGTGTTGTTCCCCTCCCTGTGTCCATGTGTTCTCATTGTTCAGTTCCCACTCATAAGTGAGAATATGCAGCATCTGGTTTTCTGTTCCTGTGTTGGTTTGCTGAGGATAACGGCTTCCAGCTCCATCCATGTCCTTACAAAGGACATGATCTTGTTCTTTTTATGGTGAAAAAGGGATATTTAAATATCCAACTATAATTATTAATTTACCTATTTCACCTTACAGTTCTATCAGTTTTTGCTTCAAATATTTGAAAGCTCTGTTATTGGGAACACACGCGGTTAGGACTATTATGTCCTCTTGACCAACTAACACCTTTATCATTATGAAATGGCTGTCCTTTCTCCTAGCAATGTTCTTGGCTATGTAATAGACTTTGTCAGCTATCAATATAGTCACTCTAGATTTATTTTGCTTAGAGTTAACTAGAACATCTTTTTCCATCCTTTTACCTTTACCTTATTTGTATTTTCATATTTAAAAGTTCTTTTTTGGTAGGCAGCATATATCTGGGTCTTCCTTTTGACAATCTTTGCCTTTTAATTATGGTATTTAGACAATATTTAATGAACATTAACCGATATAATTGGGTTTAAACCTGCCATCTTGCTATTTGTTCTCTATTTGTTTTATCTAATTGTTTCCTTCCTCTCTTTTTATGCCTTCTTTTGGATTAATAGAGTTTTTTTTAACAATTTCATTTCATCTCTATAGGCTTTTAAACTATAGCTCTTTGTGTTATTTAGGAGGTTGCTTTAGGGTTAGAGGACACATCCTTAACTCATTACAGTCTTTCTTAAAGTGACATTATACCATTTCACATATAGCATTAGAACCTTACAACAGTATCCTGCCATTTCTCCTCTACCTGCCTTTGTGTTATATTTGTGATATATTTTATTTCTATGTGTTATAAACCTCACAACACACTAACATTTTTGCTTTAAACACTTCTGGCTCTCAGCAGGCATACCTCCGGCAAGCTTCTTTCTGTTCTCTTGCTAGATATTTGTCTAAAATAAGAACAAATAGGATCTGAGATCATAAGGTTTCACAATCTTTACTGTATGGTCTGTGCTCTGAAGCTTTTTCCCCATTGCTTCCTGATTGTTGGTTGTGAATTTGATGGATAAATGACCCTCAAATATAAGTGAATTGTTATTCTATAAAGAAAGCAGATAAAAATCCAAACAGTGATTGAAAAAGTGAATTTGAAATAATTCAGTAATGAAAAAGAGACCCAAACAGTACACTGTTATCAATTAAGTTAGGTAGACAGCTGGGGGAAATCCTTCATGGAAAAGGAGGTGGGTACTCTGCATTTGTTTATTGTAGAACTAGAGGGCTGGCCAAAAATTGCCCCTTTTTCCCTTTTAGGAACTGGTCTAAAATGTTCTCTCACTTAATGAGGCATTTCTCCTTTCCCAAAGCCAGATGTGGTCGAGGTATTGTATATTTTCTTTAGCCAGCAGTTTTAGATGTAGAAAAACCTCTCCAATTTTTTAAAAAAATTTATTCTTGAAATATGAACAGTAGTATGAATTCTAGAATATTGTAATGCATTTTATTGTATTCAAATACACAGGATAAAACAGATACTGTGACGACAGGAAGAAGGGAGCAGGCTACATAGGAGAAATACATAGGCTATATAGGAGAAATTATGAACCCGGTTAATACGCACAGAGGATTTTAATTTAAACCTTGCTTGTACACCAACGGAGCGTTTAGCTCCCTCTCCCCAGCAACTTATGTCTGCAGTACTCCATACTAGGGCACCCTTTCTATTTCTATTCTAATTCTATTAATTAGAATTCTATTTCTAATTCTATTTCTGCTTCCTAATCAAGGGCACAATACAATTGTCCACTTCTCGAATCCCTCCTCCTCCTGGTATCTGGTTCTCTTGGCCCTCCACGTTCTCTGTTAAAATGAGTTCTCAAAGGCCTCAGCCTAGAGTTAAGAGAAGAAGCTCGCTGAGGCGGGGCCTCTGGGTGCCCACTTCAGCCTCCCCAGTCATTTAGGACAATTTCCTAAGTCGAAGCTAGAGATGCGTGATGCGTTTGGTGACTTTTCCTGGGTTCTTGCTTAAGCGGAGCCACAGGTTGTGGGGGCGGCCAGGCCTCTGGGGAAGAGCAGGTGCCGCGGTGCCGGCGCGCCAGCAGCCCGCGGCCAAGGCCACCTGCTCCCAGGGCCCCGGCACCTCTGCGGGGAGGCGGCAGGCAGAGGACGCGCGCGCAGTCGCGCAGGAGCCCTCAGGCGAGTGGGGGAAGCATCGCAAGAGACGCGGACCTGGAGCGCGGTCACTGCGTTACCGCAGCGACCTGGGTTACCTAAGCCGGCGGGACTGAGAGGCCGCTGCGCGTGGGCAGGGGCTCAGATTGCGCCCGCGGTGCCTGTCCCGGCCCCCACCCCGGAACGATTGCAGCCCTGCGGGGCTCGCCGCCCACACCGCGCTGAGGACGCTGCCCAAGCCAGGCGCCCGCCCCCGCCCGCGGTCTCAGCCGCTCGCAGCGCGCCGCCCCCAGACGCGCGTGGCTGCTGGCGAGGGCTGAGACCGCGCTCCCGCCGGCCAGTTCCCAGCAGCAGCGCATCCTCCCTGCTCCGCGCCTTCGCTCCGGACCCGCGTCGTCGCAGCCCCGCGGTGATGAGCCCCGAGCCGGTCCCGCCGCCGCCGCCGCCCCAGTGTCCTGGCTGCGACCGCGCGGAGCCGATCGCCCAGCGCTTAGAGGAGGGCGACGAGGCCTTCCGCGCGGGCGACTACGAGATGGCAGCCGAGCTCTTTCGCTCCATGCTAGCCGGGCTGGCGCAGCCGGACCGCGGCCTGTGCCTGAGGCTGGGGGACGCGCTGGCCCGCGCCGGCCGCCTCCCCGAAGCCCTGGGCGCGTTCCGCGGCGCCGCGCGGCTCGGGGCGCTGCGGCCGGAGGAGCTGGAAGAGCTGGCGGGCGGCCTGGTGCGCGCCGTGGGCCTGCGCGACCGGCCGCTGTCCGCGGAGAACCCGGGCGGCGAGCCCGAGGCGCCCGGCGAGGGAGGGCCGGCCCCGGAGCCCCGCGCGCCCCGCGACCTGCTCGGCTGCCCGCGCTGCCGGCGGCTGCTGCATAAGCCGGTGACGCTGCCCTGCGGGCTCACAGTCTGCAAGCGCTGCGTGGAGCCAGGGCCCGCGCGGCCGCAGGTGCGGCGCGTGAACGTGGTGCTGAGCGGCCTGCTGGAGAAGTGCTTCCCGGCCGAGTGCCGGCTGCGCAGGCTGGCAGGCCAGGCGCGGAGCCTGCAGCGCCAGCAGCAGCCGGAGGCCGCGCTGCTCAGGTGCGACCAGGCCCTGGAGCTGGGTGAGTCGGCTGCGGGGCGGGTCCGCCTCCCCTACACCTGTCCGGCCCAGCAGCGGGGTGGGGAGCTGGCCGGTGGGCCCGAGGCTTTGGGCTTTCGAGAGCTTTGTCTAGGCTTAGGGGTCACTTTGCTTCCTAAGGATGGGAAGGTGAAAGGTGGGGGCGGCCACACCCTGCAGCCAGGAGAGGCCAAGTGCACCCCACTGGTTTTGTCTTTTCCAGGATGCTGGTAAGTTTCCCGCGGCCCCCGGAGCAGCTCTGTAAGGTCCTGTAATTGCTTTTCGGCATCTTCTGCGCTGTTGAGGAGCGGGGAGGATGACGAAATATTTTTGCTCATCCTGAAGGAAAATGCACATAGCTGACACACTACAGGCGCAGAAAGGGGTGCCTTGTGCTGGGGCAAGATTTGCTTTGGGTTTCAGCTAATATAGCCAGGAAGGAACCGCCTCCACTCTGCTGTAATCACGTCAAACGCTCCGGCTCTAGCCTGCTCTCTGTCTCAGAGGCCATCATTAGATGTCATGGCGTATTTAACTTACTAGATAGTTACACTGACTAGTGTGTGTAGTTTTAAATTGTTCATTCAGTCATTTCCTTATTTATCTGAGGCCTAAGGCCAGCAACAGGCACTCTCCTGCCTTCACCCAGCCACCACCTGTTAACACTATTTAGCTGAAAGGAAGACCAAACTTCTGTCATCGTTTTGGCTTTGACATATGAGTATGCGCTCTATTGGCAGTTGTTTTGGGCAGTGTGAGGAGGACGGTTTGCTTTCTGGTTTCACCGGTTTTATAATAGGGCATATACGATTTAAAGCACTAGCCGAGAAGACTTGTTGAATCTCTTGTTACTAAAATAATCTACTACCATGCTGTAGTCAGTGCACATTTTATTTTAAACTTAGGATTAAGGTTTTCCCTTTTAGAAGGCACAAATTATAAAGTGACTAGCATTCAATTTTGTCTTGCAAAAAAAAAGATCCAAATATTGAACAAGTGTTCAATATCTGTATCTAAATTGGGATATTCTCTGCTGGAATAGAGCACTTAACTCAGCTTTTCTAACGAGTATTCTGTAGTTTTTGCAACCAACATATCCATACTTTAACAGGCATATTTTTTAGTTTTCTACTAATTTAGGTATTGATGGTGTTAGAGCAGCACTATCCAATTAGAACTATTGTGTAAGCCACACATAATTTGGGATTTTCTTGTAGCTACATTAAAAGGGTGAAAAAAGCAGGTGAAATTTATTTTAGCAATTTTTAACCCTATACATCCAAAATATTATTTCAACATGCCTTCAATTTTAAAAAATAATTGAGATTTTACTTTTTTAAACTAAGCCTTTGAAATTCGTTATATATTTTGCATTTACTGCACTACCCAATTCCAACATCAAATTTTCATCAGAAATACTTCATCTGTATTTAGATGTTGGAGAAGATGTAGAAAAATGAAAACTGTGATATTTATATGCTGCTAATGGGACTGCAAATTATGCCCCTGAAAAATATTTGGTAGTATCTACAGATGTTAAGCCTGTCCTTGGCCAAATAGTTTCAAAGAGGTATATGCATATGTGCCCCCAAAAGAATGTGCAATTAGATACAAGAGTGTATGTCATTGTTAGAGATACCCCAAAAGTGCACACAACCCAAATGTCCAGTAAGAGCAGAAGGGGTGAATATATGATTATGTTTTCATAGCATACTATACAGAAAGAAAATAAATCAACTACAGTTACAAACTACAATGTGGACAAATCTCACAAACATAATGTTAAGTGGAAGAAGCCAGACTCAAGCATTTTTACTATATGATCCTATTTATCTGTAAGCCCAAACAGACAAAATTACTGTAGGATGTTAGAAGTAAGGACAATGGTTACCTTGGGGGGATGAAAAGGGAATAGTGATTGTGAGGAAGTATGAGAGGGATCTGTGGGGTAGTGGTGATGTTCTGTTTCATGATTTAGGGGATGGATACACAAGTGTGTTCACTTTGCAATAGTTCATTGCACTATATACTTATATTTTTAGCTTTTCTGTATATATATTAGACCTAATTTAAACGTTTTTAAAATAGGCTATTTCAGTAAATTCATATGAGAACTTATATAGAATGTATTCATTTTTCTATTCAAAGATTAGCTTAAAATTTTATGAAAACATTTAATTTCAAAATAAATTAGCCCTTTTAAAGAGGTTTTGATATAGTTAAAAAAAAAGTTCACAGATGTTTGGAATCAGAAATACCTGTGTTTAGATCCAAGCTCTGACTTTTTTTTTTTTTTTTAAGACGGAGTCTTGCTCTGTCACCAGGCTGAAGTGTAGTGGCGTGGCTCTACAACCTCCGACTCCCTGGTTCAAGCAATTCTCCTGCCTCAGCCTCCCAAGTAGCTGGGATTACAGGCACGCACTACCATGCCCAGCTAATTTTTGTATTTTTAGTAGAGACAGGGTTTCACCATGTTGGCCAGGATGGTCTCAATCTCCTGACCTTGTGATCCGCCCGCCTCAGCCTCCCAAAGTGCTGGGATATCAGGTGTAAGCCACCATGCCTGGCCTTTTCTTTTTTTTTTTTTGAGACAAGGTCTCGCTCTGTCACCCAGGCTGGACTGCAGTGACATGATATCGGTCACTGCAACCTCTGCCTCCTGGGTTCAAGGGTGATTCTCGTGCCTCAGCCTCTCAGGTAACTGGGATTACAGGCATGCACCACCATGCCTCGTATTTTTTTTGTGTGTGTGTTTAGTAGAGACGTGTTTCACTATGTTGTCCGGGCTGATCTCCAACTCCTGTAGTCAAGTGATCTGCCCGCCTCAGCCTCCCAAAGTGCTGGGATTATAGACATGAGCCACCACACCTGATGTCTGATGCTTATTTATTATGTGACCTTAGCGAAGTGTGGTAGTCATTAGTGCTGGTCTATCTCTATACCTTCCCCAGGCAAGGTAGGATTGCACTTCCCGCTCCACTTGTGATTAGGTGGAGCCATGTGACTACTTTTGGCCGATAAGTTATGAGTGGAATTTAAAATAACTAGTACGTATGTTGAAAGAGGTAAATAAATGTATGAAAATATAAAGCATTCAGAAGACAATTGTCCATAAAAAAGAACCAAGTGGGTATCCTGGAAATTCAAAATACAATGTCTGAAGTTGAGAATTAGATTTGTTACAAACCAGATGGCACACATCAGAAATCTGAATGAGAAAACTCAGAAGCAAGTTAACAGAAAATATCCAAACTGAATCACAGAAGAAGACTAAAAGAGAGCATGGGAGTTATGTGAGACACAGACAAAAGTTCCAACATCGATGAAATTGGAATCCTGGAAGAAGAGAGAGGGGAAGGGCAAGAGAAATATTTAAAGAAAAAAGTAATTGAGAATTTTCCAAATCTGATGAGAAACTTTAAATCACTGAATCAAAAAGTTCACTAAGCCCAACAGGGTGGACACAAGTGCACACACAAACATACACACAAAACCCATCCAAGTACATTATAGTCAAGTTCCTGAAAATCAAAGATAAAGAGAATTTAAATGCATTTAGAGAAGACAGGACATATTTCCTTCGAAGGAATCATAGAAGACTGACAGTTGACTTTTAGACAAAATTATTGAAGCTAGAAGCTAATGGAATAATGTCTTTAAAGTGCTGAAAGAAAAAAAAAACCTAGCTGGAATTCTTTACCTGAAAATATTTTTCACAAAATCAAGGTGCTTTAAACCAAAGAAATAACTCAAGCTAAAGGATTTTATTACCATCAGAATTGCATTTCATGATATACTGAGGGAAAGTCTTCAGGCTAAAGGAAACGTATCCATATGGAAGCGTGAAACTAATGCACAGAGTAAAGAGTGCTAGAAGGTGTAACAATATGAGACAATATTGACTATTTCAAATAACAATAATAATGTCTTGTGGTATTTGTAACATACATAAAAGTGAAAGATATGGCAACAGGACAAAGCCAGAATGGGTAAATACAGTTAAATTGTTGTATGGTTTGTACACTGTTTTGGAGGTAGTAACAGTACCAATTTAAAGTAGACTGCTAAATCAGGTTTGCATATTCTGTTGTCTTGGGTAACCACCAATAGGAAGGTAAAATTAAAAAAAAGCTATAGTGGAATAGTAAAGTAATACTGGATTAATCCAAAAGAAAATGGGAGGGAAGAATAGAGAAGGAGAGAATAAGTGGGACAACTAGAAAAGAAATAGAAAAATGGGGATTTAATTTACATTAAATGTGAAGACCTAAATTTCCCATTTAAAAACTAAATGTTGGCAGATTGGATTAAGTGAAGTATAGCTACATGCTGTTTACACACGAGGTAAACTTTAGGTGTAAGAACACAAAAAAAGGTTAAAATTAGTAGGATGGCAACAAAGACTGACAAACAAAAGCCTGATATGGCAAAGTGACTATCAGATAAAGTATTCTTTAAGGCAAGGAATATCAGAAGAAATAAAGACATTTATGATGAATGGGCCAGTTCAACAGAAAAAAAATGTGTAATAATATGCCTAAATTTTTATGCACCTAACAACAAGTGTACACACACACATATGGAGAGAACAAAAGGAGACAAAAGCAAAAGGGGAAATAATTGGAGATGTTGAACAAAACTTTTAGTAACTGATAAAGTAAGGATTGCAAAATAAGTAAGGATATAGATACAACATACTTCAGCACTTAGATTTAATTAATATGTGTCACTACATACAACTACTGCAAAAACATAGCCATTTAGGCTCCCATGACCATAGGCAGAGCGTTGGAGTTGGCCTGTGGTTGTGTTTGCCAACTCCTGGATTAGGCCATGAAAGAAGTCGTAATAAATATTAAAAGATTGAAACCAGACTGTATATGTTCTTTAAACACTGTGGACTTAAACTAAAATTAAATAGCACATAAATAGAATATCTTCAGATATTTTGAAATTAAGCAATATATTTTTATATAATGATGGGTAAAATGAATCACAACATAAAGTAGAAAATTTTCTAATTATCTAATAATTATTAGAATTATTAGAATTTCTAATAATTATTAGAAAATTTTCTTTCTTTTTTTTTTTTTTTTTTTTGAGATGGAGTCTCGCTCTGTTGCCCAGGCTGGAGTGCAGTGGCACGATCTCAGCACGCTGCAAGCTCTGCCTCCCAGGTTCACATCATTCTCCTGCCTCAGCCTCCCCAGTAGCTGGGACTACAGGCACCTGCCACAACGCCTGGCTAATTTTTTGTATTTTTAGTAGAGACAGGGTTTCACTGTGTTAGCCAGGATGCTCTCGATCTCTGACCTCGTGATCTGCCCGCCTCTGCCTCCCAAAGTGCTGGGATTACAGGTGTGAGCCACCGCACCCGGCCAGAAAATTTTCTATTTTGCCTGAATGATAATGAAAATACAGATATCAAACACTGTGGGATGCAATGCAACAGTGCTTAGAGGGAAACTTACTGTTTTAAATGCCCATACTACCAAAGAACAGCTGATAGTCAGTGATCTTTAGGCTTCCATTTCAAGATGCTAGGAAAAGAAAAGCAAATAGAATCCAAAGAGAGTACAAAGAAGGAAATAAAGGAGCCAAAATCAGTAACAAGACAGGAAAAATACAGCCCAATGTTTCTTACGAATATAGTTGCAAAAATCCTAAATAAAATATTAGCAAACTGAATCCATTGATACCCTTAAAGAATATCACATCAGTAGCAAGCAGGTTAAGTTTTGTTTAATCCTGGAAAATCAAGCAATGTAATTCACCATCTTTACAGAAAAAAGAAAAATGATATGATGCATCTCTCAGGAAACTACGAATAAAAAGGAACTTTCTTAATTTTTTAAAAGTCTACAAAAATGAGATAGCAGCTATCATAATTAATGATGAAATAATGTTTTCCCATTGAATGAGAAGGTAACACTGTTTTATTCTCACTGCCACTCAGCATTTCACTGGAGATTCTAGATAGCTATGTATTAAGATTGGAAAAATAAAAGATAAAACAAAAAACTGTCATTATTTGTAGATGACCTGGCATACATAGAAACTCCAGAAGAATGTAGGAACTATTAGAAATTATAAATGATTTATCCAGATTGCTGACTACAAGGTCAATATAGAGGTTATCAAACATAACTATATACTTAGAAAAAACAAATAGGAAAAAAACTTTAAACAATTTATGTAAACAAATTCCTTGGAATAAATCCTGAAATAGCTGAAAGATGTTTAATACCTCTACACTGAAAATTTCATTTCAATACACTGAAAACATGAAACATTTCTGAGAGAAATTAAAGCAGACTTAAATGGATGGATATATCATTTTTTTTCATGGATTGCAAAACTCAGTATTGGCAAGACGTCAGTTCTCTGCTGATTGAATGGTAAATTCAGTGCAATCTCAGAGAAAATCCTAGCCAGTGTTTTTGGTGGAAATTGATGAATGGCCAAGGCAACAGTGAAGAAAAACAACAAAGCTGGAGGATTTACACTGGCAGATTCCAATACTTACTATAATGCTGCAGTAATTAGGACAGCATTGTATTGGCTTAAAAATAGACACATTGAAACTGACTCTCACATATACAGTCTCTTGATTTTCTGAAAGATGCTAATGGAATTCAATGGGGAAAAATTCAATGGGGAAAAAAGAGTCAGTTGCTTTTTTATATGGAAAAAAATAAACCTGAATACCTATCTCACATCATATAACAAAATTACAATTAAGTATCTAGGAGTCATAGGAGACTGTTTTCAAGGACTTGGGGTAGGCAGTTGTTTCTTAAATAAGACACAAAAAGCATAACAATAAAACTTCTGTTCCTCAGAGGCCCCCAAAAAAGTGAGAAGGGGATGAGTATACAAATATCTTACTGAGACCTCTAATGCAGAATAAATAATGCCTATGATTCAAAAAGAAAAAGCCAATCTGTCTAAACACAGTAAGTACTCACTTAACACCATTGATAGAAACAACTTTAGCTGAAACTACGTAATAGGCAAAGAGTTAAAAACTAGATCTCAAAGTGAGCAATTAACATCTAAAAGACTGCACAACATAATTAGTGCTCAAATGCAAATTAAAATGAAAGTAAGTTAGTACATCCCCACCAGAGTAGCTGAAATGAAAAGAACTGGCAATACTTAGTTTTTATTTGCAGCAATTGGAACTCTTAAATTACTGATGGAAGCATAAGTTTGTACAACAACTTAAGAAATGTGTTTGTTAGCACCTGCTAGAGCTAAACTCGTACAACCTCTGATGTGGCATTTCTACTTTTGAGTATATACTAGATAAAAATGAATGCTTATGTCCATCAAAATATGTGTACAGGAATGTTCATTGCAGCTTTATTTATATATGCCAGAAACATTTGGGGAACAGTTCAATTGTTCATCACTAGTAGAATGAGTAAATAAATCAAGTCATACAGTGTAATATTACACAGCAATTTTTAAATTTTTTAAAATATTAATTTAAAAATATTACTGAGACATATAACAATAAGAATGAATCTCACAGAATGATAATTTAGTGAGAAGTCAGATACAAAAAAGTACATTCCATTTATAAATATCCATTTATAGAAGTTAGAAAACAGGATAAAGTAATCCAAAGTGACAGAGGTGAGAATGGTGGTTACCTTTAGGAGGGGCACACTGAGTGGGATAGTGCACAAGGGAACCTTCTTAGGCCCTGGGAATGAACTACATGATGATGGCACGGGTACACATGCAAAGGTTGAGATATACACCTAAGATTTGTGGACTTGACTCTGTAATTACAGTCTTCCATCAATTTGAATAAATAGGCTTTGAGGAGTATTGCCACTTATTCTTTCTTTTCATAGAGAACACTACCCAGTTTTTATTGCTTTATGTGTCCATTTGTTTGTTTATTTATTTATTTGAAACTGGGTCTCACTCTGTCACCCAGACTAGAGTGCAGTGGGACAGTCTTGGCTCACTGCAACCTCCACCTCCCAGGTTCAAGCAATTCTCATGCCTCAGCCTCCCAAGTAGCTGGAATTACAGGCATGTTCCACCACACCTGACTAATTTTTTTACTTTTAGTAGAGATGGGGTCTCGCCATATTGGCCAGGCTGGTCTCAAACTTCTGACCTCAAGTGATCCGCCCACCTCGGCCTCCCAAAGTGTTGGGATTACAGGCGTGAGCCACCACGCCTGGCTCATTTAACTTGTGTAAAATAACATGTAATCCTCCATTTCTCACCACTGCACACATTTGATAGATTTTATAGCAGTAACCCTAGCTCCTAGTACAACAGTGGCTCTGGGTTGCTGTTGGAAAACAGCCTTTGGTCGACCCTAAACACAGTTGTGGTAGACATCTCTTCTTTTCCTCTCAAAGCCTGGGTCTTAGGCTGCCCTCTTATGACTTTTCCCCATAGAGGGGTTAATTGGTGAACCTACTGAAATGTTGCATCAATTCTTTGGAAAGTACATATGTACATTTTTCTTCCATATGTTTTCTCTACACAAAGACTTTTAATAATTTGCACTTCCTCTTCCACTTAGTTTTGAGGGATCCTTGGAGAACTCCTTTAGTTTTGTTGAGCCTAAGGTTTAATCCTTAGAAAATGTGTAAGCATTTATTTTATGTGTTTTAAAAGACTAAATTGTGAAGTGCTGTCCTCACAAATGTATCACCAAATGGTGGACGTCAACAAAGAAAACAGTGATTCATTCAGTGTCGAGATGAGAAGTGATTGTTTCTTGGCCTTTTGGCTAAGATCAAGTGTAGATGGGAAGTGAATTTTATGAAATTTGGAGTTCAGTTAAAGCACCCTTTAGAATGTGAGGAGTAGAGACTTAAATGTATTCATTAGAAAAGAATGATTAAAAATAAATGTAAATGAAATGTATTTTTAACACTAGAAACTTTATCAGGATTAATTAAGCTAACACAAAGATAGTATAAGCAAAGGAATAATGAACAAGATATTAGTAAAACAGAAAAAAATTGAGTTAGTTAACAGGTGAGAAACTGATTCATTGCCAAGGCCATTAAGGGACAAATATTTGATAAATGTGTTCAAGAAAAAGCAAGGCATAAATACCATAAGGAATAAAGAAGCATCATTGCGGATATAAAAGGATATTTATAAAAGATTTTAAAACTTATATAAAAAGGACAATTTTAAGGAAAATACAAATTATCAATATTTATCCATGAAGAAGTAAAAGCCTTCAAAAAAATTGAGATGCTCCTCAGGGATTCTCTTCTGCTGAAAAGGCGCTAAGGTCAAGAAAGTCCTTACAGCTTTCAGTGACTAATTTCCATCTTATTTCAGATCATAGAAAAATGTGGGAAGATTTTCATCTCATTTAATAAGGTTAGTATAATCTTGACACCACAATCAGGTAAAGCTTGCACAAGAAAAAAAAATGTGTAGGCTAGTCTTACATATGTATATAGATGTCAAAATCCTAATTAAATTTCTTAGTATTTTGAGTCCAGCAGTGTAATAGGAGTTAAGACCAAGAAGAGCTTATACTAGGACCATAAGGATAATTCGGTACTAGACAAATCTTTCAGAGTAATTCACCATATCAGGTTGAAGGAGATAACTATATGTAATCTCTCAGATGCTGAAAGCAGTCTATAAAATTCAACACCTACTTGTTATAAAGTCCTTACAGAAAACTAGGAATGGGAGAGAAATCACCTAACTTGATAAATATTTTCTCTCAGAAACTTACAACAAACATATTTTATGTTAAAACATTAGACACATGCTTTTTAAATTCAAGAATAAGAGAAAATGCTGTCACTATTATTGCAATATGAGAGCATGAGGAAATAGGAGTATAAATACTAGAATGAAAAGGAGTGAATTGCACATGACATTCTTGTTTAAAATATTCAAGAGAATCCATTGGCAGATTGGACTAATAAGAAACTGTAGCCAAGTGGAAACAGGATATGAGATCTCCATTCTCACACAGGTTTGCAGCAGGCATAACCCAAGCCTAAAAAACTATACTTCCAGGAGCACATTTTTTTTTTCCAAAATTTTTTTTTCCAAATCTCCTTTGGAAGATGTGGAAAAAAATCAGCATTATAGTAAGTATTACATTTTTTTCCCCAAATCTCCTTTGGATTTTTGGAAATCTCCAAAGGAGAATTGTATATTTCAAAATGCATTTAACTGTGTGATTGAGGCATTTTCACCAATCTTTTAGTTGGAAATAATCTAATAACATGCTAAAAAGGCAGATACCGTGAGGAGAATCTAATAGAATTCTATAATGTCTTCCCAGCAATTAAAATGCTCAATTTAAAATCATATGAATTGATGCCAGCACTTTCACAGTTACTATGTGCATTTTCAAAGATGAAATACATAAAATCTCATGTTAGATCATAATTAACAGATGAATATTTTCAGTTGTTTTGATGATAGGAAACACTAACTTGGAAACTTAAGAAAAATGTTATTCCCCAAACAAGAATTCCATTCTTCTCATTAGTTTATCTGTATTACAAAAAAGTACTTAAATTATTGTTACCATATTTTAAATTGCGTCAATAAGAAATCTGTCAAAATTTGTTTTCCTTCTTGTTAAGCAAGTATCTATATGATATCCTTCAGTTTGCCTCTTTGCCTGCAAAGCCTAAAATAGTTACTATCTGGCCTGTTACAGAAAAAAAGTTTCTGCCACCTGCTCTAGCCAGTTATCCATACCCAGCAATGTCTCTCTTAATAATTAAAATTGTATTGTTTAACTCTTGCTGTTTCTTTCCCCTTCTACTTTTTTCTTGTTATACTTTCTCTATATTACACATATGTGGTGATGACACATTTATAAGTAGTTACTTTTCACCATGTCTTGATGTAATATCTTTGTGTGTAAGTTCTTCGGTGTATGCTTGCTCAGTTACCTACATAAACTAAAAGGAGGCTAGTGGCATTTGGAAAGCACCAAGTGGGTAGTTTGAAAAGAATCAAGGTCAAGGTTTTGGAGGAAACTGAAAACGTACATTAGGTAGAGGGATGAGAACACATCTTAGGAGCTCAGAAAATTTGTGGTTGAACTAAAATGCATAGCTGTAGCCCTCCTACAAGGATCGTAGGTGGGCAAAGGTAGAGTGAGCCAGGCCCCACAGTATGGAAAATGGCTGTGATGGTTCTGCCTTTCTGAGGTCTGGCTTCCAGCCTTTTCCATGGGACCCTGCCAAGTCAATACTTCGTAGACTGCAAGTCAGTTCAAAGAGAGGCCAGTCTTGGCTTCTGTGTAGCTGGACTTAAGTCTGTGGCAGCATGTGAGTTGTTATCAGGACCTCTGCTGTTGAGGAATGCAGAGAAAGGAGTTTTTTTTTCCTTTCCCTCCTTAAGAGAATATACTGTAGGTACAATTATGGGGACAAATCAACATCTACCAAGTTGTGTAGAAAAACAAATTATGGGCCAGGCATGGTGGCTCACACCTGTAATCCCAGCACTTTGGGAGGCCGAGGTGGGTGGATCACCTGAGGTCGGGAGTTTGACACCAGCCTGGCCAACATGGTGAAACCCCATCTCTACTAAAGATACAAAAATTAGCCGGGCGTGGTGGCACATACCTGTAATCCCAGCTACTGGGGAGGCTGAGGCAGGAGAATTGCTTGAACCCAGGAGGCAGAGGTTGCAGTGAGCCAAGATCATGCCATTGCACTTCAGCCTGGGTGACAGAGCGAGACTCGATGTCTGAAAAAAAAAGAAAAAAAATTATGTTTTACTTTTCTGTTTCTTAAACATGAATTTCCTTGCATACTTTCATAAAAATTATTTTAAATCTCTTCTAAAAATACCTAGTTATAGCAGTGAGAGGATTCAGCAGTTGCTGAATTTATTATTGGAGATGATGTAGCTCGTGTGTGTGTAGGAATACTCAGTGGCAGTCTGTTTTTCTTGGTGCTTTTTCAAGTCTTGTTAATCTTCTTCCTGTTTTCCTGAGAGGAGCTGTCTAAAATATACTTATCAAATAACTAAACTCTAAATATGATTGGAGGGAGGAATTCTTTCTTATTTTGTTTTTATACTTATTTTGTATTGTATTGTATTTATACTTTATACATATGTATATATACACTTTAATATATGTAATGACATTAAGATTACTTGTTTTTAAATGCAGTCATTTTTATTGATTTGTATTCCTCCTGTCTTTCAGCTCCTGATGATAATTCATTATTGCTGCTGCGGGCGGAGTTATATTTGACCATGAAGAACTATGAGCAAGCTCTCCAAGATGCCAGTGCAGCTTGTCAGAATGAACCTCTCTTGATTAAGGTATTTGTATTTGTTAGCTTTGGAGATAATCAATGTGAAGTTTATATGATTTTCTTAAAAACAAAAGTAAGATTATTGTGATCAGGTACCTATAGACAAAGTATGTTTCCCTCACATTACTGTAGCCTACGTTTAGCAATCCACCTCACACTAAAGCAACCTAATTTAAAAGACTAAATCTCCAACTGATTTAGCTGAGAAACACTAATTTCTATTACACTTAATAGATATTTAGCTGAATAATATGCTCTCTACATTGAAAAAATATATAAATAAAATCATCAAATTTTATAAAGTTGTAAGTGAAGAAAAAATATTTAAAATTATAATGTAAATAGGAAGATCACATAATGATCATGATTAGCTGTTGGGTCCTAATATGCATATGAACAAATCAATGCTATTGGTGAAAGAGTTAACATTTTGTGTACATTTTACACTAATTTTAGTCTCTGTGTTTTGTTTGGAAAGGTTTACTATTTCTCTCATGACAAAAAACGAACTTTGCGGATCTAATAATGATAACTTAAGTTGTACTTAAAGAAGTTTAAGAAGCCAAAGAATAAAAGCCTTTTCATGAATCTTTGAATTTTAAAGTTTTAAAGAACTTGAAATTAACAGCTATAGCATGCTCTTTTAGTCAGTTAATAATTAAAAATATTTGCTATATTACTTTATATCAACTTTGTTTTATAAACATTAAAGAGACATTAAGCCAGGTTAGTAGACAAGCACTGGGAAGCCTGCCCTTTTTCCCTCCCATCTTTTATTTTTTTATTTTATTTTTTGAGACGGAGTGTCTCTCTGTCCCCTAGGCTAGGCAATTCTCCTGCCTCAGCCTCCCGCATAGCTGGGACTACAGGTGCGTGCTACCACACCCAGCTAATTTTTTGTATTTTTTAGTAGAGACAGGGTTTCACTGTGTTAGCCAGGATGGTCTCGATCTCCTGACCTCATGATCTGCCTGCCTCAGCCTCCCAAAGTGCTGGGATTACAGGCGTGAGCCACCACGCCCGGCCTCCCTCCCATCTTTTAAAACAAATGCTTTGAGGTTAGCCTGAGTGTCAAGTTCAACTTAGGGATAAGCCCAAGGATGGAAGCAGATGTTTGTTGGACTAAGCTCAGAAATCTATTTTGTTGCTTGTTTGCTTCCCTAAAAAAAAAGTTTAGACTCCAATTTCAAATGCCCTTTCTCCTATGCCTTCATCCATTCTTCTTTAAAATTATGTTTTTAATTGACAAGCAAAAATTTATATAATTTATCAGGTGCAATATGTAGATTTGAAACATGTATACAATGAGAAATGGCAAAATCAAGTTAATTAACATATGCATTACCTCACATACCATTTTTGTGGTAAGAACACTTAAAATCTATTCTCCTAGCAGTTTTCAAGAATACAGTACATTGTTATTAACTGTAGTCAACATATGGTATCATAATAGATCTCTTGAACTTATTTCTCCTGTTCAGCTGAAATTCTGTATCTTTTGGCTGACGTCGCCCCAATTCCTCTCCCCTGCCACTCTTCTTCTGAGCTAATTTCTATCAGTAATGATCAAGCCTTAGTTATTATGAATTATAACTATTATTTCTGACTGACAGCAGCTCTGCATTGCCCTCTGAAGCTAGATTCCTCTCCGTAGTATTCTTTGAGCTAAAAACTTGACAGTGTGACTCTCACAAAAGATAGACTTAATTTCTACAGAGGTACGTGGCTAATTATAACTTGTCAAGGGAGGCAGCAAATGAATATTTAGTGTTTGAGATGGTATGAGACGGTGGTCATATCTGCAGGGTTTACTGCAAATCTGTGGACCTCAATTCTTGACAGATGCCCAGTGAAGAGCAGCTTCAGCCAAAACGTAGTTTAATAAGTAAGTTTAGGCCGGGCGCGGTGGCTCACGCCTGTAATCCCAGCACTTTCGGAGGCCGAGACGGGCGGATCACGAGGTCAGGAGATCGAGACCATCCAGGCTAACACGGTGACACCCCGTGTCTACTAAAAATACAAAAAATTAGCTGGGCATGGTGGCGGGCGCCTGTAGTCCCAGCTACTCGGGAGGCGGAGGCAGGAGAATGGCGTCAACCCGGGAGGCGGAGGTTGCAGTGAGCCGAGATAGCACCACTGCACTCCAGCCTGGGCAACAGAGCGAGACTCCACCTCAAAAAAAAAAAAAGAGCGAGACTCCACCTCAAAAAAAAAAAAAAGTAAGTTTAAGATAGTAAAAGATATATTCTAAGTTTGTTATTATAACTAAGGATTGGGGAAGAAGTGCCATTGGAAGGTAAGGTAAGGGGATGGGAAGTAAGTTCACTGAGGGGAAGACTAAGGTGGCTGAGTGTGATCAAGCTGAGATGGAAGCTGTTTTAGAACCAAGCACTTTGAGAAGCACTTCTAGATTCTGGGGGGAGGTGGGTTACAGCAGTGTGTCTCACTCAAGCAAAACTGCCCTTTCAAGCATCCAGGCATGGCTAATATTCATCATGGCTAATGATTCAAAGCTTTTGGAGCAACTGGAGATAATCCATTGCCAGCAAAATATTTGCCCATTTGCAGAAATAGATATAGGCACATGATTAGTTTGATCTTACCCAAACAGCGAACTTATAAGACTTAAAATTACTTAAAAGCCAGTTAATTCAGTTAATAAATATTTACTGATACACTGTGGTATAAAAAATGCAAATCTCAATTGAGATTCTGTGCACATGTATGAAAAACTTGAAACTTTACGTGAAGTTCTTTGTGCGTATAAGACAGTATTATTTTCTCAGAACTTTTGATAATCGAAGCAAATTTAGACACTACTGAAACATGAAAGTTGGGGACTTTTATAAGGCCTGAAAGGGGCCCTAGCAACTTTGTATTCTTAATTTTGTACTTTTCCTGACCAGGTGTGGTGGCTCACACCTGTAATCCCAGCACTTTGGGAGGCTGAGGCAGAAGGATCACTTGAGGTCAGGAGTTCAAGACCAGCCTGGCCAACATGGTGAAACCCCGCCTCTACTAAAAATACACACACACACAAAAAATAGCCAAGAAAAAATTAGCCAGGTGTGGTGGTGCACAGCTATAATCCCAGCTACTCCGGAGGCTGAGGCAGGAGAATCACTTGAACCTGGGAGGTGGAGGTTGCAGTGAGCCGAGATGGCACCACTTCACTCCAGCCTGGGCGACAGAGCGAGACTCCATCTCAAAAAATAATAATAATAACAATTTTGTACTTTTCCTTAAACAGACTTTCCAAATTATGTAAGATTCAGGCTCCACAAAAGCTGAATCTTTTGTGATTCTGCTTTTGTGAAAGGAGAATAAGAAAATTAGTAAAACTTCACATTTATTATCAATGTAAAGTCCCATAGATGAATCACTGATTGTCTGAAGTGTATTTGAGACTTCAGGGAGCTCAGGGATGAAACTGATGATTTGTTGTCTAAAGTACTCATCATGTCTTTTGAAATGGCTGCTCTTCCAGAGGGCTGCAAGGTAAGCAATGTGTGAATAGACAGTTAGCAAGCATGAGGAGAGATGTTGGTGCTGGAGATGGAACCTGGGCACCATCAGCACAGTCATGGTATTTCAAACAATGGAGAGAGAAGTGCAGTAAGACAGGACCTGAAAATAGACCTTCACATTTACCCATCAGTGGCTGCCAATGTTCTGGAGAATTTTTATACAGAAATAATTAAAATGACATTAACAGGGGTAGTGGTTTACTTCTGGTAATAGTGAAGGAGTGAAGTCGTCATGTGAATCCAGAGGGGAAAACAGTTATAAGAACTGTATTAAAAAAAATAAAGACACTATAAAACATCCAAAAACAGAAGCTGGAGGAGAGTTTCTAAAAAAACCTGCACATGAAAAGGAAAAGAATTGTGTGTGGGTTTTTTGTTTGTTTGTTTTTTGTTTTGTCTTTTTGGTCCCTGAGTTCTGTCTATCTCCACAGCTGCAGCTGCACAAAAACAGTACTGGGACAAACACTCAGGATCACTACGTGAAAGTACCAGGAGTTCAGAGTTCCGAGTTCTAACAGAAGAGCTGGAAATTAGGGGAATCCCTAAAAGCAGAGAAATCCCGGAGTGGATGATTCCCAGCTCTGGCCAAATCCTGGCTTATTTCCAAATTTCATAGGCATCAGGGAGAACCACAAGGCTTAAAAAGGAGCCATGGAGGCTGGGTGCAGTGGCTCACGCCTATAATCCCAGCACTTGGTGAGGCCAAGGCAGGTGGATCACAAGGTCAGGAGTTTGAGACTAGCCTGGCCAATATGGTGAAACCCCATCTCAACTAAAAAAAAAAAAAAAAAAAAAATTAGCCAGGCATGGTGGCAGGCGCCTGTAGTCCCAGCTACTCAGGAGGCTGAGGCAGGAGAATCACTTGAACCTGGGAGGCAGGGGTTCCAATGAGCCATGATTGTACCACTGCACGCCAGCCTGGACGAGCGAGCAAGACTCTGTCTCAAAAAAAAAAAAAAAACAGTCAACTAAAATTGTCTCTGAGTGGGCCCAGATATTATATTTTCCACAAAGAGACTTTGAAGAAGTTATTATGCATAAGTTCAAAGAGTTAAATTGCATGCAAAGAATTGAAGGACAATATGGTACCTTTGACTTAAGAGCAATCTCAACAGGGAGATGGAAACTATAAAAAATGGAAATTCTGGCTGGGTTCATGGTTCATGCATGTATGCCCAATGCTTTGGGAGGCTGAGGCAGGAGGATCACTTGAGGCCAGGAGTTCAAGACCAGCCTGGGAAACATCACGAGACCCCAAGTCTACAAAAAAATTAGCCAGGCAGGGTGGCATGTGCCTGTAGTCTGAGCTACTCTGGAGGCTGAGGCAGATTGTTTGAACCCAGGAGTTAAGGGTCACAGTGAGATGTGATCATGCCATTGCGTTCTAGCCTGGGCAACAGGGTGAGACCCTGTCTCTAAAAAAGAAAAAAAAAGGAAATTCTAGAGATAAAAATTATCAATGCTGAAATTTAAAATTTCTAGGTAGGGTTAATAACACATTATACATGGCAAAATAATCAGTGAAATTGAAGATAGATCTATAGGAAGAGAAATTATTCAATGCAAAAAACAGAAAGAAAAAAGATTAAAGAAAAACAAAAAGAATCTTGGAAACTTGTGGGACAATATGAAGTGGTACAACGTATGTGCAATTGGAATCTCAGAAGAAGACAGAAAATGTTTGGCAAGAAAAAAAAAGAAGAAATAATGGGTAAAAAGTTTCCAAATTTAGTGGGAAACATTAATTTCAGATCCAAGAAGGTTAACTCAACTTATAAGCAATGATAAACTCAAGTCATAATCAAATGGCTAGGCTGTAAACCAAAGATAAAAGGAAAGTCTTGAAAGCAGTAAAGAAAAATGACATGGAATGAGAATGAGAAAAATGACATACAGGGAAATAATATTTATGGTTGTCATCTCATCTGAAACTGTGGAAGCTGGTTGACATTGGAACAACATATTTCAAGTGCTAAGAGAAAGTCTTTCAACTATATGTAAACCAGTAAAAAAAGAAACAAAAATAGTGTTTTTATAGATTTGAGAAAATACTGCATTCATAAGATGAAAAGAAAATGCCATGGGAAATTACTGATCCATATTGTATTTTGTTTACTTTTATTGTGGCACTTAGTATATTATGATTTGTATTGTAATTGTTTTTAGTCGTGTCTGTCTTAGCTCATGAGACTGTAAACTCCTGGAAGCCAGGAAGATGGTAATGACCTGTAACTGCTGAATGAATTTAAAGTGGATAGCCAGTTTTCTCTTAGCACGTCCCTTAGAACTCCTTTGAGCAGAACATTTCAGGTACGGTAGCTCCTGTGTTCTGACTGTAGATTGTATTTATGAGCTATTGAAGTTTGCTAAGTTTCCAGGGTAGAGAAAGTAGCGATAGAGTCATCCTTTGATGGGCTTTGTTTATTCTATGTAATGTGAAATTAAAACAAATTGTTCTAATAAATTTGTTCAGGGAAGTTTGTATTCAAGTATATAATCATGCTGGGTTTTAAAAATGTACACTTTGTCTTCGGTGAATCTAGGGACATCAAGTAAAAGCTCAGGCTCTTTCTGGATTGGGAAGAAGTAAGGAAGTGTTAAAGGAATTTCTCTACTGCCTTGCTCTGAATCCTGAATGTAACTCTGTGAAGAAAGAAGCACAGAAGGTATGAGTTCTGTTAAAGGACTTTCTCTATCAGGTCTTATTTATAGCCTTCATGTCCATGCTGAGTAACCCTTGCATGTGAAATAAACAAGAAATATAATTCTGAATGTTCGTGATAATGCAATAAAAAACGCATGGCAATAATTGTAAGGTTCATACATTGGATAACTTCTAGGTAAACATTATATTTTGTCCCTGGGTAAAGCAGAGTGTTTCATGAGACAGTGTAAACATGCCTCGATTCTGTTGACATAAAGACACATGTTAGGCAAGGTTATTATAGTTTGTGTAGAAGCTTCATAAAAGACATTATGATATATGTAAAATGTATCAATTCGGCTCTATAGGGTGACCTGTAATTTTCAGCAAAGGTTCACCAGCATAGTGCAGAAATACCTGCTCTTTTACCCATCATCCAGTCACACTGAATGTGGAAATCTGTCCTGTTAAAAAGCTTATACAATAGTTACCTGGTATTTACTTAGCATTTCCAATGACCAGCGTTTTTATGTTTTTATGTTTGCGCTTCCCTGTTTTAACACTGTTTATTGTCAACTTCTACCACGTATTTACCCTGTAATTTTTACTTACCTGTGTAGTTCTATTTTCTGGAGCAACAGAAAATGAATCAGTTCTTCCTTGTACAATTCAAACCACGTTAGATGTTTGGGAACAGCTATTATCTTTGCCTTAATGTCACCCTGTGGGCCAAACATTCTTTTCTCACAGAGTGGCGTTTCTAAGATTTCCTCTTCTGGATGTGTTCTAATGTACCCTGTGTTTTAGCATCTACATTTGACAGCCACAGTTGGTGAAATTTTACCTTCACTTGTGTTCACATTAGGGGCATGTTTATTTTTAAATACCTCGTTCCTCTTTTTTAAAAGTAAGAACTTCAGAGCAATGTTGTTTTTTATCTTCTCTTGTGCAATTGATTGGCGTTAGTCCCATTCAGTTGTCCTGACAGTTGTTCAATTGACCAGTATCACTCATTGGTTTTTGGCCATCATTTCAACTTGTCAAAATAATATTGCATCTTCAGCCTGCTATTCAGCTATCCCTGCCTGCTTTGTCCTATACGGAAACTTCCTAAGAATCTTAAAACATATCTCAACTGATTCTCATAACACTTTTCTGAGAAAGTCAGTCCAAGGTCAAAGAGATGAAGCACATTCACCAAGGTTCCTGGACCAGGGTTTAGGTCTTCTGGGTTGTTGTCTACCTGGAGCGTTTTCAGACATGGTGTTTTCCCCTGGACATTCTATGGCTGATAGATATCTTGTATCACAGACGGTACCAAAAACAATGTTAGCCTGTTCACATGGAATGTGGCTCCATCTCCAGCAGCTCTGTTGAGGCTGCTCAGAGCTGGGGCTGAGGACATTGATGTCCCTGCTGAGGGTGGTGGTGCGCATTGCTGCAAGGCCATGGATTCTAGCGCACTCACCTTGAACCATGAGGAACAGTGGAGAGTGGGAGGAGTCTTTGTTTAGGTTTCAGTCACTCCTTTCTGCTTTCCTCAAGCCTTGGATGCAGCTGAAGCCATGAGGTTTGACAGGACCATTTGAGTGTCTGCTAGCATTGGGTGTCAGCTAGAATGCCTAACTGGCCATTGCTGACCACCCTTCCCCTGCCCCCACCAATGCCATTCCCTGGTTCTTGAACCACAATTAGGGCCTTTCCCTCTCTCTTCCTTTAAAGTTCTTTACGAGGTGGGTCTTCTGGTTCTCATAAATAAAGCAGTTCTGTATAGTGACCTCAGCCCTGTGGGTGATCACAGCTTAGATTTAATTCAAGGCCCCCAGCAACCTTTACACTCCCTTTCTCTTTTATCTGTGTGGCTTTTAGGGGAGATTTTATATAGTGTGTAAGGACCAGGTAGAAGGAAGTGGTATTGCTATCATTTTGTCATTGGGAAGTGTAAGATGGAAAGGGATTGGAAGCTAAAATAACTTAAAATATTGACTCTGGTTTCAAAAATGTTTGGATTTTAAAAGGTTGGCAGTTAAAATTATTCTTTTCAACATTTTAGGCTTATTTGGCCTCTTAGTTTCCTCTGAATCTATAAGACATACTATATTTTTACAAAAGTGTTTTAAAATATATATTTTTTCTTTTCTTGGCAATTTTATAGGTAATGTGTGAAGTGCTGTTTTCAGCTACAGCAAATGTGCATGAAAATTTAACATCTTCCATCCAAAGCAGATTAAAGGCTCAGGGTCACAGCCACATGAATGCCCAGGCTCTGCTGGAAGAAGGTGATGCAGGGAGCTCGGAGGTATGACGTGCATGCATTTGTCAGGATTCTCTTGATTAAGCTTTACATAATGGCTTCATTTTAAACAGTTTACAGATTATTCACACATTATGGCATTATGTTAGTTAGACATATTTCTCAAGACCAGTTGTAGCTCCTCAACCTGGGAGTTGGAACTTTTACATGAAGTCTATGGAAGTAATGAAAATGATTAAAGATTGAAAGAAGCTTTAGAACACCACCAAATCACCCCAAACGGCAGGAGACTTGAAGTTATTTTGGCTTGGAGAAAATAAAGCAAAGGGACAAGTTAAAGGGGGCAGCACACCAACATGGCACATGTATACATATGTAACAAACCTGCACGTTGTACACATGTACCCTAGAACTTAAAGTGTAATTTAAAAAAAAATAAAGCAAAGGGATGATTTGAATATGATATATGATTTTATGTGTGTACGTGTGTATGTGTATGTGTGTGTGTGTGTAGATAGATAGACAGACAGACAGATTGCATATGAAGATAACTTTTCACTTGCCCTGGCTCAGGAAGAAATTATCCTGTATTTTACTGTGAAAAGAATAAAGCTCATCTTAGAAATTAACAGATGAAACCAATTATGAAGAAGAGTGTATGCCCCCCCCTTTTTTTTTCCAAAGATTTCTAGTACAGGCTTCTGCATTCTTTTTCTCTTATGCTATGATTTCTTTAATACTCAGGATTCCTTTTTTTCCCACTTAACCAGAATTCATCTGAGAAATCTGATATGCTTGGAAATACCAATTCTTCAGTTTTGTATTTTATACTGGGTCTACACTTTGAAGAGGATAAAAAGGCGTTAGAAAGCATCCTTCCAACAGCACCCAGCGCTGGCTTAAAGAGACAGTTTCCGGATGACGTGGAGGATGCACCTGACCTGAACGCCCCTGGAAAAATTCCCAAGAAAGGTCAGTGAACTGTTTTCATCAGGCAGTTCTGTGACTCCAAAGTGATAGAATGTTAACTAGTATTCAATATATTTTTTAAATTTTTACAACATTTAATATTAGTAATGAAATGATTATATCAGCTCTAAGATTATAGAGCATTTTAGATGTTTTATACTGCAAAGACTTCATAGTCAAAAATAGCAGAGAAAATTTAGCTATAATTTAAAATTTTATTCATGCTTACCATCCAGATAAATTATTGCTGTATGCTGTTAACTGGGCAGGAACTATTTCTGCCCAGTGTGATTTGTTACATTGATACAACACGTTTGGTCCAGAGAAAATACATTTCTTGCATGCTGTTGTTCAGGTGCTTAGGTGTTAATTACAGCGTTTTAAATTTTTTCGCATTCAGATCTCTCACTTCAAAGGAGCCCAAACTCTGAGACAGAAGAAAGTCAGGGGCTCTCGCTTGATGTAACTGACTTTGAGTGTGCCCTCTGCATGAGGTAGGATGGTACAGAATCCGTGCAACTCTTTTAAAACTGCAGCCTTTCTGAAATGTATACCAAAGTGTAATGGGCTTTTTATTATCACGGAAACTAGGGAGAGCTCAGTAATAATTGATTTATTTTCTAAAGATTTAATAAGATATAAAATGAAAGTGCATGCAAGTGATTTCTAGAACAGAAAGGGGATTGCATAAGGAATCCTTCAAAAACCAGTCCATGATTTGAAAGTCTGTCCTGGACATTTCTGGCTGAAAACAGATATTTTCTTCCAGATTGCTCTTTGAACCTGTCACTACGCCCTGTGGACACACATTTTGCCTAAAATGCCTTGAGCGCTGCCTTGACCACGCCCCACACTGTCCTTTGTGCAAAGACAAACTTTCGGAAGTAAGTACACTTTAGGAAATGACGGGACAGCTCCTCCTCTCATCCCTTGGTGGACGCTTACTCCCTGTCTCGTGTTGCTTCCCCCACCCAGTTGTTAAAGAAACTGAGATTTCTCCAATCAAAGATAGGTCTTTTCTCATCTCTTTGATGAATCAAGAAATACACAAGGAAGGTTGACATACAGAAATTGCTAAATGTTAAGGACATTTTTAGGTAGAAATTTTAGTTGAGATAGATTGAAAATAGCTAACATTATGAACCCTACATTACGTTCATTGTAAATGGTTGAGACGTTGTCATGGTGCACTTAATGTGCTCCAGGAATTCTCTTTTTCATCTTGAGAGTTTTTCGTAGGATTGAAGACTTGATCATTTCTGACCACAGGTGAGTCCCTTTAGGGCTTTTACAGTTGTCAGTTATTATTGTCTTTGGTCTGAAATCAAAACCAGTAAAATTCAGGTCCCATGGGGAAGCTATTTAATGATATTTAGCCCCAATATAAACTATTAAATCCAGGTTCCATGGGGAAGCTATTTAATGATATTTAGCCCCAATATAAACTATTAAATCCATTTACGTTAGGTATGGTAAATACAATGAAGAGTATTTAAAAGCTGAAGACCTTCTGATCAATTCCTGAAATAGTGAATCCATATCAGCTGTATTGGGCTGTGGTCCTATTAGTGCCATGAACTTTCTATGGAGCAAGTCATATAACATCTTAAGGGGGTGGGGAGTATCTTCCTTTGTTTTGCATTCATTAAATGAGACTGATAATATTTGCCTTAATTACTTTCCAGAGATTAAACTTATTGAATGCATTTTAAGTAGGATAAAGTTTTTTTTTCTTTTTACAAACGTACAGTAAAATTTATTTTTTAAATCTGATGTGATAAGATGAGATATTATACTTAAGTGAAGTTTTAAATAATTATAACCTTTAAAATTTACTGCCAAAACATTAAAATAACTAGTTACAATTGAAAACATTTTCTAAAACATTGTATGCACATACTTGCTTTATTAAATTGCATGCATACTGAATCTTTTTAAATTCTTCAGAGTTCTCGTGAACATCAATTATTGTGCTGTGCGCTGTGTGTCACAGTGGTGACTGTGCTCTGAGTCTGCAGAGCTGTTTCCTTGGTGGCCCCTGTGCAGTTTTCCTCTGGGCATTTGCTGTCTCTTCTTGCTAGTAGATGCATCGGACCCACTGCCTCTTGTTTTGGTGCCTGCCTGGGCCAGAACAGGCTCATCTGTTCTTACAAGAATAAAATGCATGTATGTGTGAGCCCTGTTTACAACACAGACCTTACTCACTTCTGTTTCGATGCTGCCTTGTAGGGGGCTGAGTGAAGAAGTGATAGCTGGAGGTCGTCACTAGAATAGAAGCTGCTTGGCCGGGTGCAGTGGCTCACGCCTGTAATCCCAGCACTTTGGGAGGCTGAGGCGGGTGGGTCACAAGGGCGGGAGATAGAGACCATCCCGGCTAACACGGTGAAACCCCGTCTCTACTAAAAAAAAAATACAAAAACAAAATTAGCCAGGTATGGTGGCGGGCACCTGTAGTCCCAGCTGCTCGGGAGGCTGAGACAGGAGAATGGCGTGAACCCGGGAGGCGGAGCTTGCAGTGAGCCAAGATTGCGCCACTGCACTCCAGCCCGGGCGACAGAGCGAGACTCTGTCTCAAAAAGAAAAAAAAAAAAGAATAGAAGCTGCTTAAGTACTGAGACTTCCTATGACCTGTTTTCCCTGTATTTCCAGGGACTAGCACATGCACCAGAGACTCTAGAAGTCTTTGTTGAATGAATGAATGAATGATTACATGCAAACTATACATGGGTTCCTAATGTTCCAGAAATTAGAATGCTATAAAGTGAAATAAAATCCAAAATTATAGTTTTGTCTTTCTTCAATGCGGGAGTCACATCATGCACATAAATGACTTTGCATGCACTACCAGGGACCTGAATCATCAATTATATATGAATCTCCAGAACCCTTGGCTAGCATCATGCCAAGTAGAGCATGTTTTATTGTATTACTCTTCAATAAAAGGACATCATAAACCATTTATTAAATACCTATGTCATTAATAATGACAATTATGAAGCAGTTTTGTGAGTGAGATGATAGCCTGTTTCTCTACCAGTTACCCTGTGATGGTGGTTCTCAAACATAGGCGTTTCCAAAGTTTGAACTCCTGGTTCTCAGTCAATCACAGCAATACATTTAGTTTGTTTCACACCAACCACAAGGAAACCTGGCAGTATGCGAAGGACTCACCCAGCCATGGTGTGTTGGAAATACGTGGAGCCATCCCAAGCCCAGAAATGCAGCAGGCCACCAAGGAAAGAGCAGAGCCCTGAAGCCCGCCAGGCCTGGGGTCCTCGCTATGCCATGGTGGCTCAGCACTGACCCCTTACCCTTTCTGAATCACAGCTTTATGAGCGCAGTGGAGAGAACAACTATAGTATTATACTGTTTTCAGGACTAATAAAGCACCTGCAGTGGTCCCTGATGTGCATCAGAATGTCAGTGAAAAGAGCTACTATATGCTAGTATACATGCCTGCAATAAAACAGTGCAACCTACCAAACTACTAATCTGTGTGCACACATACACACGCGCACACACACACACGCAGAGTAGTAGTTCAGCCACATTGTGGCCCTTCCACCCACCGATCCCAGCACTTTCTTGTTCAGTCTCCTACCTTCCCTTCACATCCCGCTTTAATCCATGGTCCCTCTCTCTCTTTCTCAATCCAAAAAAAGTCAACCTTTGCCTTTTGCATGCATCCTAAGTAATACAACAAAGCTAGAAAAAAACATAATGTTGGGAAGATTGGTGTCAGTTTAAATGAAAAATTTTAAGTCTTAGACTCAAAACATAAGTAATCATTCTTACATTCTTTCTCTAGTAGTTCCAGTTCTTCACTTTCCAAGCTGATCATTGCAAAAGTCTCTCCTCTCCCAACATGCCCTACTTCACTTCCTCCCCTCTCACCAACATCATGGCACTTGGTTGAAAATGTAGATGCTGTCAAGATTGAGTTGCCTCATCCTTCATCCAGGTGAACGCCTCCTCCTGGCCTTTTCTCACAGTGGAGGGGCTGCCCCTGCTCTTGTTACAGGCTGGCCCGCCTCTCTCTCCATCCCTTTTCCTTCTTACCTGCTCAGAGATCCCACCCACCACCTCCTTGTTCACCTTTCCACTCGGAAGCTTCGTCCTTTAGAATCAATTACCATACAGTATCATTTGACTTTTTTTTGTTACAGTTATTGGCAAGCAGAAACTTTAACATAACTGTTCTGGCCGAAGAATTAATATTTCGATATTTGCCGGATGAATTGTCTGATAGGAAGAGAATTTATGATGAAGAAATGTCAGAACTGTCAAAGTAAGTGCTCATGTTGTGTGTCCTTGGTCTTAAGTTCAGATTGAACTTTGTCAACTTCAGCTTCACCTCAGATTTTCTTTTCATGGCAGAGAACTCTCTTGGTCTGTAAATGGAAAAGGATGTTAATTGCAAAATATTTTTGGAAACATAATTGCAAGCAGTTATAAGAATTTGTTTTCTTTTTTTATAAGATATTTTTAAAGTGTTTTAACAAAATTGTATAGTTGCTTTTTGTATGTAAATAAGTGATACTGAATTTTTCAGGATTTAAAAAGCAAAGAAGGCTAGGCACAGTGGCTCATGCCTGTAATCCTAGCATTTTGGGAGGCCAGTGCAGGAGGATTGCCTGAGCTTAGGAGTTCAAAACCAACCTGGCCAACATAGCAAGACCCCACCTCTATATTAAAAAATTATTATAAATAATTAAAAATAATTTATATATTAAAAATAAATAAAAGGCAAATAATATAAATGTATTTGTTACTGATGAACTGTACACTTAAGAATAGCAAATTGTATACGTATATTTTACCTCAAAAAATTTTTAATGTAATGTCTGCAAAGTGGAGTAAAGTGAAGCACAGTTTTAAAAAGTAGAGAGAATGAGAACTAATACCCAGGATTGCGAATCACAGCAGGCTTGACAGTTTTCATCTTTTAAAATGGTAAAAGTTTTGTATTTTAGTAGCGATCTTATCACTCTTCCACTCTTCTAAAACTCATTGCCTTTGACTACTATGTAGTTTTTGCTTTTATCAGAATTTTTTTAGAGTGCTTAAAAGGTATAACTTTTCCAAGCAAAGTAATATAATTCAGCATGTTCTCTTTCCTCAAGTTAAATAAGACAGATTTGTCAGGAAACCTGGGTGAGCAGAGAATTTTCACATGCTATGGTCCTTGGCTTTCTTGTCCCTCTTAGCCTGAGGGTTTTGTTTTGTAGAGGGGAGAACTGAGGTTGGCTGGCTTTTGCTGTTTTGGTGGCCAGTACCACCCTCTGATCTAACAGCTCATACATCTGAGATAACATGTCCCCTTGCTCTGCAGTCTGACCAGAGACGTCCCCATCTTTGTGTGTGCCATGGCCTTCCCCACGGTCCCATGTCCACTCCACGTTTTTGAGCCCCGCTATCGGCTTATGATAAGAAGATGCATGGAAACTGGCACCAAGCGGTTTGGCATGTGTTTATCTGCTGAGCACGCGGGGTAAGAACTGTTAGCATTTGGTTCAAAGGGTCCTAATGAAGGGCATCGTTTGTCATTTTTCTTGCAGAATGATTTAGGCTGATGCTTGAAAACCTCCAGTGGCTCCCGTTACGTAACAAAGTCCAAGTTCAAGGCTGCCCACAATGCAGTCCCATCCCTTCTTTCTAGCCTCACTGCCCACCTCTTCCTTTCAAGTATCACACCCACTAGTCCATTGCCATGCTACTTGCCCTTCTCTTGTGACAGCTCATGCTTCCACACCTCTGTGCTTCCCTCTGCCTGCAATTTTCTTTATCCCCATTTATATACAAACAAATCTAGTCCAACTTCTGAGGTCTAGGAAAATTGCGGCTGGGCTTGGTGGCTCACGCTTGTAATCCCAGCACTTTGGAAGGCTTAGGTGGGAGAATCGCTTGAGCCCAGGAGTTGGAGACCAACCTAGGCAGCATAGGGAGACCCCATCTCTACAAAAACATTTTAAAAAGAAAAATGTCTATATCCTGCGCAAAGCTTTTTCTCTGTCTCTACAGCCAAATCATTTTCAGTCTTACAAAAACACACTAAGCTTGGTTTTCACCTC
This sequence comes from Homo sapiens, assembly GCF_000001405.40. NCBI lineage: Eukaryota > Metazoa > Chordata > Mammalia > Primates > Hominidae > Homo > Homo sapiens. The sequence continues at coordinate 100,293,648 of NC_000002.12, read as the reverse complement.
CCCTCGTTTCACGTCTTTGTCCAGAGAGGGTGTTGCAAGCCAGCAGGTCATTCCCCTCTGTGGACTGATTTGGGGACTCAGGACCCTCCCATCCCTTAGGGCCTTGTCAGCCCTACATAGTCATGATGAGGTCACTGCATTCAAGTGCTAGCTATGGAGGAGGTGCACATGCTCTTAAAGGACTCTGGAGAAAGGGGGCTGCCTCCTGTTCACACCTGCTGCAAAGGAGCCTGGCAAATATAGTCCACCTACGTGCCCAGGAAGAAGAGGAGACTGCATTTTTAGGGCCACTCAGAATTTTCCACCATAAATATCTAGGGACAGATCTTTTTAAAATATGTGTAGGACCTTTATGGAGAAAATTCTGAAATTTTATTGAAAGATAAGAAGTTCTGAATCAAAGGAGAGAAATGCCATGTCCGTTGGTGCACAGACTCAATGCTGTAGAGATGCCATCTCTATCCAGTTCCACAAATCCAGAGTAATTCCTGTCAGCATCTCCAGGAAGCTTCTTCATGGACTTGCTCAAGCTGATTTTAGAATCCGTGTAGAAAAGCAAAAGACTAAGCCCAGATCTGGCTGAACAAACAGGAGAACATTCCTGTAATATCAAGTTTACAAGCCTTAGTAAGTAGACCAGTGACACAATAATGTAGAGATCCGAAACAGGTCCACTCATATGTGGACGCCAAATTTATAGACAATTGTATGAGAAAAGACAAACTACTCAGTAAAGGGTGCCCAGAAAATTAGTGGGTGGTCCAAATGAGAGGGGGGGAAAAAGCTTTACCTTATGCCATAAATAAAAAAATAACACATTTGCATTCCTAATGTGAAATGTGAAAAACAAAATATAAAAACATTTAAGAGGAAATATTGGGGACTGCCTTTATAATTAGGAGTGGGGAAAGATTTTTTATACAAGGTGCTGAGAATACATAACAGAGGGAGAGATTAGTAAATTAGAATATATGAAAATTTGATTAAAGTCAGCAAAGAGAAAAAATAAGCTATAAGAGTTCCACGTGCACTGAGAATATAGAACACTGAAAAGAATGTTATTCCCATCCAAACAACAAGAAAAACAAGAAAAAACAGATAAACCACAGAACATGTATTTCTTGAAGCCATCAGAGAGTGAAGGTTGCTCAGGGTAACCAAACAAGATCCCACAGGGAGAGAGTAGGCAGAGCCCAGGAAGAGACATAAAAGTGTGTAGGAAGAATTCAGCTATTTTTCTTTTTTTAAACAAATTGCTAATGACCTTGTGTGGGCTGGCATCAGAGTGCAGGTCTGGAGAGCTGCACTCACGAAGGGAGTTTGCATCACACACAGGCTCCTGTCCACAGATAAGAGGCTCCTTGATGAGTCATGCCCTGCAGCAAGGCAGGCTTGGAGGAGCTGACATTTGTCTGGAGGCCTCTGCTGGTTGCTGGGGCATTCAGTCCTCCCTTGAAGAGGAATCTTCAGGGCGCCTCCAGTTTCACCATGCTATGAATGAGATCATCCTGTTAGATACCAGGAAGAGAGAGTTTTATTAAGTATATAAGTAGAGGCATCCAGGTGGCAGTTTGAATCATCGCTGCTCTTTAGTTTGGGGGACGTGTAGTAAAGCTGCTCACCATGAGAACTTTAGAATCACACTGCCATGAGTTCTCATTTTGGCTCTAAATCTCCCTGTGGCCTTAGAGAAGTTAATTCCTCTGAGCCTCCGTGTTTTGTGGGCTTGAATTCGTATATATTATAAACTGCTGTGTGTGGTGCTTGGCACGTGGTAGCGTGAGAACATCACTAGGTTACGGGTGATAGTTACAGTCAGAGTGTGGGTAAGAGCTGGGGAGAGCTTTGGAATGAGAATAGACATAGCCTAGAATACCACCCTGGGCAGCATGGAGCAGGAGGGACATGCAGAGGTAGGGGCTGTGAAGGGCCGGGCTGGTTAGAGAGGGTTCAGGAGAGCAGAAGCATTAGCTCAGCAACAGTCTGCAGGGCCGTGCCTTAGGGAGGTCAGACAGGAGCCTGTCAAGTGATTTGAGCAATTCAGAGGGCATCTCTGACTTCTTTTGGAGTCATTTTAATGGAACGGTAGGATATGGAGGAGTGAGGGGGAGGCAAGGAGATGAAGGCAGTGGCCGGGGACTGCTTTCCACGGCACTTTGGTTGGGGAGGGCAGAGCTGGCAGAATTGGAATGAGGTGAAGACCTTGTGGGCGAAGGCAGGAGGGAGGAGGAGCGGAGTGCCTTTGAAGGTGGAGGACTTGCTGCCCCAGCAACCAGCACCAGCAGAGGCCTCCAGATAAACGTCAGCTCCTCCAAGCCTGCCTCACTGCAGGGCATGACTCATCAAGGAGGCTCTTATCTGTGGACAGGATCCTGTGTGTGATGCAAACTCCCTTTGTGAGTGCAGCTCTCCAGACCTGCACTCTGGTGCCAGCCCACACAAGGTCATTGGCAATTTGTTTAAAAAAAAAATAGCTGAATGCTTCCTACACACTTTTGTGTCTCTTCCTGGGTTCTGCCTACTCTCTCCCTGTGGGATCTTTGTTTGGTTACCCTGAGCAATCTCCACCCTCTGGTGGGTTCAAGAGACATATGTTTTGTGGTTTATCTGGTTTTCCTTGTCGTTTTTCACATTCTTTTTAGTGTTCTATATTCTCAGTGCACATGGAACTCATAGCTTGTTTTTTCACTTTGTTGACTTTTGATGAATCAAATTTTAAGTGTGGGCTTGAATTCATATGTATTATAAACTGCTCCGTGTGTTGCTTGGCACGTGGTAGCATGAGAATATCACTAGGATAAGGGTGATAGTTACAATCGGAGTGTGGGTAAGAGCTGGGGAGAGCTTTGGAAAGCCGAGTGTGTGCGTGGCACCAGCTGGGCAGTCCTGATGGTGCCCCGCCAAGGTGGCTGAGGAGCCACATTTGAGATTTCATCTCTTCCCATCTCTCGGGTCCTTCCCAAAACACTAGCCCGTTGGAACCGCTAAGGCACAAGTCCTGTCTCACCTGGAGCCCTTCCCCTGCAGCCACCATCACCACTATATTTAACATCTAACAGAAGCGACCATGTGCACGTGTCTCTTAGCGACAATAACCTTGCTGGTCTGATGTGGAGACACTGTTTTGTGTGGCTTTGTATTCCTTTTAAAAGTAAACTCTCATCCAGGGAAAAAGAAGGCCCCCTGCATTTTAAAAATCACAGTCATTTCTCCTAACTGTCTTTTCAGGCTTTCAGAGTATGGATGCATGCTGGAGATTAAGGACGTGAGAACGTTTCCTGATGGAAGTTCTGTTGTAGACGCGATTGGCATCAGTCGGTTCCGAGTGCTAAGCCACCGCCACAGAGATGGCTATAACACAGCGGACATTGAATATCTTGAAGATGAAAAGGTAAGGCTTATCATACTGGTGTATTTTATAGCAGTCGGTCCTCTCGCTTCCCTTTGCATTGTGGAAAAGCTTTGTCAAACTTGTACTGACAATATTACTTAAGTCCTTAATTCATCACTTAAGTTATTTATTTATCTATTTGTTTATTTTTGAGTCAAGGTCTTGTTCTGTCGTGCAGGCTAGAGTGCAGCAGCATGATCTTGGCCCACTGCAGCCTTGACCTCCCAGGCTCAAACGATCCTCCTGCTTTAGCCTCCCGAGTAGCTGGGACTGTAGGTGCACACCACCACACATGGCTAATTTAAATTTTGTTTGTCGTTGAAACAGAGTCTCCCTGTGTTTCCCAGGCTGGTCTCAAACTCCTGGGCTCAAGCAGTCCTCCCACCTCAACCAAAGTGTAGTAGCCCCAAAGTGCTGTGACTACAGGCATGAGCCCCTGCCTTCAGCAGTTATTTATTTTCTCAGTGGATTTTTACCTGAGTTGGGAGCTGGTACAGAAATCTCCTTTTAAAAAAATGATCTGGCCAGGCATGGTGGCTCACGCCTGTAATCCCAGCACTTTGGGAGGCCAAGGTGGGCAGGTCACGAGGTCAGGAGATTGAGACCATCCTGGCTAATACGGTGAAACCCTGGCTCTATTAAAAATATAAAAAAATTAACCATGTGTGGTGGCGGGCACCTGTAGTCCCAGCTACTTGGGAGGCTGAGGCAGGAGAATTGCTTGAACCTGGGAGCTGAAGGTTGCAGTGAGCTGAGATCGTGCCACTGCACTCCAGCCTGGGCGACAGAGCAAGACTCCATCTCAAAAAAAAAAAAAAAAAAAAAAAGACCTTATTGTACTTATGCAACATGTAAACCTGCGCATTGCAAAATAGGCTTTTGATTTGTATTTGATGCTGTAGCCCTGGAGCTGGCAAACTTTTTCTGTAAAGGGCCGGCTAATAAGTACTTTAGACTCCAGAGGCCATGTGGTCTCTGTCGAAGCTACCCAGTTCTGCCCTTGTAGTGCAAAAGCAGCCATAGACAATGTGTAAAGGCATGAGCATGACTGGTTTCCGTTAAATGTGACTTCCGGAAACATGGTGGTGAGCACGGTTTGACTCATGAACAGCAGTCTGTCAGTCCCTGTTCTCTAGGTTGGTATTAATTCAGAATGTGACAAAATCTACAACTTAAAAAATACCTCCCAAAGCTAAATATAAAAGACTTGAATTTATTAACCCTTAAGAATTTTTTCATGTGTCTAATAGAAATATCAGGACATATAATTTGACAAATTAGCAAAATGTTTTGAGAGATTCTCCAACAGACTTACACAAGGATGTCCATAACAGTCTTACTCCATTATAGCCCCAAACCAGGAACAGCCCAGGTGCTGATCACACTTGAGTCAGTAAACACATTGTGGTCCATTCATGCAATGGAATACTACCTGTCAATAAAAAGAAATGAACCACTCGTGCATGAAACAATATGGATGACTCTCACAGACATTATGCTAAGTGAGAGAAGCCAGACACAGGACGAACACATACCGCGTGGCTTCATCTGTATACTTCCAGGAACAGGCAAAACTAGAGTCTGGGGACAGAAGTCAGAAAAGGCTTGTGGGGTTGGCTTTGTAATTGACTGGAGGGAGTGGTGAAGAATCTTTCTAAGTAGTGGAAATGTCTATCTGGTTTTGGGTGATGGTCAGACTGGTGTATACAGTTGAGAAAACTCTTTGAGCTCAACAAGATCTATGCACTTTTTGGTCTGTAAATTATACTGCAGCAAGAAATTTTAAAATACTTAAAAGGAGGAAATCCTTGGAATTATTGTATCCCTCTTTTAAATTCTTTGGTTGACATTTGGAATTGTGGAAGTGAGGGTACGTAGCCACCCCACATCACACTGGAAGTCATTTTGGGGGCAGTGGTGTACACTTAGGATTTGTGAATGGAGTCACACCCAGGACACTGTCTCTGTGCCTCCTCCAGCTGCTGTTTCTGGTCATCCCAGTGCATGGGAGCAGAGCAGGGAGCCCAGCTCCCAGGCTGGACCAGAAAGCTGGGTTTCAAAGCTACAGCTGAAAGTGATAATTCTCAGGGTCTCTCTGTGGGATGGATAGACCTGACGGCAGGGTTTATTGACCGTTGTTGTAGATGACAGCTTTTAATAGTGTATGCGCTTATTTTAAATGGGGGCTTAAATAGCTACAACATGAAATAATTTTAGCTTATTTTTATAAGAAAATCCTCTATCACATATGAATATTTGATTTGTATAAATCAAATTGAGGGTGGTATATGCATTATATTATAATTTCTCAGCACACCGTAGTTTTTGTAGGTACTGGAATTTTGTAACAGGAAAGGACCTTCATGGTTTATTCCTATTATGCAGATGAGAAAACTCTGCCCTAACGAGGCTGTGAGACTGGCTAGATTCACACATGAGAGTTGGTGATGAAGCCAGACCAAACCCTGGCCCCGTGATTCCCAGTCCCATGCTCTTCCTCCTCTACCAGGTGTTCCTGAACAGGACTGAGGCGTAATTTAAATGACAGATGTGATAGTGACATAGGGACCAGAGGCCAAGCTTGGTCAGTCTAAGGTGCTGTGGCCGACCACAAGCTGGAGTCCATCAGCCCAGGCCAATGTAATGAGTGTAGTCTTGCCCTGTCGTGCCTTTAGGAATATAGTTTGGTGATATGGAATACAATTTTTAAAATGTCACCCTTTGACTTGGTAATTCTGTCAAGGTCTCTAGGAAACTACACTGAGGAAACCATACCTCCCTCCCTTGTCAAAAAAGCAAAACAAAACAAAACAACTTTTCCATAAATGTTTATATTATTGTGTTATTTTTAAAAATAAAAAAGCTAGAATATTCTAAATAACTTACGTGAATAGTTAAGTAAATTGGCATGTATCTCAAATATATAATTGCATGCAGCCATTGAACATTATTCAAAATTACAGGAAATGTGCTTATATTATGGTATTAAGAGAAAAATCAGGATACAATTGATAGATTTCAACTATGCAAAAAATGCAGATTTCTATATTGAGCATGTACCATTTTTGTGAAACTGATGAATTATTAAAATGCTAACTGCCACAAATCCACTTAGTGGAGGTGCAGAGGTCGCTGACTGTGTTACGTGCATTACTGTGAATGGTTCACACAGCTGTGCCTCTTTCCCTGATCAGGTGGAGGGTCCAGAGTATGAAGAACTTGCCGCTCTCCACGATTCTGTGCATCAACAGTCTGTTTCCTGGTTCGCGTCTCTCCAGGATCGCATGAAAGAACAAATTTTAAGTCATTTTGGGGTAATGCCAGACAGAGAACCTGAGCCTCAGGTATGCCCTCCCTTTTTCCTTTATAATTCTGTTACTTCCTGCTGTAGTGTGCTGAGCCATCATTCTGGTGGAGAGCTTGGCAGTATGATGCTGGTTACCCCAATGTGGTTGCTTATGAACCAGTTCATCTACTAACAGCCCAAAGGAGCACCTACTGTGGTAGCACATGACTTGTGAAGCAAAACAACAAAGGCTCTCTAACAGAACATAATTTCTTTTCTAACAACAATCAGTTTATTCTGCTTGGCTGTCAGCTTTTGTAGCCTTTTGCTTCTTTCACTCACATCTTAAAATTTAAGTAGTAACTTTATTGTATTGGCATGAACATTCCACGTTTGGCGCATAGCATTGCCTTGCACCTGGTATAGAGATGTTGAATAAGTGAAGAGAAAAATCCCATCATTCTTGTGACATTAGTAGCGTGACTTCCTTGTCCTCTAAGTACCCTGCTGCCCAGCTGTCATGGGCTTTCTCTGGTGCTCCCTACAAGTACTTTTGGTGAAGCTGGTTCTTTAAGCAATGAATGAGCTTAGGTTTGTGGAGCATTTCTAAGCTCAGGTGGGCCTCTCCTCTGCATTAGATGGGAGAGCCAGGCTGGGCTGGTTTAAGATTGTGCCTGAGAGTGTATACCTCCCACCTGTACATGGATGCTCAGCTGTCAAAGACAGTAGGGGAGGGGGATTGGCTCTCAGCTGGTTTAGGGTGATGTGAAAGGTCTTTTCCCATCCATTTTAACTTTTTTTTTCTGTCTCTTGGAGCTTCTATCTTTTACCCCCTGCCTGAATTCTTTTTTTTTCCAAACACAGAAAAATGCTTTAACTGCCAGAAATTGCCATTAAGTCCTTCCTGGCTTGCCCTTTTTGCATAAGCCTTTGTTCTGCAGTATCCTGGAACTCAGATTCAGAAAGCATGGTGGTTACACTGACTTGCATTAGGATATGAGTCATTCTTTTTCCTAGGAGTTGTTGTTTATTAACCAAATTAATCAATCTCTACTTGGCGGGTATATTAGCTTCCTACTACTGCTGTTAAGAAATTTCACGAACGTGGTGGCTTAAAACAACACATATGTATTATCTTTCACTCCTGGTTCTGCAGGCCAGACTATGATCAGGGTGATGGCAGCATGCGTTTCTCTTTGGAGGTTGTGGGGGAGAGTCTGTTTCCTTGTCTCTGCAGCTTGTAGAGGCTGGCGGCATTCCTCGGCTTCCTTCCTCCATCAGAGCCAGCAATGTTGCTTCTCTCCGACCGTTCTTCCAAAGCCACATGTCCCTCTGACCACAGCCCAGACAGGACCCTATATGAACACATTGGGCCCATCAGGATAATCCCCCCATCCCAAAGTCCTTAACTGAATCACATCCTCCAATTCCCTCTGCCATATAAGGTACCATATGGGGGACCATTTTTCTCATGACTACAGAGGGATTTTAGGTAATACATCAATTTTTATATGAGGTCCTTCCCATTAAGCGTGCTACTCAGTTTTTTTCTTTCTCTGTGAGATGAGGCAGGGAAAAGAGTGTGAATCTGTATAAAAGGTTGTTTTCTCCATCTGTGCCTTTCTACCTCTGAAGGGCAGGTTGATGTCTTCCTCACAGTGACTTGGGCTACCCCTGGTGAGCTTTGGCCACAGTGCTATTCCTAGTCCTCCAGCATAATCTACCTCACCCTAAACTAAGGTGACTCCAGAGTTCACCCTCCCAGCTCTTATCGGCATCCTGCACATTTTTGGAGAAGGAATAGAGTGAAGAATCCTAGACCCTGGAAACAAAAAGGCCTGGATATCTTGGTTCCAGTACTAAGAATATTGAGAACGAGTTTATGATCGGCTTTTGCCTAGCACTTAGTCTAGAAGTGCTTTGTTTGATTATGTGAAATAAAGGTTATTTGGTGGCATAATAATTCTTATATATATAATTTATGATAACTCTTGCATATGACATGCATACATATATATGTTTCATACATACACTCATTTGCCACATTGAGTATGTCACTCAAACTTGTACACATACTTTTAGCCTTTATAATATTATGCTTTATATGGCATGCTTAAGACATAAAAAATAATAGCACAGAACATTGGAAAGTGAAGGTTAAAGTGATAGTATTCTCCTCTGACTGGTATATACTCTTAACTGAAAGCTTGAGAGAACAGAAGCAACTAATTCATAGAATCTCCCCATGGAAGATGCTTCTCTTTGCAGGCTCTTCCTTTTGTGAGTTCCCCCACCTTTAAATGTGTACCATAAAAGTAAACTATGTATTTTGAGAGCTGAATGAATTGTGAATTAGCCCTAAAATACAAGGTGGCATTTAATTCTTGCTCACGTGTCTGTTGGTGGAGCAAAAGACTGTGTTGGGGAACAGGCTTGCATTTCCAGTGTTAACCTTGCTTTCCCCTCATCTCTTTTGCAGAGTAATCCCAGCGGCCCTGCCTGGTCCTGGTGGATCCTGGCCGTGCTGCCCCTGGAGCGCAAGGCTCAGCTGGCCATCCTCGGCATGACCTCGCTCAAAGAGCGGCTCCTTGCCATCCGACGGATATTAGTCATCATCACGCGTAAGATGAATAGTCGGCAAGAGCTGGCTAATGCCAGGGAGAGAAATAATTGATTTTTCTCTCTGTCAAGGTTTCTGGCAGCCCTTGTGCTTTTATAAATGTCAGGCATGGACGAATAGCCGTCCATTCATTGTGCTTCATCAAGTGCTTGTGGATGAGGTTCCAAAATGGGACGCTTGCCAAACATTGAGTCCTCCTCAAAAATGACAATTCTGTGTCTGGTGGGATCTGACCTTGTGTGAGGTTAGCCTGAAGTCTGAATGGAGCCCATAGTTGGAAAACAACCTAAGAAAATCTCTTAGAAGCAGGTGCTTGGGGAATGCAGTTCACTGACAGCACAGGACCCTGCAGATGGTTTACATGTGGTTTGGGTTTCACGAGAAAGAAGGATTCACTTCCCAGTCAGCATCTGGCTCTGCCAGATGGTAAAGGCGTGCTTTAGTGTGTAGACAATATGGGGGAACCACGTTTTTATCTGGAAGTGGATTTCTTAGAACACAGGCTAACCAAAACTACGCTTAGGCTTTGCGTGTTGCTGTGAAGTTGTCTGTGAAATCGAATAATCACACCATTGTTCAGTGCAGGAGCCCAAACTAGTCCTTACCCAAGAAGTAGTAGCCTCTGGATAGAACTGTGTTTAATGTCCTGTTGTAGTCCCAGGTGTTGTAAATTGCATGTTGTAATCAAACGAATGTCAAAACATAAGAAAGTATACCTTGGATATAGAAAAACCTGAGAACAGTATCATTCACTTGAGGATATATATATATATATTTACACACAATAAAGTGAGTTAAAATTGTATATGCATTGGGATGTCAAACATAAAACCACCAAGTGCAAAGAATGCTTTGAAAGTAGAACCTTGTCTCATTGATCAGTGGTTACTAAGCATTTAGGAAACAGTCATCTTTTTCTATTGGGATTTGCATTAGAAATTAGCCCCATCAGTAAATTTCAGTTTACTATCCATTTATTAATATACAAAAACATTAAAAAATCTGCCATGCCATGGTAATCTATCTATTCCAGGAAAATAGATCAGAATATATGAAGGGAGGATGGCCGGTATGGGATGTAAATATTCAGTAAGTTTTTCTCCAACACCAACCTAAAATTATCTTTATTTTTTTGAAAGAAAGTTTTACGGTGATCAGACCAGGTGTTATCTGTTAAAGGACAGTAGTATGACTTCCATCCTGTAATGCACGTTGGTGATATTGATTGGAATAACTGAATCTGAGATACTCATATGTTCTCTCTGGCCCAACCAGCTGGTGCATTTGGTTGGCTTCCTCGTCTGTAAGGTGGACATTCTTAACCAGAGGGTCACGACCACATCACAGCTGCAAGTTTTGCTTTGTTCATTGAAGGTGATTTTTTAGTTTTAAAATATATATATCTCATAATATACAATGTTGATGGTATATCAATCCATCAAGCATTTTATTAGAAAGACTTTATAATATTATTAATTTTTCTTTAGTTTTCAGTAGATAAAGTAGTTTCAGTAGATAAAGACTTTATAATATTATTAATTTTTCTTTTAGTTTTCAGTCTCATCATGGGAGTTAGAAAATACCAGCATCACTTAATTGTAAAGAGAAAATGTGAAAGTATTTTCCAATCCAATGTTTCAAGTGCCTCACTTATTGTGAATCTCAAATATCATCTTGAGATGGTTTAATGGCAGTTTGGCCAAGTGATTTCTAAGAGATTTTATTAATTTATGCATTAACAATAGTATTCAACTTTCTTAGGCATTATAACCTAACCCGATCATTTGATTGGAATAACTGAATCATTCATTGATTGGAATAAAATAAAGAAAACAAAATGCATCTCACATGCCAGAAGACCTTTACCAGAAGTGGTTCATGAAAATCAGTATGCATTGACCATTCTCTGCCTTTCCCTTTTGGAAAATTTTTTTGTACCTTCATATCACAGCTGAATAGTTATCAATGCCATTTCCATTTGGAAGTATCTAAATAACCACAATGTGATCACAGCTTCTCCACGAGCCTTCCTGAAGTAAAGCTGGTATGCTTGCTATAATACTTGGAACCTGTTGCTTTCTCTTCCTCACTCTTTAAATGTCATAAGGTCACACAGTTCTTGGAATCAGAACTATTCAGTTATTTCTTCATGATTCTGCCTGGCTTTCTGAGTCTTCTCCTTCGGCATGTTATGTAAAAGTCTGAACAACAATGATGACGCAGACGAGAGCAACATACGTTTTTATTTTTTGATAGGTTTTTATTTTTTTGATACCAGAGGGAATTAACTATGATCACATCGTGCTCTCTCTGTTCAGCATCACACGCCCACATACTGCAGTGTGGGAGTAGATTGGTACTTACTGAGCACTTAGAAACATCACGCATCAGGAACCGGGTCAGGGTGACAGCATCCTACGGTCATATCATGAAGGAAGCCTCCCTTACAAACCTAAAAAAAAAAAACCCCAGCTTCAGTTTGCTACCAATTAAGCTAAAGCAGAACGGTCTGCTTCCTCCTCCGCCTGCCCCCTTCTGCCTCTTTTCTGTTGGGGAGATGCCAATTCTAAGGATTTCTCAGAAAATAATGTAATCTCTCATTCAATGTCAGGACATTCCAGCTTAATTGTACTGAAAGTGCTCCAATAGGCATGCTCTCGTTACATTGGAATCAAAGCAGAAAAGAGTAATAGCAGCGTGGGGGAGTCATTTTTCTTCTTGAGGAACAATACATGCTGTTCTGTATTTTTCCATTCATCGCCCAAACCTGCCTGTGTCTTTGAAATGCAAGTAAGATCCCAAAGGCAGCTTTCTGAAAGCCCGTGGCATTTTTAGCTTATCCCATCCCCCGTGTGTGTCCTCATCTTCAGAATTGAAAGTTAGGATACTTTTTAAAGTTTCAAAAGAAAATAATTTAAAATGTTAAGGTTTATCCATAGAAACACAATAATTCTTAACCAATTCATGTACCAAATTCAACAGTATTATCTCATTTTTAGGGTCACAAATGTGTCCTTTTTGCACTTAAACCTCCTCCCTCTCTCAAAAACAAAAACAAACAAACAAACAAAAAACACACCAAGACTGTTTAACAAATTGTATCTCAACTCTTAATATATGTTAAGTCTTACCACAGGACATTTGAATCATCAAGGAACAGTTGAAGTTTATGGATGGTAGAATAACAATGAACTATGATATTATCACTTTATTATAAACTTTTTGGAAAATTGGCAGTTGCTACCATCGAAATACTCCATTGCCTGTGTTACATAGAATTTGTTATAATTTTTAAGGGCTTTAAAAAAATACCCATCTGTTTCTTCTCCTTCTTGTTTTCTTTTGTGCCCCACCACTTAAATTACTTGGGTAAATACCACTCTTCAAAATTTGAATACTGTCTATCAAATAAGAAGAAGTGTGAAAGATATGAAGAAGAAAGGTGATAGCAAATTAGAAGAAAATAAATGTGGGTGATTTCTTTTAGTTGAAAGCACAGAGTTTTATTTTTCCCCAGTATAACTATTGAGTAGGGTAGGGAGGTCCCTGTATCCCCATTTTTATTTTTTTTGAGATGGGGTCTCACTCTGTCACCCAGGCTGGAGTGCAATGGCGCAATCTCGTCTCACCACAACCTCCGCCTCCTGGGTTCAAGTGATTCTCTTGCCTTGGCCCCCTGAGTAGCTGGGATTACAGGCACGCGCCACCACACCCAGCTAATTTTTGTATTTTTTTTTTTTAGTAGAGATGGGGTTTCACCATGTTGGTCAGGCTGGTCTCGAACTCCTGACCCCATGATCTGCCCGCCTCGGCCTCCCACAGTGCTGGGATTACAGGCGTGAGCCACCGTGCCCGGCCCATCTCCCCATGTTTTAGCATAGACAGCAGCGGCATTCAGTGGAAGGAGTTCTTCCCCTTCAACATCGTCCTTCCCAAAGGCCACATTCTGATTCTATTGTTCACCAAAAACTAATTCCCAGGGAAGCCCGCTCTGGATGGGAAGGATGAGCTGCGTGAGCCATCGCCCACACAGGGAGATAACCGAACCCCTTTGCCAGCATCACCCCCTCTCTACTGGGGTGAGACACTTCATTCAGAGCACTGGCTCTGACTCCCAGGGGAAAGTCTTTTTCCCTTTACAACTCCTCACCTCAGCCTCACCTTGACTTTCACTTCTCAACTGCTGAATTCTATAAAATAGCCTTTTAGCAGTGACTCAGCTTTTAGGTGAGCACAGATAATGAAGAAATTGAAGTGCCACCATTGCACTCCCCCAAGTTGGGGACATAAACTCGAATTTGCACCCAGGTCTGATAAAAGTAACTGATTGAGGACGCAGAAAGGTGGATGCCATTGACAGCGTTGACTGTTCTCACAATTCCTACAGAAATGAAAGAAGGAGAGGCCCAGCAGACCACACCGGGCCATGAGGGGAAGCATGGGAGACAGGCAGAAGCAGGAGTGAGGAGGAACGTGGCTCAGACCCTCTACTGTATGTTCTGCAGGAAAGGGCAGGGAAATAGCTAAGACTGGCTGGTCTGAATAACAGCTCAGACTCTAGGCTATACAGGTGGTCTCTAGCCATCTGGCACCTAGCCCCGGGTCGTTAGGGTGGGGGATATTGCTTCCTAGGTTGTAAGAGCCAGATAGAGGAGGATGGGCTCTGGATTGGTCACTTTGCTCCCAGGGTAGCCCTTTGCTGTATCTAAGAATTGGCTCACCCTGGGATGGGCAGTTTCTCCTGGGTCAGCGAGGCCCCTGAGATGTCAAAATATCATAAAATATAGAAATCATGATTAATACAATTGGTCCTCTGCTGTTTTGACATACTAAGGTCACTTTTGATAGCAGAAACTTTTAAAGAGTAGGGCATACGTTGCCCTGAAGAGCATAGAAAACATTTTATTCTGAGAGTAGAAAGGAGGAAGACACGTGGAGATACAGGAGTCCCTTAGGCTGGCCCATAGCTGAGTCTCTCATGTGTGTGGCATTAGTCAAGAATGTAGTTCTGCAGTTTGCGGGGGGGGGGTCTCTAACATTTCTTGGTGCAGTTGTTAACATGTGTTAAACATATGAGTCTGATGATGATATCGCGGTGTTTCTCGGCTCGGGGTGGCAGGTCTGGCGGTTGTGTGGCTGGGGGTGTGCACTGATAGTTCAGTAAAGGATAAGTAGAGACTCGTGGTGTTCATGTGTCACCACAGGGAGGGAGTGGCTGTGGAGACCCAGGACAGGAAGTCGCGGTGGAAAGCAGGCTGGGGTGGTAGGAGAAGGCACCGGGGGTGGGTGCTCCTCCCCCAGGGGTTGAGGAGTTGACTGATAGGGGGCAGTTACCTCCTGGGAAAGCAAGACGCTCCCTTAAGTTTTAGAATGGTACAGAGAGTAGTCCCTTCTACCAGAGTTTCCATTTAGACATGGGAGTGTAGGGGGCCATGTTTCGGCAGAAGCAGGGCATGTATCAGCATTAGTGGACTCCTCAGTATTAAAAGGAAGAACAGCAAACATGTCATGTGCCCACTTTGTGCCTCAGGAGAGGTAGCCCGTGGACATCGCTAGGGCAGAGGTTTTAATATCTGGGACAAAGTTATCTCCCACGGCGAGGTCGTGGCTGGGACCATGTCATCTTCAGCCGTGAGCTGCTGGGCTGGGCAATGTCTTCTGGGATGTGAGACGTGGGGTCTCCTTTCTAAGCGGACCCCCACTCGTGCTGATGTGGGTCCCAGCATTTGCCGCGTTTGGTTGAAACAGTGGCTTACCTGGAGGGTCTGGGTCTCTGGATCATAAACCAGCGAAAGCCCCCACATCAGTGGTGACAAGATCAATAGACCCCAGAATGTGTGCAGCTGTGCTTGATAGGGTTTTGGTTCTTGCTTTTTGGTGGAAGTTTAGGCTCAAGTGGGTCCCGTATCGGATGAGCAGCTGCACGGCCTGTGGGAGCCCTGGGGTTAGTGGGTCCAGGAGAGAATGTGTTCTCTCTCTGGGCTCCAGCCCTGATGGGGTGGGGATAAGATGCAAGATTTATAGGAATAGGGGGAAACATTATGGAAGGCCCCAATATGTAATGAGCTTTTATATACAAGAATGCAAGACATAGCCCTCTTTTTATGTTTAAAGGGGACTATGGTAATGTTTTTTAAAGTTTGTGTGAGGTGTGAGTCAACCGAAAGGCCCTAAATTAAGAGAGATTCAGGTTTGTGGTGCAAGATAGAGGCCCATTTCGGGGTCTGTTTGCAGACCAGAATTTGAAATGGAGTTGTTTGAGGAGACCATTGTGTGTCTTCGTGAAACCGATTGTGTGGAACCTATCAGGGCTGTGGAAGTTGTAGCGAATGCCTTTTCCCAGAGCCCAGCATTGTGGATTCCGAGAAGTGGCATGTGTGTCTCAGTGACTTCCAGTGATGCCTGCCACTCTGAAGAGATGAAGGAGTGTCCTGGCAAGACCTGGAATCCCAGCTGTAGCACCTGTGGAGAGATGTGATTTAGATTTGGATTTGGGGTATCTGTGAGGAAGAGTCCCAGAGTTTTTCATCCTGAAGGGGGCAACTCTTGGGCAGTGGTCCAACAGTTGGCCATAAATGTGAAGCTGGGGCGCTGTGCTGACCAGGGCATCCAGCGTTAAGACGACTGCCTAACTTTGGCCACATGCGTTGTTTTTTGGGTTCCGTTTCGTATCAGGGCATGCTGGCTAAAAGATGGGAAGCAGCAACATTCTCTTGGGCTCCATCATTTATATGAGGGTTGGCAATGCCATCTGTACCCTCTGTGAACTCCCACTGCTGTTCACTCAGTTAATCTAAGGGACACCAAGGGGTCTGCGGGAGGATGACCTCACAAGGGACTGAGGACATGGGAGACCACCCTCCTGTGGGTAGAATACACCAGAGGGCCCAGGCTTGACTCTGTCCTGTGTTAAGGAGGCATCGGTAGTTTTGCTGAGCTTGTCAGGTGTTTATAATGGACAGTTGGAGATTGGGGTCCTAGGCTTAGGTCTTTGAGAGCCTCTGTGTCCAGGAGAGCCCAGTAGGCATCCAGCCATTTACTGCTTTAATAGGGTAGCATGAGGCTGAGAGGGATAGTTTCTTGCATCCAAAGCCCTTAGGCACCTTATGTCCATCCTAAGTGGGCCAGAGACTCCAGGGCTGCATAGAGCTTGCCAGAGCTTCTATAATGAAGGGGTCTCTGAGGGCACCAACAGGAGTGCCCATGGATTTTAAGGTTTGATTATAGAGGTTGTTTATGGAGGGTGCCCCATTTAAAGCAAGCTGATTTGTAAGCAGCAGCAAGAAGATTAAGTAAAATTTGTAAATGAGGACTACATTGCCATCAGAACCTCGAAAGTATCTAAAGATGTTGGACTTGTATGTCCTTAATGAGTGTGACAATGAGTTTCCTCATTTGTGCTCCTGGAGAAGGCGGATGTGGTGAAGACCCTGTCTGCAGACATTGTGTGCCATGGCAAAGCCGTGGAGCTCCCTGTGGGTGGCCTGCAAAGGTGTATGTGCCCCTCAGGGCAGAAGGCAAACGGCAGCCAAGAAGCTGTGCAAGTAGACACTTAATGGGACATGTTAGCCAAATCTGTAAGAGCAAAATATTGGCCAGTTATTTATTGTGTAGAATTAATAATTTTAATAATAATGGAAATTGGGTAATGGATGGGACTGCAGCAATAAGGTTGTAGTAATCCACCATGAGGCACACTTGTTTTTTTCCAGGTTTAAGGATAGGAAAGATTGGGCTGTTCAATGGAGAAACAAGGGTATAATCACCCCTTTATTAATTAGTAAGTTTTAATCCTTGAATACCTCATATTAACTGTTTTAACTGGAGGTCCATGGGGCATCATTTTATCAAGCTAGTTTATAACTGCCAAAGACTGACTTTAATTTTAATTTATTATTTGTTTTATTAGAGTGTCTGTGTTCAATATGGGATATTAGGGCGTTGGGTACTATGACCACAGGAAATTTAGACAGGCTACAGTTAAAGTGAAGCATACCTTACCCATCCACCCCCCATTTTATATTTAGTTGCCTTTTTAAAAAGATTATAGGGGTACAATGTTTAGATTTAGTGGGATCTCCAGGTATAACTGTAATTTGAGCCCCAGTGTTAAGACTATGAAGCTTTGTCAATGGGTACATTTTAGCAAATGTTACAATTAATTTAGAACCTAAGTTATGGAGACACAAAAGCCAATAGGCACCCTTTTATGTTTTGGTTAAATGTTTCAGTATATACATCTTATTTATTTGTAATATTAGTATATAATTTGTTGTATACATTTTTAGTGTATAAGCGTTGGATTTCTAATTGGATCAGATTAGGGACCTTCCGTTTAGCTGCATATGTACATATACATGTACAATTTATTATATATTTGCGTTAAAATAGCCTATCTGCATGTGTATATATGTGTGTATGTGTATGTATATGCACTCACACGCATAAATACACAGTCTATTTAGTTACCTTTAATGTTTTTTCCCTTGTACCTAGGCTTTTTCTCGCTTTTTCCTTTTTTTCTGATTTTGTGGCAATTTAGTTGGAAGGAGGCGGTCCCAGCATGTTGACAGGCAGGGTGTTCAGAGTGCCCAGGCACACTGGTGGGGGGTGGTTACAGGCTCACGTAGCTCAGGGGCTTCTGCAGGTCTCAGGGGAGTGGGAACAAAGTGTCCCACCCCTTCCCCTTTTCCTCAAACCTCAAGCCACTGGTCTCTATGGATAGATCCTTTGCATCCCACCGGATTGAGGAATGAGTCACAACAGCTGCAAGGCTCTTAAAGCAACATTTAAACCTTTTGGCGGCTGTCATTTCTGTGAGGAGGGTGCCTCTCACCGGCCGCATGGCCGGAGGATCCCTGCAGCGCTTTGGAGACCAACACCCAGATCCTTTGCCCAGGAGTGCGATTAATTCCTCACTGGATGCTGGGGGAGGGCCCCTCAGGTGAGCAGCCCACCACTGACTTCAGCGTTGCTGGCTCGGTTATCAGACTCTCATCCAACACAAGCTCACAGGGAAAGCCGTTCCTTGCTCCTTGTGGAGGGAGCTACCGTCATTGCCCTGAGACCACCAGCCAAGAAAGTAGGTATGTCCAGGTAGGGAATTCAGAGGGACCCAGTGCATCCAATTATACAATTATACCCAGAAGGTCCTGTGTAGGGGACTGCGATTGACATCACCCTAGTCTGCAGCACCAAGGACTGAATGAGCTCAGTCCTCTTATAATTTAGGCTGGACTGTCACAGACACTGGCAGACACAGCATACGTGGTGCAGCCAAAGTGCAAACATGCCAGCAGCGGCCATGCTCCCCAGGGTGGGGGTCCAGTTAGTAAGCCACGCGCAGCCAAGAGGCGAGGCATGCCCTGTGCCACACACGGACTCACCCTGCTCACTGTGCCCGTGGTATCGAAATGTACCCACGTTTAATTCATAAAGGAGAGGCTGCTGTCATTGAAAGAAAAGTTTGTTACTTGCATTTCTGGAGAAAAGGAGCGCACCAGGCCACGCAGGGCCACAGGAGGAGGACGCACCAGAGTGGTCAGGAGGCAGAACTAGGCGAGCAGCTTTCCACTGTGTCTCCATGGCAAAGGCGAAGATGGGCGGGGGCAGAGTGTAGGATTGGCAGGTTTGAATGTCTTGGGCAGTAGCTACAGGGGTGGTCTCCAGCTGCCTGGTGCCTGGCCCTGGGTGATCAGGGTGAGGGGATACTGCCTTCTGCAGTGGAAGAGTCAAATCGAGGAGATGGACTCTGAGTTGGTTAGTGTGCAAAGGTGCACTCCCAAGGGACCCCTTTGCTATCTCTAAGAATTGGCCTGCCCTGGGAAGGGCAGTCTCTCCCCAGTCAGTGAGGTCCCCAAGATGTGAAAACATTATACATTATAAAAAAGCATGATTAATATAAGCTCATTCTAGCATTTCAGGTTACAGCTTCTAGAAGAGGTTTGTAGTCTCAAATGAGTAGGTTTTTCCTCTAGAGAGGGGCGGGCCTGGACCTTCAAGCACCCCTTGGTGTGTTTAGGAGCTCAGGAGCAGAAGCACCTGCCTGCAGCCCTGCAGCTAAGGAAGTTCTCTCAGTCACTCAGAGCAGGGAGGGGCTGAGAGAGTCATGTGAGGCTCCCGGGGTACTACGACAGCCCTCGAGGTGAAGGATTGGCCCTGATCATAATAGAGAACCCTGAGGAAGTTTACTGTCATGAGTCTCGGCTGGTTGGCGCATGTGACCTTTGAAGGATGAAGATGGAGTTTGCAACATGAGTATCTCTAACCTTTTGCTTTTCAGGGATCATTTTCAAAAATTGCATTGGGGCCTTCGTTATTTACCATAGTATTTTCACTTTCATAGTTTTGTCACCTTTTTGTACTGTGAACAGTTCAACCAGTGACCGACTTCTCTCTCATGCTGTTTACCCCACACACAATTTCCCACTCAATTCTGAAAATAAGAACCTGTTAATAGGTTGGAAAGCTGTGTACTCTATTCATATATTGTTCTTTCATGCTAGTGGAGAGTGGTGTCATTAGCATCTTAATTTTAGAGTTGTGAAATGATTTTACCAATTAGGAATTGAATGTGTATTTTTTTTCTGTTTAATAAGAAGAGCAAATTTGAATAAATAAGCTGGTGTAGATAAACTTAATAATCATGCTTTTTCTTGTTTGGAGATAGGTGATGTGTTGTCATATCCTGTGATACAGGTCACTCATCTGGCCTTCTGTTTCTGAAGTTTAAGTCTGGTTTGAATATGTAATAATACTACTCAGCATTTCTTGTTGCCTAAGTGAGACGAAACTTAAATGTTATGATATTTACTTCATGTATTCTTGTACTGTTCATTTCAATTAATTGGTATTGTATATCTAATATGTGATATTTGAACTGAATAAAACTTACAGTGTTGTAAATGTTCTTTAATAAATAATCACACCTAAGTAATAGGCTAGACTGATGAGAAATTAGATCAAATCAGTGCCTAGGCCTTTGTGTTTGTGTCGTAGGGATGTACTAACACATCACCACAGACTGACGGCTTTTCACAATAAATCAGTTTTCTTCGCTCACATTTCTGGACATTAGAAATCCAAAGCCAAGGTGCCAGTAGGGCCGGGCTTTCTCTGAAGGCCCCAGGAAAACTCCTCCTTCATCTCCTCCAGCTGGTGTGGCTGCTGGCCGACCTCGGCCTTCCTCGGCCAGCGGCTGCATCACTCCAGTTTCCGTGTCCATCGTCACATGGCCTTCTTCCCTCTGTGTGTCTGTGTCCAGATATCCCTTTCCTTATATAAGGACACCAGTCATTAGATTTAACTTCCACCCTAATCCAGGATGACCTCATCTTAACTTGATTACATCTGCAAAGACTGTATTTCCAAATAAGGTTATATCCACAGGTTCTAGTGGACATGAATTTTAGAGGAACAGTATTCAACACAGTGCAGATGTGGAACGATTCCAATTTAATTTTAGTAGGAAAAAAAAGGAAAGAGGGCTGCCAATGGCTTTGGCTTAAAACCATAATTACTTTTAAAAATCATTTCTATCCAAGGCAGATAAGATTTAATAAGAACTGAAGCTTGTATAGTTGTTTATTTGGGAGGAAGGGGGTAGTGCTTCTTAAGAAAAGGAATATGAATTGCAAATACTGAGTTAACTATGAAAGCATATATTTATTTGGAATTTTTAGAGGCATAAATTACAATATTTAAAACAGCATAACACTCTACAAAATACTGAAAAGTATTTTTATTAACTTCCTGGCACCTTTATGATACCTTTCCCATCTTTTTTTTTCTTTTTTTTAACCTACATACTCTGGTTAGTTTGTTTGTTTATTTATTTATTTATTTTCTTCTTGGGGGACATGGTCTTGCTGTGTCATCCAGGCTGGAGGGCAGTGGTACAAGCATAGCTCACTGCAGCCTCAACCTCTTGGGTTCAAAGGATTGTCCTGCCTCAACCTTCTGAGTAGCTGGGACCACAGGTGCATGCCGCTATACCCGGCTAATTTTTTTACTTTCTATGGAGACGAGGTCTAGCTGTGTTGCCCAAGCTGGTCTCAAATTCCTGGGCTCAAGCAGTTCTCCCACCTTGGCCTCCCAAAGTGTGAGATTGCAGGCATAAGCCACTGCACCTAACCCTGCATACTCTTTGATCATCTTTTTCTTCTTAGGACAATCTTGTGTTGGTTACTAAAGAGAGAATGATATTTAAGTTCTTCCTCTAACATGGATATGGGGCAAAAATCATAGACTAAAAGTTTCAGTTTTCACAAGTCATTATTGGTAATGTCATTTAAATAGGATGGTTGTCAAATCTGGGAAAACCTCTGATGAAGTCTTTTATATGTGAGTTGTAAGGATCAGGCATTTTCCCGCTTCCTCATGCAGTGACTAATCTTAACTCCTTCAGCACTGTTGGATGAAACTTTCTGTGATGACGGACATTGTTGGAAATAAAGCTCGGAGTCATAAGGAAAATGAGTACTTAGACATGCTCTGTATTTGTGCTGTACAGTATGGTAGCCACCAGCCACATGTCACTTTTGAGCACTGACGATGTGGTTAGTGTGGCTGAGAAACTAAATTTTTTATTTAATTTGATTTTAACATTTGGCTTTTCCTCCAGAAAGCTGCCCCCTCCCGGCCCCGTGGCCCACCTCTGTGTCCCCAGCTGGGCCTCCCTCCAGGCCCAGTGACTGTGTCCACTGACTGGGGCCTGAGCCAGTGGATTTGGTGAAAACTAACCAAGGTTTATTATAAACAAAACTGTCCACCTCACTCACCCACCTGAATATGCTTGGAATGACTATTGAATCAATATGTTTAAAAATGAACAGGCGTATGCTTCTGGACAGGTTCCTCTTTATGTTCTTGAGATCTTTTCCTTCCTTTCCACATGAAGTCAGGTGTTTCAGTCAGGATGGGCTACATGATGCTGTGGTAAGAAGCATCCCCCACATCTCAGTGCTCTCCGTGGCAAAGGTTTATTTTTTACTGATCCAACATATTTCTCTGTGGTGGGCACCCGTGGTCCATGGCCCACCTCCCCTTCAGTGAGAGACTGGTTGCTGCCGCTGCGGGGAGCTCTACTGGTGGTGGCTTTTGGCTGCCTGCCCCTTCACAGGGCCACCTTACCCAAAGGCTCTCCCTTTTTGGGAAAGTTAACATTCTGTGACTGATCAAAGTCGTTGCATAAAGGCCTAGCCACCTCAGCCACACATGGGACAACTCTGAAGGGCCAGGTTGCTCTGAGCTCTGCGTTCAACTGATACTGTCACTGCACCTGCAGGACAGCTGGACTTCTCCCTTTGCCCACAGCCACTTCCTTCCTTAGGCATGAGTCCCAAGAACACTCCTTAATAAGCACCTTGCCTGCTAAGTCCTTGTCTCAGATCTGCTTCCCTAGAGCCAGCCTGCAATGGTTAGTTAGTACCAGGAGTGGGGGTTGGAGCTGGATCACTCACCACTTTTCTAGCAATAAGAACCCCTATCACTGGTGGTAGGTGGAACACAGCCCCATCATGAAGTGACAGTCCAATTTTTAAAACGTGAAGGGGGCCAGCCCCTCTACACCTGTGAGTATTTCTTGTCAGGTGGGACGAGAGACAGAAAAAAGACGAGACAAAGTATAGAGAAAGACAAGTGGGCCCAGGAGACCGGCACTCAGCATACAGAGGACCTGCACCGGCACCAGTCTCTGAGTTCCCTCAGTATTTATTGATTACTGTTTTCACTATCTCCACAAGGGGAATGCGGCAGGAGAGCAGGGTGATAGTGGGGAGAAGGTCAGCAAGAAAACATGTGAGCAAAGGATTCTGTGTCACAAATAAGTTCAAGGGAAGGTACTATGCCTGGACGTGCACATAGGCCAGATTTATGCTTTTCTCCACCCAAATATCTCAGTGGAGTAAAGAGTAACAGAGCAGCGTTGCTGCCAATATGTCTCACCTCCTGCCACAAGGCAGTTTTTCTCCTATCTCAGAATAGAACAAATGTACAATCGGGTTTTATACCGAGATATTCTGTTCCCAGGGACAGGCAGGAGACAGAGGTTTTCCTCTTATCTCAGCTGCAAGAGGCCTTCCTCTTTTACTAATCCTCTTCAGCACAGACCCTTCATGGGTGTCGGGCTGTGGGGATGGTCAGGTCTTTCCCATCCCACGAGGCCGTATATCAGGCTATCACATGGGGAGAAACCTTGGGCAATACCCGGCTTTCCAGGGCAGAGGTCCCTGTGGCCTTCCGCAGTGCATTGTGCCCCTGGTTACTGAGAATGGAGAATGGTGGTGACTTTTATCAAGCATGCTGCCTGTAAACATTCAAGTATGCTGCCTGTAAACATTCAAGTATGCTGCTTGTAAACATTTTGTTAGCAAAGCACATCCTGCACAGCCCTAGATCTCTTAAACCTTGGTTCCATACAACACATGTTTCTGTGAGCTCAAGGTTGGGGCTAAAGTTACAGATTAACAGCATCTCAGGGCAAAGCAATTGTTCAGGGTACAGGTCAAAATGGAGTTTCTTATGTCTTCCTTTTCTATATAGACACAGTAACAGTCTGATCTCTCTTTCTTTTCCCTACAAAAACGTTCACTGGTCGTGAACTGGGATGGTGTACTAGCTCCTGCAATCTATCAGCCCTTTGAGAAATATGGAGTAAATCATAACTATAAGGACAATGGAATTAGGTAGCTATCGCTAAAATTGGCCAATGCTCTGGAAAAAGATAAAATATATGAATAGTTAATCACCAGCTGAAACCAGTGGAAGAATCGGAATATCCAGATTCCCCTGAACCTATAGAAGTAGCTTGGAGATGATGGTATGAAAGCTTCTTCTTGCAGGGGCCGATGCCACGTGCCTCTCGGAATCTACCCTCACCTTCCCTCCTGGTTACTTAGCCTGTAACTAGGGTGAAATATCAGTAAAACCCACTGGGATGTTCTGAGCCTGATGTTGGGGGAGGGAAGCACTATATTCCCCAGGAGCTGTAAGACCTTAGCCAGCATGGACCAGCAGAAGCCAGGAAACTGTACACTGGGTGGGAACCTGAGGGTGTTTTATCCAGGGGACTGGTATACAGCATTGAATAAAGGAGAGCTGGCCAATCTGGGAGTGCTGTCCTAGGATTCAGGATTTAGCACACTAACATGGAGCCCGGGAGATGGGAGATTATCCTGGTGAAAGGGACACCAGCCACACTGAAGTCCAAGCCAGAGCTGATGATAGGAGAGGCTGCTACAGAACTCGGCTCCCTCATGGCAATCAGGATGGTATAATTCCAAAACAACAGAGGCCACGTGGAAACACCAGAAGCCAGGTGAGCACGATGACTGTGATGAGGTACTGTGTTTGGGGAGTGGAGGGAGGGCTGCTGTTGGCTCATAGGTACAGAGGTGGTTATTAAAGCAGTGCATCCCTCGGGGCAAAATAGACGGCCAGCAGGGAGCCGCTCAGCCCCACTAAAAGCAATCAGGAGTGATGGTGAGGAGGCAAAGGGGTCTGGTCCTAATCAAAATTCACATTCCCTTGGACTGGTTTCCATGTCTGAGCTGCTTTCAGACCCAGAAGCCATTGACTGAGGAAGAGAACCAGGTGGAAGGGCCTGCGATATCATGGCCGGGTTCCCCAGTCCTCCTCCAGAGGTGCCATCACCCGTTCTCCCAGATAACAGTACACTGGGGGGAAGGGGAGATGGTGGATTTCAAGGACTCTGGGGGTCCAAGTCCACACCGCTTCCAGGGACATGAAACATCATCGTGACACCCCTATTAGAGTGGGTACATGGGGACCAGGTAATAAATGCAGCCTCAGCCAGGATTTGGGTCACAGTGGGTCATTTTTCTGGTACTTAAATATATTATCAGAATGGACACATTTTAGAGTATTCTTGGCCTGAGAGGTAAGAGCTATTACAGTGAAGAAGGGAAGTGGAAGCCTCCAAAACTGTTTCCTCTTCCCCTCAGCCACTCCAGTAAATAACAACAATATCATGTCCCAGGAGGGGTGGCAGAATTTAGCATCACTGTTAAACATCTAGAGGATGTGAGGTTGTAGCCCATGATTTATCTATTTAACTTACAAGTCTTGCCATTGAAAACTCCTGGTTGACCTTAGAAAATGAGAGTAGACTCTTCTAAACTCAACTGAGGATTAGCACTGATTGCCATCTGCCGTGCCAGATATATTTTTATATCTTTGCCAGGACATAGTCACTTAGACTGTAGCAAATGGTGTACACACATTGATTTTCCAAGTGCATTTTCTATCAGGAAAGAGGCACTTTACTTTCGCATGAAACAATGTGTACATTTATAGTTTTGCCTCAGGGCTAATGTTGACCTGCCTGCCCTCTGTCATAATTAAAGTAGGAAGAGATCTGGACCATCTAGAAGATTTGTAGAGCATCAAGTCACAATCTATTACATCACTGAGGCCACTCAAACTGGATGAGCAAGAAGTGGCTAGCACATCAGAGGCCTGGGTAAAACACATGCATGCCAGAGGATTGGAGATAAACCTTACAATGATTCAGGGACTTTGCCACATCAACGAAATTTCTAGGGAGGCAGGGATGAGGGGCATTCAGGACAAATCACTGCATCTTGCACCTCCTACCATGAAGAAAGAAGCACAGTACCTTGTAAACTTCTTTGGGTTTTGGAGGCAGCATATGACACATCTGGGAGTGTTGCTCAGACCTGTGTCCTGGGTGAAATGAAAAGCTGCCTGCTTTGGGGAGGGCCAAGAGCAGGAAAGAGCTCTGCACGGGGCCCAGGCTGTGGTCCGTGGGGCACTGACACTTGGGCACATCACCTGGCCGACTAAGACATGAAGAGGATCACTGGAGGGTATTATGGGCTGAATTGTGTCAGCTGACATCCCCCTGCCACAGAAATTCATATGTTGAAGTCCTAAATCCAAGTACCTTAGAATGTGACCCAAACAGGGTCACTGCAGAAGAGTTAATAAAGGTAAAATGAGGTCATTAGGGTAGGCCCTAATCCAATATGACTGGTGTCCATATAAGAGAAAATTTGGACACAACTACATCCAGGGAGGAAGCTCATGTAAAGACACAGGGGAAAGATAGTCATCTGCAAGCCCAGGAGAGAGGCCTGGAGCACACACTTCCCTCTCATCCCTTAGAGGGGACGAACCCTGCTGACACCTTGATCCTGACTTCTAGCCTTCACAACTGCAAGAAAATAAATTGCAGTTGTTTAAGGCTTTCAATTGTGGTACTTTATTATAGCAACCCTAGCAAAATAATACAACAGAAGAAAGGAGCTGTGTGGAATTTATTGCAAATTATAATAGGAGAATCACAAGACTGCCAGCATGCTGCTGGGTCCTGGTGGAGACAGAGCCCTTGGCCATGGCAGAAAGTGGACATGCAGCCACAGCTGCCCCAATGAGTTAGGGTTGGGCAGAACCATCATATAAGATGAGGCGGGTCAGCAAAAATCCATCTTAAGATGAAAGTGGTATCCCTACAGTCACACACGAGCAGGACCAGGGCACACTACACAAACATAGCTCAGACCTCTGTCATCCACCATGTGTGTACCACTGCATCTTACCAGTTCATACCCATGGCTATGTGGGGAATTCTGTATAACCAAAGGAGGAAGAAAACATCCAAGCTCAGTTCATGCTCAAGTGGGCTTGACGTGTTTGTGTGAGCTGCACATAGATGGCAGCTGCATACAGCCTTGATCAAGGGTGGCCTCGAAAGACAGTAGCGATGGAGAAAGCTCCCAATGGGCAGAATTTGGGGCAGAGTACCTGGTCATCCACTTTGTGTGGAAGGAAAACTAGGCCAGAGTTAGAATATACATGGACTCGTGGGCAGTGCCAAATGGCTTGTCTGGCTTCAGGAGCCTGGAAAGACAAAGGCTGCAAGATCTGGGGCAGGGAGGTCCGGTAGAGGCATGCGGGTAGGCACATGGGAGTGGCAGGCGGAGAGCGTGATGACAGTCTTATTACATGATAGTGCTCACTGGAGAGCATCCACCACAGAAGACGCTCCTAGCAGCCAAGTAGGCGAAATGACTCAGTCAGGTAACATGGGCCAGCCTGTGTCATTGGCCCCCCAGTGCTGGCACAATGGTGGCAGGGATGGAGGCTATGAGTGAGCCCAATGGCACAGCCTTCTACTTACCAAAGATAATGTAGCTACTGCTTCCACCAAGTGTCCAGTCTGCCAGTAATGGAGACAAATACTGAACTTGATAGAAAGCCGAAGGGCCACTGACTCATTCTGAAATCTAAATAGACTGCTACTCTGAGTACAGATTTCTCTCCCAACCAGAAGGCCTCCATCAGAAGCACTAAGACAGGGCTCATGGAGTGTTGGCTTTGTCGGCAGTGGACAGCACCTCCATTGTGAAGGACGCAGCATGGGCTGTGATGGTGGATGCCTGTCACCTACTGAACTAGACAGGAGCTTCTGATCTTATAGGAAATTGGCATGGCTGTTAAAGGCCTAGTGCCAGCTCACAGGCACTACCTGACAAGAATGGGATGCTGTCCTCCAGGATGCAGGAGGCACTTGGGATCAAGCACTTTTACATGACACTTTGTCCCCAGTAGAAAGCCCTCAGGTCTGGAAACCAAGATGTGCTGACTCCAGCTCCCAGAAGCCAACTTGGAGCATCTGTGCTTCCCATGCCCTGAATTCTGAGCTCTGCAGGTTGAAATGTCTGGGTTTCCAAAGGGAAATTTTTCCCTGGGGACACAGCGACCCAACCCCTCACTCAAACTCAAAGTAAGGGAGTGAACTGCTAAGGTCACAGACTAACCTGGGCCTATGCTAGGCCCCAGGCCTCCTGGATCCCTGCCTCTGGCCGGACCACGGTCTCAGGCAGGACCACTGCTTCTGATTCACACAACTGCCGCCAATGCCCTTTCACAGAGCGCATGGCCTCCGAAGGGTGGAGTCAGGCCAGGCAGTGTGGGAGCGTCCAGAAGATTCAGCACAGCATGCGTGAAGCGAGCACCTGCACCCAGCTGACACTCCCTGTGGGGAGGGAGGGCTTAGGGCTGGGGAGAAGGAGAAGGGTGGGTGTGTGTGTTGGGAGATGAGAGTCAGACATTTCTCCATGCCCCAGGGCCCTTTTTCTTCCTCCTCCCAGTCCTGAGGTGGGGGCTCTGACTCCTAGCACTATGCATACAGTACCCTTATTTCTAGGGGAGGAGGTGGAGATCCCTGCAGTCTGGCTAGGGAGGAGAGTGTGCTGTGTCTCACACCCTTCCATACCCAGGGAGAGTGAGGGGCGTGGTATTCCACACACCCCTGAGACCTAAGATCCCTAACATGGGCCTGGTGGCACACACTGTGGCCTGAAAGAGCAGTCGCTACTGCTCAGCAGATAACCAAGGTGCCAGCTGAGCGGAACCAGCCTCACAGGCCTGCAGAGGCTCAGATCTGCATGTTGGCCCAGACCCCAAAAATGGAACGGTAGGGTGCCCTCAAACCCATGCTCAAGGGTGCACAGGTGCCACCTGCCCCCAGATGCCGCCCCACCTGGGAGATTGTCCCTCCACTGTCACTGTGTCATGATGAAATCTTCAGAAGCCTGGGGATGTGGGGACTGGCCAGAGGCATCTGTGCCCCCAACACTCAACACAGTTCCTGCACAAAGATGCTTGTGGAAGGAAGGAGGGAGGGAAGAAGGAAGGGAAAGATGGAGGCAGGAGGGAGGGGAGGAAGGAAGGGCGGATTCTACTAGAGACCTTCTCTCATTCAGTGGTTCGATGCCACAGCCCACCATAAGGCTGTGCACGCCCAGTGTCTCGCTGGATGCTCATAGCTCAAGGGGCACTTGGGGGTGCTCCAGCCTGGGCACCAGAAGCTCTGCTGGGGCTGCATCTGATTCACATAACTGCAGCCACTGCCCTTAACTTTCCTCCATCGCCTTTGCTGAAGTCAGGATTCCAGCTGAGCCCCGTTCCTCCCTTGCCTCCCTCCCTGCCAAGATTTCTCATGCGGGCCTCTGAGGAGGTGGAGGCCTGCACCCCGCTATCAGGGAGCTCGCAAAAGTGAGTTTCCATCTGCCGAAGACCACCATGCACCCCTCGGTCCGAAAAATGCCACTGACTGACATGACTTTAGAATCTGGGAGTGCTGCACACTTGGTGGGGGAGGGGGAGGGAAGCCCCTTCTAGAAGGTCTGGGCTCTCCCTGGAGACTCTGATGAGGGTCTGAGGAAGTGGGATCCATCCTGTGCTGGCTGCTGTTTCCAAGACAGTCTCAGGAACAGCAGGATTGACTACTGTTTGGGTGCCAGCAAGAGCAAGGAGGGCTCAGCATTTGGGGATTCGTAGCAAAAGAGGGGTGCAGCAAAGCGGCTCTAGGGCACGATTGGTGAGGAAGCAGTGCTCACTCAAGGGAGATCATCCTGGCATTTTCCAGCTATAGGTTGACCCCGGGAGAAATGGCATTTTCGGCGGATGCTGCAGCTGGCTTTATCAGAGTGTGTCCTCCCAGCGGGATTAACAGCTAGGCTGCTTTCTTCTCTTTTCAGTCCAGGCTGATTTTGACTGTCACAGAGAAAAGTGTTCAAGAAGATGTTGAAGAAATATTCACCCTGACTGCAAATCCCCACACTGAGAAGTATTCCTTCTATTTACTTTGTACCTCCTATAATAACAAGGACAGCCTTCTTCACATGGTTGTCATGCAAATGCCTATAGAATAAATGAATGCATGCAAGAACGAATGAGTTATATGTTTTAAATAACGTTTTGGTTTTTTTAAAAATGTGCTAAATGTTTTAGGTATGTTAACTCCTTATGCCAACCTTATGAACATGTCATAGGACAATCTATTGTTATCCTCATTTTACAGATAAGGAAACGGAGGCTTTGAGGCATTAAGGCGCTTGCACAAGGTTGCAGCAAGTGTGGAATCGGGACCAGAAGACAGACAAGACAGGTTGGTCTGACTCCAGAACCTGCAGGCTGCGATGATACAGCTCAAGAGTGACACTGCTCCCTCAGAAGCCTGTGCCACCTCTTGTATTTCGGTTGTTTATTATTTTACTTTTTTATTATACTCCAGGTTCCTCAAAGGCAAAGGACCCTGTCCTAATTCATCCCCCCATTATCTTGCACAGAGCTCTGCTTGTAGTCTTTCATGGATACTTGATGATTCAATGAATAAAGAAGAAAGAGAGGGACAGAAGAGAAGGAGAGGATGGAAGGAAGGAAAGGAGGGAGGGGAAGGAAGGAGGGGGCTGTCATTTTGGTCAAATTTCCTTCATAAGGACAAGAGATGGGTAAGGCGAGCCCTTGTCTTTTGCGCCACCTGCTGGACATCCTCCAGTACTGCAGGGGACTGGAGAGCCCGGGTATGAGCTGCGAGCAGGATTTCCCTGCTTTCCAAAGATTTGGGATACATCAGCGACGTTGACAAGGCTTCGCTGAGAACCCAGGACGAATGGCTTCAAGACGACAAACCATAGGCCATATCATTGTGAAGCAGGACCACCCTAGATGTCTCTCCACTGTCACATGCCCTAGGCAGAGTTGGACGTCCCTCTGTCAAAGAGGCCAGTTGGAAGATCCTGTTGTCAACCAGCTCCATTTCCCCGCTGACCTACATAGCTACCCTTCTTCATCTCCGCTTGATCTTCAGGTGGCGCTGTGTCACACACTCTAGCTTTAAGTTTCTCTGTGCTCAGGCCTCTTTCTTGAGTGGCTATTACTTTAAAATATTTTATATTTAAAGATATTGGAGACCTTCACTTAAAGGAGCCCTGGAATGAGTCCTTTTATGAAGCCAAGGACCTTTTCACAAAGCCAAAGGATTTACCTTTATTGTACATTTAAAAGATTTTTTACAAAATCCTGGACACAGCTGTATAAATAGTAAAAGAGGATGAACTGATTATCTTTTACTGATCATGGTGAAACCAAAATCACCTAGTTTCACAGATATGTGGAAGGTTTCTCCTGGAGTCTGTAAGAGTGACAGCAGGTCAGAGAATGGATTAAGAGTCTGGGGAAATGAACTCTTGGGCAAACTTGCTTACTAGATACAAACCGAGTATAGTGCTCTGTCCTTCCCAACAATGGTGACAGCGGCCGCAGCTCCTTCCTCAAAAAGCCTGTTTTCATGCTGCTTCCTCCATTTACAGGGAAGTATCAGTGGTTACCACGCCAAGGGAGAGTGGCTTTGTAACATAGCTTTGGAAGCCTGAGTCCTGTGTCTCTGCCCCTTTGTTAGGTGCTGTAAGGTGAAGACTGTAGGATTTGAGTCATATCTAGTTTCAGATTTTGTCCCCAGCCCTCACTAGGTGTGGTTCAGTTAACCTAAGCTCACTAAACTTCACTTTCCTCACCTGTGAAATGGGATAACAAACTCATCTGCCAGGGTTATTCTGAGGATAGATAAATTCATGTAAACATAGTAAGCTCCAAAGAAATGGTAGCTGTTATTATCCCGAGTGGAGATGGGTGAGGCCTCTAGTAATCTATATCTTCATTCTCTCCTTCCTTCTAGGAATACGCTCAGCTTACAAACTACAGTTCCAATGGCCAATACGATAAAAGGAAGTTATTGGGTGAAACCTCAGGAAATGCTATTGAAGGGGAAGCTTATGCTTCTGACAGTCAGCCTCTGAGCTTTCCCTCTTCTTTCTTTTCCCTGCCTGGGACTCAGGAGTGAGAGGGGAGCTGAAGCAGATGTCGTGACCATGATGTAGGCTTGTGGAGAAATGCCATGTTTTAGGACTGGTGAAGCAGAAGACAGAGTTGGGGTCTCTCATGACATCGTGGGGCCTCCCTAGCAGCCCTGGACCACCTGCTTCTGAGAAATTTCAGATTACATAAGAGAAAGACACCCCTACCTAGCTGAAGCCCCTGTGACTCGGCATATGTTGGTAGCAGCCACATGCAGTTCCTCACCGGCTCACACATATTAGTGGGCGGCTTTAAGGAGAGACCTTGTCACACTCTGGCCCTCGCTGTCTTTATAAAATGTGGCCATGACTTTGATAACCCCATGGGCCCTCCCAGCTCTCACATGACAGCCCCCCATTTCCCCCTCCTGAGTCTGGGGGTGACTCAGTGCAGAGTTTCCTTGGTCTCATCTGTCTCTCTCTCTCCTTTCTCTGCGATGCAGCAGCCTGGTTGGGGCCTAGAAGGCTTCAGGCCAGCCATCCAGATCACCTGTTGCTGCCCCTCCAATGTGGCCCGAAGGGGTCGCTCTCAGCGCACCTTCAGAGCTGGAGGGTCCTTGTGGCCAGCAGGCTAGGTGGACATTGTCCCTGCAAGCTCAGCCCCGCCCTTCCCATTCCAAGCCGCCTCTGTTGCCTCTCCTCCTCAGTGGAATGAAAGCAAAACTTCAGCAAAAGACAGCAATTGGAGAATTGCTTAAATGAAGAAGAAATAGCAGTCACAGCCCAATGTCCATCAAGTGGCTACATTTGGAATTGGCCACATGGGGTCACTGCACCCTCAGGAATGGAGGGACTTCGGCAGGGTGCCTCTGTCTCTGAAGCATGGACTGGAGAAAGCTGCTGCCTGTGGAAGGGATGGGAGATGCTCCTTTTCTGCAAAGTTGAGCTGCCTGGGACATGCTAAGTCCCTCCCCACGGCCAGGCGGGAAGGCGCTTAGTGTAAGGCCTTGAACCAGAGAACAGTCTTCCAAAATATTACTCTTACCGTGATTTTCATTGTTATTACAGGATTTTGGAATTCCTACGTACTCTTTTTGTTGTTGTTCACAGCTGATGAAATCTGTAGATCCTCTCTGTAAAAAGGTGTGAATATCAAATGCAATAAATCCAGGTCCTGGATGGTGAGTGAGTTTCTGGCTCTGTCTGCTGGGTCTGCTGGGTGCATGATGCCAGGTAGCGTGGTAGAGTCAAAGGACTGTGCTGCAGGCCCCAGGCCTGGGTTTAAATCTTTGCTGGCTAGGTGACCTTGGACAAGGTGCTTCACTTCTTGGAGACTTGAAAGCCTTATTTATAGAATGAGAATTCTAATATCTACCTTGGTTTGGAGTTAATGTATATGGAGCGCCTATCAGTGCAAGGCACATAGTGAGCAATTAGTACATGACCATGCTCTTCTCGGGTTAGGGAGCCCAGGAAGAAGAGAGGCTGGGGAGAAGGATCTGAGCTCAGCTATATGTTCAGATGTAAGTTCTCAGTAGCCTGGGAAAGGCAGGTGCAGGTGGAGCTGGCTGTGAGCTCAGGAGACCTGAGGCTGCCACCTAGGGTGAGATACAGCTGCAGGTATGGGCATCAGCAGGTAACTGAAGCCACTATAAGTGATATATGCCAGTGCCTCTCAAGCCTTCACACACTCAGAAGCATCTGGGTTCACTGAAACACAGATTGCTGGGACACCCAATCCTGAATACTATGTGGTTGGAACCAGTTCTTTTAAGATGCACAACACAAGGCCTGGACTCACTGCTGTCTGATGCCTGGTCTAAAGCCAAGGGGGAACTTCAGAATTTCCATTTGGTTTGGAATTGTGCCTTAGGAAGTGTCTGGCACTGCCAAGCCCTGTACCATCACCTTGTTTGTTGCTTTATTATTGTTTGGTTTGTTTTTGTTTGTTTGTTTGAGACGGAGTCTTGCTCTGTCGCCCAGGCTGGAGTGCAGTGGCACGATCTCAGCTCACTGCAACCTCCACCTCCCGGGTTCAAGCGATTCTCCTGCCTCAGCCTCCCAAGTAGCTGGGACTACAGGCACACACCACCACTCCCAGCTACTTTTTCTATTTTTAGTAGAGATGGGGTTTCACCATGTTGCATGGGCTTGTCCCGAACTCCTGACCCCAAGTGATCCGCCCGCCTTGGCCTCCCAAAGTGCTGGGATTACAGGTGTGAGCCGCCACTCCCGGCCTCATTGCTTTATTTTTGCCTCCAAAATATTTCATTTGACCAATCCCTGGCTTTGAAACACTTGAAGATTATGGGTTTAAACAGTGGTTCTCAAAGCTCATTCTTGAGAGCAGCCATGTTTGCATCGCTTGGGAACTTGCCAGACATGCAGTCTTCGGCCCCATCCCAGATCTGCCAAATGAGAAGCTCTCGGGTGGGGACCAGCCAGCTGGGTTCTAACAAACCTGCAGCAGCCACGCATGTGCTCGAGAGTCAGAAAAGCACTGCACTAGAGAAAGGGTGGCTTGTGGCCATGCCTCAGCCATTCTCCTGTTGGTGAAGTCTGCCCCCAGCACCAGCTTCCTTAAGGTGACCCTTCCTTCTTCGGCATTCCCAACCCCTACCTTTCCTGCTGCCCCCCATCAGACTCCAGGTGCTACTTGCTCATTCCTCCATCCCCTGCTCTGGCATCTAGCAGTGGGTAGCGATGAGTTCATCAGGTGTGCCAATTTTTACTGGTGGTGTAAGGGGAGTAATAAGGTCCCATCCCAGATTCACCTGCAAAAAAAAAAAAAAAATTGCATGCATTCTTAAGAACCTTAAAAAAGAGAAAGTACCACAAGGATGTATGCAGATGTGGGGATAGTCCGTGGCCTTTGGACACCCCTCAGATGGCTAATGCACAGACCGCCATTGGTGGGGCCATCATAATAGCAGTCCTAATAATGATGATGACGAGGACAGCCACAGCATCTGACATCTGCGGGCTCCTCACTGCAAGCCCATGGGCTCCACAACTATTATCCCATTTTACAGAGGAGGGAAGGCAGACTCAAGGAGCTTAGGTGACCCTGCTGCCATTCACACATCTGAGGACTGGGGGAGCAGGCTTTCCACCCCAGCCAGTTACCCCTGCCCTACACCAATGCCGTCCCCAGCTCTCTGCCCCCCAGACCCCATGGGGTGTCTCTGAAGAGACAATGCTAGCAGGAAGACAGCTTAATTGGAAGACATTTTCTTTAGGCCAACGAAGTCTATGCATCTTACATTATCTGGGCACATCTGTGGAATGAGCATCCTCCAGGAGGATGCCTCCAGGATCGTGAGCATGGAGCCAGGAGTGGGAGGGGCAGGAGCACTGTGCCCACAGGTGAACGATGGACCGTGAATGTCAAGTTCAAACTTCAGATGAGAAGGCGCTCCTCTCCTGGGGTGACAAAGGAGGGGAAATTCCTTCCTTCTGATCCATGAGAAGAGAGAAAAGGGCCCCACCCCCAGCACCCTGTATACAGTAGGTGCTCAGGAAATACAAATTGAACCCATGACTGGTCATCCGCCCAGGGCCGCCGAGTCTGGATTACTGATTTGGTTTTTCCGGGAGTCGTGTTTTCTAAGGACTCTGTTTTCTCTTGCCATGAAAATGTGCCTATTTTTAGCTTTGATTCGTGCAGGCTGCAGCATGAATCACCTAAAATGCCCCGCTAGAAAGAGCTGGGATTAGAGAGCAGGTAGTTGAATTGGACTCAGCGTCCCTGCATGAATGCAGGACCCTGAAGACCCTGGCATCTGGAAGGTGGAGGGCAGGAGGAACGCCCATGCCTTGTAGAGGGAGGGCTCTGGGCGTCCTGGGTATCTGACCCGCCTGTGTGTATTTAGTCCAGAAAAAGCAGGTTTTCACACAGTTCTTCAGTCTGATGAAATTCACCTTCAAAAGGCCCTAAATCCAAAAGCTAAAATGCAATAAAAGAAAATAAGATGCAAAGCCACGGCAGTGATTTTTTAGTTTAATTGGGAGCCTTCCTGGCTCACTCCTCATTCTCCTTGCCCCAAATTTCTCCAGCTTCTCTGGCCAGGGTCCCAACCACACTATAAAACTACCAATGACACCACCCAGGGTGCCAGGGACAGCTCAGGGCCCTTTGCATGTGCTGCCTCCAAGGTGGGCACTGGCCTGGCCCCACTGCCTAGATGGAGACACAGGCACAAAGAGACAAGTTGGCTTGCCCAGGGTTGTATAGGGGGCAGTGGCACAACTAAGGATCTGAGCCAGAAAATCAATGCCACTTATTGGTCTCTCTCATTGGCACGGGCCCTTCCTTTCCTCATCACTCCCTGGCACCCACCTGGGAGGAGCTGTGATGGCCAATCTTATGTGTCAACTTGACTGGGCCACAGGGTGCCCAGATGTTTAGGCAGACATGATTCCAGGTGTTTCTGTGAGGTTGTTTTTGCGTGAGATTTACATTTAAACCAATAGAGAGAGTAAAGCAGATGGCCCTCCCTAATGTGAGGTGAGGGGGTTGCAATCAACTGAGAGCCCAGATAGAATAAAAAGGCTGAGGAAGAGGGTGCCTCTCCTACCTGACTGCTGTCATTTGAATGGGAACATCAGCTTTTCCTGGTTCTCCAATAACTTTCCATCTGTGGACTCTAACTGGGACATCAGGCCTGTGGATTTGCCAGCCTCCACAATTGCGACAGCCAATTCCCTAGAATAACTATATTTCTGTGAATACAGATACACACTTTCTATTGGTTCTGTTTTTCCAGGGAACCCTCATCTAGGAGCTTTTCAATTCTATGCTTTTTGCAGCCCCAGGACACTTAGTGAAGCACCAAAGCTGTCGTGGGGACAACAAAGGTCTTTTGAACCCAGGGGACCCCCTTCCCAGTGGACCCTCATCCCTGAGAAGAGCGTTTCCTCCTCCCTGCCCTCCAGGAAGGGCTGTGGGAGGAAGCGCAGGCCCAGGAGGTGGGCAGGGTGGTGGGTGAGCGGGGTCAGGACTGGAGGTCAGGAGCGATTGGGGGCCAGTGAGGGACCGGTGGGAGCAGAGGGGATGTCAGCCTGTGGCCCCCAAGCAGAGGTCGGAATGCAGCCTCCCCGTCAGATGCGGCCCCTGACACTGGGGGCACCAGCAGAGATCAGGTGGGGGCCGGGGTGGCAGCCAACCCTAGTGTCCCAAGGGGCGCCCCAGGGCATAGCAGACTCGCTGCAACATCTGTTTCTTATCACTTAGTCAGAAAACAACATATTAACTCAGAAAACAACAATGAAGCACCTCCCTTGCCCAGGCTCTGTGATGGGCCCCGGGTACAGGAAAGTGAGCAAAGCCCAGGCCTGCCCTCAAGGGAAGACAGACACAGCATCGCCCCCAATATTAATATTAGCACCTTCCATGGAGCTCAGCGTGCCATGCACTGTTCCTGGTATTATTCTAGCCCCATGTACGGTCACCCCCTTATCCATGGGAGAAAAGTTCCAAGACCCCCACTGGATGCCTGAAACTGAGGTAGTACCAAATCCTACAATACTGCTTTTTCCTAAATGTACATACCTAGGATAAAGTTCAATTTATAAATTAGGCAGAGAAAGAGATTAACAACTAATAACAAAATAGAACAATTCTAACGATATACTGTAATACAGTTATGTGAATGTGGCCTCTTTCTTTCTCAGAATATCTGATTGTACTGCACTCACCCTTCCTGCGATGAGCGAGAT
Organism: Homo sapiens; assembly: GCF_000001405.40. Classification (NCBI taxonomy): domain Eukaryota; kingdom Metazoa; phylum Chordata; class Mammalia; order Primates; family Hominidae; genus Homo; species Homo sapiens. The sequence goes on along the minus strand of NC_000002.12, from coordinate 100,256,011 downwards.
GGTGAAATGCAGGCATGATGAGACAAATGGAGGGAGTGGACAGAACAAGAGTCTAATATGCTGCTCAGAATGGCAGCAATGAAAAACTTAGGAATTGCTTATTTCTGAAAATTTCCATTTCATATTTTCGAACCATCATTGATGACTGCTAACTGACACTGTGGAAAATGAAGCCATGGACAAGAGAGGCTACTGTATGATATTAATTCATTTCATCTTCCCAGCAGCCCCGTGGAGGAGGTACTATTACCCCATTTTATATATGAGGAAACTGAGGTTTTACCCCATTTTATATATGAGGACAGAGAGGTTAAGTGATTGGCCTAAGTTCACACAGCTCTCAAGGGCCAGATCTGGGGTGTGTACCCAAGTAGTCTGGCTCTACTTAATGATAAAAAATTATAACGCAATACTAAAGTGCAACCCTAAGGTGTGCAGCAGGCGCAGTGGATGAACAGATGGGGCGTTCCATGTGGATGGGCAATTATGGACCGAATGTTTGTGCCCCCCAGAGTCTCATGTTGAAGTCTTAACCCTGCAGTGTAATGGCTTTGTACTGGGAGGTGGGTCTTTGGGAGGTAATTGAGGCATGAGGGTGGAGCCCCCATAAATGACATTGGAGTCGTTATAAAAGTGACCTCCGAGAGCTCTCTTGCCCTCTTTCCACCATGTGAGGACACATGAGAAGCTGACAGAGGGCCGTCGCCAGAGCCTGACCATGTGGCCCCTGACCTGAGACTTCCAGCCTCCAGAACTGTGAGCATCAGTGTTTATCTTGAAGCCTCTCAGTCTATGGTAATTTGTTATTGCAGCCCCAACTGACCGAGACGCTAAGGGCTTCACCGAAGGGGAGAGGCCAGGCCGGGTCCTGAGGCAAGGGTAGGAGCTTGCCAGCAGGTGGTGGTGAGGCCACAGAGTCCTGATTCAAGGCAGAGGCAAGAACTTCACGTTGGAGAGCGAGCCCAAGGCCGGGAGGCTGAGGGGAAATTGGGAGAAGTCAGGAAGGCTGGGTTGTAGGAAGCTAGCCATGGCCACTTGGATCCAGAGGGCCCCTCTACAGACGGGAGAAAGGCCAAGAGTCACACCAAGGTACCACACAGTCACCTGACATGACACATCTGGCCGGGCAGGGGCTGCGAGAGCCGCCCATTTGGGCAGGGAGCCGTCATTCAGGACTGACATTGTTCACAACGGAGCTTGTGGTGGTGATGAAAAGAGGGCTAAACTTGAGTTAGTTTTCTTCTCATTTTAAATTCTCTATAGACAATGCACCTCCTGCTTCCCTTGTTCAGGCCAGCCACTCCCACCACCATTGGTTAAAAGATAATAAGGCCGGGCGCAGTGGCTCACGCCTGTAATCCCAGCACTTTGGGAGGCCGAGATGGGCAGATCACGAGGTCTGGAGATCAAGACCATCCTGGCTAACATGCTGAAACACCATCTCTACTAAAAAAATACAGGTGTGGTGGCGGGCACCTGTGGTCCCAGCTACTTGGGAGGCTGAGGCAGGAGAATGGCATGAACCTGGGAGGCAGAGCTTGCAGTGAGCCAAGATCCTGCCACTGCACTCCAGCCTGGGTGACAGAGCAAGACTCCATCTCAAAAAAAGACAAAGAAGAAGAACCTTTGGAACAGCTGGGTCATCCGGGCAGAGTGTTTGGTTTGGTTGCTGTTTTTTTGGGTGTTTGTTTTTTGTTCATTTAAGCCTGGATTCCTTAGTATATATAGGGTAACATTCCCTTAAGACAACTTAAATACAATGTCAGCCACACATGCAAGCCACATGGGTAATCGAGTAGCCATATTTTTTAAAAGTGAAGAGAAACAGATGAAACCAATTTTAATATTACTTTATTTCACTTAATATATTAAATATCTAAAAATTAGCATTTCAACATGTAATCCATAGAAAAACTATTCATGAGTTATTTTCCTTTGTTTTGTCTTTGAAATCTGGTGTGGGTTTTCAACTCGGCACCCACCTCCGCTCGACTCTCCACTCTTCCAGCGCCCAACAGCTGTGTGCAGCAAGCAGCCTGGGACAGGGCAGCACAGCCCAGCGCCTCTAAAATGAGCCCAGATCAAGCTGTGGCCACTCAGACCATATCAGTCCCTTTGAGTTTTTGGTCTGCTTGTTTTTGTCATCCAATAGGACCTTCACTGAGTCAGCAGGCATGTACCAATAAGCCCTAAATATTAAGAACACATTGATGTGATTCCCAGGGTAGCAACATCTCCTTACTTGAAAAGCACAACCCAAACGCAGGCCTTGCAAAGTGGAGTAGCCGATGCTGAGAGAAGAGCTGCTTCCACCGCTTTCATCAGCACCATAATCAAAAGGCATGAGAGGCTGCAGCTGAAGGGAGGGGAGGGAAGTGGTCAAGACCAGGAGTGATCAGCTGGGACCTCTACAACCAGCGTTCAGGGTGGACATGGGTCTCTCTGCTTTCCTGCTCTCTTTGGCTCCACTGTTCATTTTGAAAGCCATGCCGCTTCATGTCGGTAAACGAACTGGTCCTAAGGTCAGCCCAGGGAAAAGCATGTTAATAGATCCTCCAGACCTCAGGTTCTAAAGAACTGAACAGCATTTTCCTAAGATGCCTCAGGCGCCACCTAAGCCACTGGGCAGGAAAGCCTGCCAAGTCTTTTTCAGGGCCAGAAGCAAGGTTTCACCAACCGGGCCCCTCCACCCTGGCCCAGGGACTCACATTCTACGGAGCTGGGGCTCCGCTGAGCACAGCTCTCCCCTGGGCTGGAACGCCCATCTGGCGGCCTGCCCTGGCTCAGGAGGAGACAAGCCTGGGAGGTCATCCATGAAAACTCCACACTGCCTCCTGGGCACTCGCTTCTTTCTTCTGACCACCAAAACATATATACACAGGACTCTTCGACTTTTAGAACGGCTTTGATAATCCCTGCAAGGAGAGACTGGGTTACAGAAAGCACAAAAGTGGTCAATTTGCAAAGGTTCCCAAACCTTGGCGAGTTCTTCTAGTTCCTGACTTCTACCTGGGATGGCAGATGGTAACTTGACAGGACCCAGGGACGGATTTTTGAAATGAAATGTTGCATACTACAGAAAAGCCCTGTGAATATAATCCCACCTTTGGCCCCATTGTTGACTCTATCAAATCCTAACATGTTTATGGATTTGATTCATATTTATTTTTAAGACGTGAACAATTATAGGTAGTATGATATAATAAAGAATAATAAAAATAATAGGTTTGTGAGTGCTGGTGTATCCTTCCCCCAACGTCTGTGTGTGTGCACACATGCACACACAGGCACATGCATTCATGCACACTCACACACACACACACACACACACACACACACACACAGGTAGTGAGTGAGCCCTCAGATCCGGCCTTTAGCCTGGGAAACTCCTCATTCTGTACAGGCTGTAGAGACCACCGACCATGGAGCTTGTTTGAGGAACTAAAGATGTAAAAAGGAATATAAGCCAGTGGGGTGCGGTGGCTCACACCTGTAATCCCAACACTTTGGGAGGCCAAGGTGGGTGGATTGCCTGAGCTCAGGAGTTTGAGACCAGCCTGGGCAACACGGTGAAACCCCGTCTCTACTAAAATACAAAAAATTAGCCAAATGTGGTTGCGTGCACCTGTAATCCCAGCTATTCAGGAGGCTGAGACAGGAGAATCGCTTGAACCCGGGAGGTGGAGGTTGCAGTGAGCCGAGATTGCGCCACTGCACTCCAGCCTGGGTGACAGAGCAAGACTCCATCTCAGAAAAAAAAAAAAAAAAAGGAATCTAAGCCGTTCACTTTACCCTTAAACTTGGCTACATACTTTGTGCTGTTTGTCTGCTGTTCCTCAGTAAAAAAGTGAAAATCACCTTAACCAAGCGTGTGTTCTTACTCACCCCAGTCCTCAAACACTGACCAACCTTCCACAGTGTCCTATATAGATATATATATCTCCTGCAACCTGTGGTTAGGCCCAGCTTTATCGGTAATTAACATTGTGTAACTGTGCCTCAATTTACAGGTCTATCCTCTTTCCAGTGAACATTTGGGTTCTTTCCTTTTCCCGAACTAAACAAAGCTACAATTATTAACATTGTTTATGGCCGGGCTCACTGGCTCACATCTGTAATCCCAACACTTTGGGAGGCCAAGGCGGGAGGATCACTTGAGGTCAGGAGTTTGAGACCAGCCTGACCAACATGTAGACATGACCATGTCTCTATTGAAAATACAAAAATTAGCCAGGTGTGGTGGTGCGCACCTGTAACCCCAGCTACTTGGGAGGCTGCAGCAGGAGAATTGCTTGAACCTGGGAGGCACAGGTTGCAGTGAGCCATGACGGTGCCACTGCACTCCAGCCTGGGCAACAGAGCAAGACTTCATCTCAAAAAACAAACAAACAAAAAACATTGTTTACCAGTGCTGTTGTGAAACACTTTTGATTTCAGGTGATCTGATGTAATTGAAAGGTGTCTCACTGTGGTTTTTATTTGCCTTCTGATTCTAGAACAGCTGAGGATTTTTTTTTTTTTTTTTTTGACAGGGTTTCACTCTGTCATCCAGGCTGGAGTGCAGTGGTACGATGGTGGCTCACTGCAGTCTCAACCTTCTGGGCTTAGATGATCTTCCCACCTCAGCCTCCTGAGTAGCTGGGACTCCAGGCACATGCCACCACACCCAGCTAAGTTTTTATAGAGATGGGGTTTTGCCATGTTTCCCATGCCAGTCTCGAACGCCTGGGCTCAAGTGATCCTCTTGCCTTGGCCTCCCAAAGTGCTGGGATTACAGAGGTGAGCCACTGCGCCTAGCCACAGCTGAGGATCCTTTCATAGGCCATTGATCATCCTGCTTTCTTCTATGAATTGCCTGTCATGCCCTTGGTATGGACAGTTTTTTAACGTAGGAGTGTCATGCCTGACATGGTAAAGGAAAGGTCCAGTATCTTCCAATGGGAATGTCTTCCCAGCAGAATGACCCCAACAAAGGAGGCATTCGGTAAAGGCATGGACCACCCCAAGAGCCAGGGGATTTGTTCAGTCAGCACCTGAGCCTCCTCTTGCAGGTGTTCTAACAGAATGAGGCCAAATGTTGACTTCACTTGCAGCGATCCCTCTGCACAGTCCCTTTGAGGAACCTAAAACCTTTGCAGGTGGAAATGACGTGTTTTCAAAGTGAACACGTGCATCACCAGGTTGCGCTGAGGGAAAACTATTTCTATTCACTTTCTGTGGCAGCCGAGACAAATTACACAAAATGTTGACGTAAAACAAGGAAAGTGTATTATCTCACAACTGTGGAAGCCAGAAGTCCAAAATCAAGGTACTGGCAGGGCCATGCACCCTCTAGAAACAGCGCGGGGAAGCTGCTCTTACCCCTTCCAGCTTCTGGTGGTTGTCGGCCTTCCTTGACTTGTGGCTGTGATTCTCCAATCTCTGCCTCCCTCTTCACAGGATCTTCTCCTCTGTGTGTCTCATATAAGACACTTGCCATTGTGAGATTTTTATGAAGGGAGTGTGTGTGTGTGTGTGTGTGTGAGAGAGAGAGAGAGAGAGAGAGAAAGAGGCTGAAGGAGGGTGAAGGAAGGGCTGGTATTTTAAGCCATCCATGACCTTTTCACTGTTCTGCTGTGTGACCTGGGCCCGTTAGTTCACCACTCTGAACCTCCTCTTCTCCACCCTATGAACTGGATCCAATGACCGCCAGCTCTTGGAGTCTGGAGCATTGATGTGGGTGTGAAAGCACCTGGCATATGGTCATTACTCAACATATAACTTTGAACTTTGCTCTTTTAAAGGAAAGATGCTTACAATCTAAGATTCAGTGCTTAAAATGATAGCGAACATTTCCATGTGTCCGAAGCTGCTCCCAGCACATCACATGTATTCATTCACTTTATCCTCTTCATGACTCTATGAGACAGGCACTATGACCCTCCTCATTTTGCAGATGGGGAAACTGAGGCCCAAGGTCACAGAGCTGCTGCATGTTAACCTGTCTCTCAGGAGAAGGAATGTACTAAGGGAGGAGAAAGAAGCTCAGTGTGGACTTGAGGACTCAAAGAAAGAGAATTGCTCTGGTTGGAGAAATGCAGGAAGAAATTCAGGAAGGCTTCAGGACCTTGGTGACCATTGACGTTGATGGAGGTGGGTGTGAAGTGAAAGCCTTTGAGGTCCCTGCCCATGGACAGAGGAGTCTGCTCTTCGCAGCAGTTTCTACTGTCACACCTCCCTCACCTTCACTGGTCTTTCCAGAGCTCCAGGGAAGCAACCCTGACCCCTGACCCCCTCCAACAGGGAGGAGGTGATTCAGCCAGGCCAGATGTCAGAGCCCAAATGTCCTTTCCCAAGGATAATAACTGTGGTTATTGTCCAAACTGAGACACTTTGGTGGGGTGGGAGTTGTAACCATTAAGCCAGGAAAAGAGGTGTCATCCGCGACTATCTCAGCAAACCAGGTCAGAGAGTCACCTTGTCACTTTAGCAGCAGCTGCCTGAACCTATAGAACATAAACTGCAGCTCGACAGGCCCCTCCTGGACAGACAATGTGTTCAAGAGGAGTTTTGGGATAGTGGGGATCCCTGGTAAATGTGGCCCCAACCAAATAGAGGTGGGTGACAAGACAGCCTGGAGAAACCCTGTGCGGGGGCAGCAGGGAGAGGCAAAGGCACCCACTTGCCCAGACATGCCTTCTTAACGCACCCTGCACCGCCTTCTGTGTTTTAGAGATAACAAAAGGCCAAAGGCAAAGATCTGAGCAGATGCCTCAAAGAAGATATATAGATGGCAAATGAGCAGATGAAAAGATAATCCACATCATATGTCATCAGAGAAATGCAAATTAAAACAACAATGAGACACACCTACCGGATACCACACACCTATCAGGATGGCCCAAATCCAGGGCACAGATAGCAGCAAATGCGGTGAGGACGTGGAGCAATAGGAACTCTCATTCATTGCTGTTAGGATGCAAAATATGCAAACTGTGAAAAACAGCTTGGTGGTTTCCTTCAAAACTAAACATCCCCTTACCACACAATCCAGCAATCATGCTCCTTGGTATTTGTGCAGATGAACCGAAAACTAATGTCTGCACAGATACCTGAGCACACATGTTTATAGCAGCCGTGTTTATCATTGCCAAAACTTGGAAGTAACCAAGATGTCCTTCAGCAGGTGAAGGGATAAATAAACTGATACATGCCGGCCGGGCATGGTGGCTCACGCCTGTAATCCCAGCCCTTTGGGAGGCCGAGGTGGGCAAATCACTTGAGGTCAGTTTGAGAGGCCAAGGCAGGCGAATCACTTGAGGTCAGGAGTTCAAGACCAGCCTGGCCAACACGGTGAAATCCCATCTCTACTGAAAATACAAAAATTAGCCAGGCGTGTTGATGGGCACCTGTAATCCCAGCTACTCAGGAGGCTGAGTCAGGAGAATAGCTTGAGCATGGAAGGTGGTGGTTGCAGTGAGCTGAGATCCCGCCACTGCACTCCAGCCTGGGCGACAGACTGGGACTGCATCAAAATAAATAAATAAATAAGGATATCTCCAGACAATGGAATATTATTCAGCACTAAAAACAACTGAGGTACCAAGCTATGAAGTGAAATGGAGGAAATGTAAATGCTTCCAATTATGTGGCATTATGGGAAGGACAAAACCATGATGACAGTAAAAAGATCAGTGGTTGCCTGGGATTGGAGGAAAGGACAGATGAACAGGAGGAGCATGGGAAATTTTAGGGCGGGCAAACTATTCTGTTAAAATGGTGGACGCATGTCATTACCTGCTCTCCACACCCATAGAATGTACAACACCAAGAATGAACCCTAATGCTAACACTGGGCTTTGGGTGATGATCATGTGCCCATGGGGGTTCATCAGTTGTCACAAATGGATAACCGATGGGGGATGTGAGTAGTTGGGGAGGCTGTGCATGTGCTTGGGCAGGGGGGACGTGGGAAACCTCTGTACTTTCCTCTCAAGTTTGCTGGAAACAAACACTTCTCTAAAAAAAAAACTGTTTTTTTTAAACTACCATCTTAAACAAAAAGAGGAGGCCCCAGGTAAAAGACCTCAACCCATAATTTTCCACTGAGAAGGGACTTTCTCACTGGTGGAAGGAGGACACACCGGGTCATTATTTGAGTAATCCAGGCAGGAGACCCTGCCTGGATTGAGTAATCCAGGCGTCTGCTTCACCCATGAGACCGCCTCAGGTGAAAATAGCTTTGCGGTTGTTTTTCTTCTTTTCACCCGATGGGTCTTTGGGGGTTTGTGGCATGCCCCACGGAACAATGAACTCTCAGTTCCCCTTTCTCATTCTCCCCAGGGAGCCGAGGTGCCCTGCCGGGAGAGGGGCCACCTGTACCAGGTGTGAGAGGAGTCGCACCTGGACCCAGGCCCTGCATCCTCGTCCTGCCTCTGCATCCAGCATCCCTGCAGGAAGCCCTGTCTGCAGAAGGGCTGAAAAGTAGCCTTGCTGTGAAAGTGCTTGTGTGTCCCTGAAGGGAGAAGCAAGTCACAGTCAGGGCACTGGTTCCTGTCATCCGGTGCAACACAAAGCAGGCCCCAGGACATGGGGTGCAGACGGGAGCACAGACAGGGTGGGTGCTACTGGGGTGCTCAGGCAGCTTGAGGAGGATGGAGATGGCAAACTTTCCTTCATCATTCCAGGGCCACATTTAGGGCCGGAGGACCAGCAGGTCCCCAAAGCCTACAATGCTTCTGGAGGCCAGTGGCGAGCAGTGTCCAGGGACCCCACAGCCACCACTGAGGCCCACCTGCTCATCCCTCAGCTGGGTGTCCACTGGCGGCCACACTTCAGGTCTCCGGGACGCGGAGTTTGGGCTTCTCTCCCGAGCGGAAGTTATCCAAGTGCCCTCGGCATCCCACGGATTTGCTTTGTCTCTGAGGGAAGAATTAAGGAGTGTTAGCATGATATCAGAAAACTGCTAATTATGGTGAAGAGCTAACACGGCAATCTGGGAACTTGTGGAGCTCTAGTTAGTGATGACAGAAGAGGAAAATATTTGACTGTTTTGTGCTGCACCCAGGTTCTCAGGAGGCGGCAAGAGACGAGAGTTGGCGCTGTGCCATGCTCGGAGCCCCTGGTCCTAGAGACGCTGCTTTCCCCGTGGGAGTTCGGAGCAGAGGCAGCAGCTGGGAAGCTCAGGATGGAGTGAGGAAGGAGAGCGACTTGGGGTGCTTGGGTTGCAGAGATCTAACGCCCCAAGAGAGACTAGCTGTGGCCTGTGCCCACCCCAAACTCACACACTGTTGTGCTCACACACGTGTACACACTCACACACATTTCAACACCCGCACGCCCAAGCTCACACACCACACTCACACGCCTTAGTCACACACACATACACACATTAACACACATACACACTCACATTTGCACATACACACACACACAGTTATGCACCACAGACACACACTCCCAAGTTCACACACCACTATCACACACATCTCTTCACACACACACACTCACCTACACACTCTCACACATGGAACACCGACACACTCTCCATTACGCACCTGCCCTCTCTCACACGCACGCACAAACACACACGTTTCAAGCCGAATTAGAGCTCTTTTTTTGGTCCCACAAAGAAAACGGTAACCTCAGCATCTTGGTCTCAACGAGAACTGGGTGCATGATCCCATCCAACCACAAGGGGGAAAATGAGGAAATGGGTCCTCCATGTCCTCAGACACTGGAGAACAGAAGTATACGCCAGCTCTAACGGGCACCACACATGAACAGGAGGGATTGAAACAGAAAAGGGGTTCCTCCTGATGCGTGGCATTGACAGAGCCCAGTTCTGCCTCATGCCAAGCACCATCTCGCCCCTTGATGATGGAAAATGGTTGCATGTCTTGTTTCCTGGCCCCCATCTCTGTCTTGGTACAGAGTAAAGACTTGAGCCTCCCTTCTAAAGACAGGAGTCCCGCTGAGCTGACCCACCAGCTGACAGATGAAGCCATGACATCTGCTGACCAAGTTCCCCAAGACCCCTTGAGACTCAATTTCTGAAGAGGGTCTGCTGGGAATATCCTGTCTCCATGCTCTGCCCCGCTGTTGGGACACCCTCAGCCTCTGTGGAGCCTCTTGGTCTGACAGCGGGGCTGGATGACTGGCCACCTCTTGACTGTGCCAGCACCTCTACTGCCATGTTCTGCCTGGGGGACTGGAGTTCCTTCTAGCCCTGGCAGAGGGGACTACCCCTAGGATCTGTCCCACCCCATAGCTGGAGTCCTCCCAGTCTACGGGGGTCAGCCCATATGACCAGCAGACTCCTAAAACATGAAGGCCTTTTATTTAGAGAGCTCAGTGAAGGATACGACCAGAGAAATGAGCATCAAGGCTGAGATGAGGGAGCCACACTGGGATACAGCCTAAATTAGTTTTGACCCCCCTGCAAATCCTGCCTTGTCCCTTCTCTCAGTTAACTGAAAACCCAATAGCAGTTAAGTTCAATTCAGAAGCTGAACACCAAGCCAGGCATTGTATAAACGCCTGGGACCAGCAGTGAGTAAAAGACTAAAAAACATGGCCTTTGCCCTGTGGGATTTGTCTATGGGGAAGATGGATATTAAGCAAGTGTGAAAGTATGAAAAACCTCTGTGTGTGTGGGTGGGTGTATTAGAGCTCTATAGAAGCACATACAAAATGGAGAAATTATCCTAGTCTAGTGGCTTAGGAAAGAGCCTCCTAGGAAAATGGCATTTAATATGAAACTCAAAGTACGTAACAGTGCTTGGCCAGAGAAACAAGGTGTGTGGCTTAAACATGGTCACAAGATTAAAGACACACATTAAAGGTCACACATTCTTTGCTCCTCCATTCTCTGAAAGAGTCAAATTCCTAGTCCTCATCCCCTGGATTCTGGGCTGGCCCTAGCCTTTGCCTGTAGAATGAGGTAAAAGTGACTTTCTGGGTTTTCTGAGGCTGAGTCATGAGAAGCCTTGAGCTTCTGCCCAGACCTTTCAGAAAACATGCCCGGGGAAACCAGAGGCTGCGTAAGGAGTACAGCTATCCGAGACCACCATGCTGTGAGGAAGCCCAAGTTAGCCTCGTGGAAAGGCAGCATGGAGAGAGGAATACCCAACTGGTCCCCTGCTGTTCCTGCCACCCCAGTAGAGCCCAGGCAAATGAGTAAGGAAGGCTTTGATAGTTCCAACCCCAGCCACCCTCTGACTATAACTGCGGGAGAAACCCTGAGTGGGAACCACCTATATAAGCCCAGTCAACCAACAGAATTGTGAGAAATAATAGTAAGTTATGCTTTAAACCACTGAGTTTTAGAATAATTTGTTCTACCGCTATAGACAACTGAACCAGCTCCTCAGGACCAGCTGCAGTACCTCACCCTCGGGCATAGGACAGACAGAGAGATTTTTTTTTTTTTTTGAGACGGAGTCTCGCTGTGTCACCCAAGGTGGAGTGCAGTGATGTGATCTTGGCTCATTGCAACCTCCACCTCCCAGGTTCAAGCAATTCCCCTGTCTCAGCCTCCCAAGTCACTGGGACTACTGGTGCATGCCACCATGCCCGGTTAATTTTTTTTTTTTTTTGTATTTTTAGTAGAGACAGGGTTTCGCCATTCCTAAAATGTGAAGGTGTTTCTTTTAGAGAGGTCAAGGAAGGATATGACCAGAGAAATGACCAGCAAGGCTGTGATGAGGGAGCCACCCTGGGATACAGCCTAAATTAGTTTTGATCCCCCTGCAAATCCTTCCTTGTTCCTTCCCTCAGTTAACTGAAAACCCAATAGCAATTCAGTTGAAGCTAGCCTCATGGAAAGGCAGCGTGGAGAGAGGGATACCCAACCAGTTCCCTGCTGTTCCTGCCACCCTAGCAGAGCCCAGGCAAGTCAATAAGGAAGACTTTGATGGTTCCAGCCCCAGCCACTCTCTGACTGTAACTGTGTGAGAAACCCTGAGTGGGAACTACATTTATCCAGTTATCTGTAGTGGTGTAACAAATCATTCTAAAACTCAGTGGTTTAAAGCAATAATTTATTATTATTTCTCATAATTCTGTTGGTTGCCTGGGCTTATATAGGTGGTTCCCACTCAGGGCTTCTTACACAGTTACAGTCAGATATTGGCCAGGCAGGTCTCTAACTCCTGACCTCAAATGATTTGGCTGCCTCGGCCTCCCAGTGTGGTGGGATTACAGGCATGAGCCACCGTGCCCGGCCCAGAGATAGACTTTTAATCCATCCACAGATGAACCGGGGAGAGGAGTGATTCATCAACGTTTTGAAACTGTATTTAAGTTAGTTTGGAGATGGGTGCATTAAATTTCTCCTGGGGACAAGACCTATCGTATTTAGAAAGCACCTGAGAACACTTTAGAACCAGGGATTCATGATCATGTTTTCTGAGCCGGCCATGATTATGCTGGGGAACTAACAACACATGCATGTAGCTGGATACAATGTAGATTCCTCAAAAGAAGAACCAAGGGAGGTCATAAGATTTGAGTTAAGAAATAGAGATTTCCTACTTACTCTGTGCTGATTTAGTTCACAAAAATAAGCATTTCCTCCTTGAGGTCTAAGAATGTGTGGGGCTGGGAAACATTTGGTAAGACTGTGAGGAAAAGAACTGAAAACAAAAGTTCAGAAAGAGTTGGCAGAGCACAGGGCCTGCTGGGCTCTCCTTGCATCTAGGTGGTCCCTGGGCCCTCGCGGGTGAAGGGCCCTGGCCCCGCTGGAGCCTGTCCAAGGCTGAAGGTGTGAGGTTGGGGTCTCCCAGGCCTCCTCAGAGCAGATGAATGAAGGTGGGGACAGAGGGCAGGACAGACCCTGTCCAGATAGGAATGTTCTGTCCCTGGGGCACCTGTGCCTGCATCTCTCTGCATGTTTACACCGCCTCTGCCTCCAGGTGGCACTCTGAGGCCACATCCTGCTTCTCCTGCTTTGAAACAGCCAGGCCACCCCCTCCGGCCTTCAGCCAGTGTCTTCCAGAGAGCCCAAGCCAGGCCTGTCCTTTGGGGGTGAGGAAACCTCACACAGTGCTTTCCAGAAGTGGGGGAGACAGTAGCATAGCCTCCTGCCTCCTCCAGGTCTTGGCATCTGGGTTTCTCTATTCCTGAAGAAACAGAATTCACAACTTACCCTCTTCAGCCCGTGAAACTGGAGTGTTTGTGGGAGGGCCAGGCCAGCACAGCATTTTCTGTCTTCACCCCATCTGATATTCCAGCGTCCAGTGAAGGCTGTCTCCAGAGCCTGGGGGTGCAGGAGGCCGCCTGGAGGGATTTCCCCACTCTTGTTCCCCTCCACCGCCACCTCACGTTCTTTCCATGAGGCCTCATTCGCCGGTTCCTGGAGGTCTGAGCACACATCACCCACCTTGGACAGCTGCCTCATCTCATGGGCAGCCCACACCACATCAGGCAGGAGGTGGCCGACAGCGCATCCCCAGGGCGGCCCAACGGAGGGAATTTGAGTGCATGAAGCAAGAGGACAGCTGTTCTTGCTCTGTGGGGAGTCCCTTTTCAGCTAGCACCCAGTCAGCAAATGACTCTTCTCCACAAAGAGACAGAGGATGAACCTCCTCTCTAGTTTTGGCAGCAGAGGCCATGAGATCCACGGCGAGAGGCCAGAGCTGTGCAGGCTGCAAGGGGCACCAGCTCAGGGATTCCGAACGGAGGAAGGTACTTTCCAGAGAGTACTGCAGGGTATCAAGCCTTCTCCACAGTCCCACCAGTAAAACCCCTGGGGCTCAGCCTAAACCCGATCCTAGAAATGACATCCCAACACAAGCTTTGCAGGGTAAGTAAAATCTAGAGAGGAGAAAAGGCAGACCCAGGCAATGAGAAATGCAGGTGGTCTGGACCAGCTCAGGACAGACATAGCACCTTTTCCATATGCAGTGAATGATGTTCTCATGTTTGTTGGTGTGAGGAATTGAACATTAATATCAGAAGCATTCTGTGTTACCTACAGCTGACTTTATGTTATGTTGAAGTCAACTGGATGACAAACTGTCTTTTGTCTTCATTCTAGAGCAAAGATACTAACTATTCCTTTCATTGTCTTTAGGGACACTCACGTTAATTAAAACTCTTCTGGGGTTCGTCATGAATATAGTTCTAGTTCGGGCACCCAGAGGACCCAAATGAAGCAACTGCCACACTTATGGAGCACTGCTCTGAGAAGCCATGTTCCTGCCTGGTTCTCCATGGTTATGAGCTTATAGCAGAAAATGCATAGAAACACCCTGTCTCAGCCTGATTTCCCCTAAAGTACATCCCAAGACAAGGGCTGATGGGATTGAGGTTTATTCAGGGATGCAATCCCCAACAGTAGGAGTGAGGGGCAGGAAAGAGGGCAGGGAGGATAGGCATTATGGAATTGGGCAACACAATCAGTCATAGATGCTCTCAAGAATCTTCTGAACCTGCCAATTGAGAAACCAGGGAGCACAATGACTCCCCTCTCATGCCTCCCAGGTCAAGGGGCTCCTTCCGGGGTATGAACTCTGCTGCACTCCCAGGTGACAGGGATGTGAAGCAGTTTCAGGCGCCCCACACCTGGGCATCACAGGGAGGTCCTGAGGCAGGGTACTGTCAGTTCTTCACTCCGGGGTGAAGCTGGTTGCCACCAGATGGGACCTGGTTCCTGCCCCAGTGGTGAGGCTGCAGAAGCTGGGTTGAGTTACAAGAGATGTTATCCACACAAGCACGGACCACCGTGGGGAACGGGTCAGTGTTTAGACCACAATTCTCCATAGAAAGAGTGTTATGAATAAACAATGACTAGTGTAGCTTGTAGTCAAGTCCACAAACACCTTGAGCCCCCTTCTGAGTAAACTGTCCTGGGAAAAACATCAAGGCTCTTGCGTTGAAAGTCAACAGAAAAGGAATCATCTGGAGTAGAATAGTATGTTTAATGTTCATCATGGATGCTGGCGCTTGAGGAAAGCAGGCTTCCTTGGAGAAAAGGAATGAGGTCGTTAGAGACAGCACTGAGACTGAAAGGTGCTTCTGGGTCTGTTCCAGAACTTTAGAAATGGAAGGCCCGGGAGCATCATTGCATTGACCTCCCCAGCAAAACACGGGTGTGGTGTGTGCTTTTCCTCAATACACTATGATCACCAACGCCACATCCACATTGTTCGCCCCTGATTTTGGTTAGTATTTAGCTCCCAAACAGAAGGAAGAGAGGGATGGAAAATGGAAAGAGATTTTCCTGGAGAAACTCCTTTGAGTCACAAGAGAATGAGAAGGAGGAAGAGATTAGAGAATAAAGATGGGCGCGTGTGAGGGAGGATGCCTGCGGGATGCCTGTGCGATGAACTAGCTCTGCACATCACTCACTGGTCACTAAAGACAAGAGGGCCATGGTGGAGGATGGGAGGTGCATGGCACAGACTGGCTCCTCTCAGAAGGATGGGCGGAGTGAGGAGGAAGCCAGCCATCAGGAGTTGGTAGGAGGGGACACCGCTGACCCCAGGAGCTGGGTTGCTGCCGATGATGGGGCTAGCACGGTGCAGGGCCGAGGACCAGGGCAGCGATTGTTTGTGTGAATGGAAAACATGTTGTTTCTTAGGAAGGTGGTGCAGGCCTTGGGAACTCCAGTGGCTAGTTTGCATTTTTTAAAATGTTATGCTAATAATATGTCACTGCCACGGAGAAAAGGCTCTGGTCTTCTGTGGAGTCCGGATTCTATCCCTGAACTGTTCTTGCAGGTAAAGATTTATATAAAATGCTCAGAGGAGGCTGTAATAGACTTCGAGACATATTTCATAATATTTTCTAGCATGCCACTTGATGTCACAGGCAGATTTATGAAAAGGCAGTATTTATTATACAATATTCATGTTTTATTAAATCTGATTACATTGCAGGAAAGAGAGAGTAGTGATGGCAGCCTCCAGGCTGAGCTGGGGCTGAGTCCCCCGCCCCTACCTGACGCCAGGATGAGGACCCAGACATCGCATTGTGGGCTCTCAGCTCTGTCAACGTCTTCCTCAGATAACCTGGGTGGAGGGGGGTGGGCATCCCTTGCCTCTTCTGACTCTCACTCTGTAGGAAAAGAACCGTGCTTGCCCCTCTTCCCACCTGGACAGGCAGGCAGTGGCCTGAGCAGAGTATTAATAACACATGGGGAGACAGAGGACCTCTCTCTTACCTGTGGGAGAAAGGAGCCTGGCTGGCTATCCAGCCTGCAGCCTGAAGCTTCTCTAAGGAGCCACACAGTGCGGAATTTATCCCCGGGGCTCAGCGCTCCCAGCTCCCCAGCCAACCTGCCCTCCTTGGAAACCTGAGAAGATTCACTTCAAACAGGCCTCCCTGGGCCAAGAATCAAATTGGCCTGGCTCCCCTCTGATCTCCGGGAGTCTGTGAGCAGGGGGTCCCGGCAGCTGGAGTAACTCAACCCCTGCACAACCCAGGTTCTTTTCTTTTCCTGGACAAGATTTATGCGGCAGGGTTTAGTCTTTACCGCAGATAGACATTCCCAGGAGAGGCCCTGAACTCCCCTGTACCACAGCCCCTCAGTCCCTGCAAGCTAACTGGAAGATGGGCTTTTAGATGAAGTTGGGTTGATACCCAAGGAAAAGAGAATTTGTATGAGATTGAGGAATCGCTTTGCACAACTTGATGGACTGTGCTGACCCTTGGAGGGGAGGAAAACAAGGGGCTTTGTCAGCTGCGACAGTGTGAAGGAGTCAAGGCTTAGGCTCTGGAGATAAGAAAAAACAGATTTGAGCCCCGGCTACCTTGTGTGCTGCCTTGTGTGACCTTTGGCACTAACATCCTCTGTCTCAGTTTTCCTACCTGTATAACAAGGAGGGGAACAACCTCGTAGGGTTGCTGTGAAATAATGAATATTAAGCACAGCCCTGGCACAGAAAAAGAAGTCAATAACTGTTAGCCATTATTGAGAGGTCATTTAGTTAATTCATTTAAAGCCACAGAGCCAATGGCTTTGCTGTTGTTTGATACAGGTCATTACTGACCAGTGGACAGTGTTCCCATACAGAGGGGTGTCACCCAGGAAATGATGGGGGAACAGAGAAGCAGGCCCTGGCTGTCATCAGTCCCCACCCAATGCTAGGTCTACACTGGCCAATGCTTGAGCGCTAAGGATGTTAGAGTTAGGAGGGGGTGCCAAGTGATGTGAAATAATGAAATATCTTGTGCACAAAGCATCCCCGTGTGTCTGGGGGCTGCAGACATTTGCCGCAGGAGGGCTGTGCCTCCCGTGGGTGCAGCTCTGCACTTCTCCACCGCGGGACCTAAGAACATGCTCAGGCTGCAGTGAATGCCCTTTTATTTACCTGGCGATGTCAGCTCCAGACAGCCTGGGCCTGGCTGCTGATCTGAATCCTAATCAGCTCCTCACATCTCCCTTTCTTTAAGGACCCTGGGATGCTAATCACATCCCCAGGGAGGGGCTGCCGCTCTGTGAGCATCTGCAGTGGATGCAGGGCGGGCCTCATTCAGCCTTTAGGCAGTGGCCAGGGAGAAAAAGGATTTTTTAACTTTGCTGACAGTTTCAATTAAAAAACAAAATAGAATAAAGACTTGTGTCTGTTGGCCATACTGCAGTGACATTTGTATTTTTTAAACAATTATTCAAAATTACTTTCTATGCAACCTCCATTTTAGTTTGTCTTTAAAGTTGCCCTTGTCTATTGATGTGTAACTCAGTGCCCCCAAGAAATTGTGACAACAGCCCTACACCTCACTCTAGGTTTCCCATACACACTCTCAGGGTTGTATTGGAGGAACTCCTTTTCTATACAGATACCCTGAGAAAGGACCAGGACTGTTATAAGAAGGGTTTTAATATCCTTGGAATTGAATCCAGCCCTTCTTTCATTGAGTGTATATGTGCTACGGCACAGCTGGGTGGAAGAGGCCCTGCCCTCAGGGGCTTCCACTCAAAGTGAGATGCTACATGGCTTCAGCCTTTCCTGCTGCCTGGAGCTCTGCTGGTCAGCTCTCCCTGTTGGACACCCACCCCCTTCCCCAGCAGATAGTGCTGGAGTGCATCGTAAGAAAGGAGGTGACACATCTAGGGAGGAGGTTGTGGGAGGGGAGGCCCGTGGCTCTGTGACACTCATGCCCCCAGTGGACGTCTGCCCTGCACTGCGCCTGTCACCCGGCCCCTGGGAGACGGTAGATAATGACTGCAGGGACTCCTGGGGAAGTCTCCCTTCCCACCGCTACATTTATTCCATCAGAGTTTTTTTTTTGTTTTGTTTTTTGTTTTGTGTCTGTGTGTGGGGGTGTTTTTTTGCCTAAGTCTAATTAAGTCTAATTGGTGCAGTCATTATGTCAGAGTGAATGTTATTATTTTAGTCAAAAGCAGTAAACTAGAAAAGACAGTCTGTACGACAGCTTTCCTCTCTGTTCCATGGCTAAGGTTTTTAGGAGAGGCCCAACAAGACCTGACCGTTTACAGTTGTCATCAACTCAGACCTTCCAGGTCCCCAGAGAACAAATAGAAAACGGACCTGTTGAGTTTTGCCTCCCATAATCTTAAGTGAAGCTGTGAAAGTTCGCATATCTAGACTACGTCTACCTAGAGAGGGAAGATAGCGCTGCATTCCTTTCCTCCTAGGAGTTGCTTGTCTACCCGGTGGGATTCCTCACCGTTGAGTGCTGAACGCAGCCAACGGGAGGGCAGTGTGCATTTGTTGAATGAATGAATGAAATATTCAGCATCTGTGTGTGTGACACACTGTACCATGTTAGTGCTGCACGAAGCAAATTAAACACAAGCCTCACCTTTGGTGAGCTCATGTCCTTCTCACCGCCTGCTGGCTGCTGGGTGACATGAGAAAACATACAGAAAGGAATTTGTGTTTATACTTCCACCCAGCAAAATGCATATCTGATTACAGAAAAATCAGAAATGTCTGTAGATAGAGTGCAGGGTTTTATCAAGTCATCAAAGTAAACCATGTTTTGCAAAATTGCCACAAAACTGTGCATGTTCTCATGGCCCTAATTTAGAATATGTTCCTTAAACAAAGAACATCTTTGTTTGATTCCATTTGTTTTGAAGCCCATATTCTACAGATACATTCTTTCCCAGTATGATACAAAAATGTAAGAATGCTAAGTGGAAAAATTAGATCATTTTGTCAGATGCATAGATTTTCCAATTGGCAATTATATAGAAGACTAAAACATGGTTAAGTGTAATCAATATGCATTCATTCTAATTATCATCTAATAGTTCGGGACCTTGTGCTTTGGGTATCCTCTCCCCAAGGTGTTTGTTTGTGTGCTTATTTGAAATCTGTCAGTAAAGACAAGTACTTCCTACAGAATGCACAACACCACTCTCCATGGATGGTTCTTGGAAGGTTTCCTGAGAAGTGAGGGAAATGTCACAGAAAAGCCATGGTGATTTTGAGCTGAAATCACTAACTCTGCCTTTGCCGTATTATAATGTGTAATAATTAGAAATCATTCTGAAGCCATCTAGAATCTTGCCCTAACAGTTCTCTCACACCTGAGAACTGTTGTCCATGGCATAGGTTTCTCTGAGAAGGGCTTTGAAAATGAGCTATTGCATTCGTTTGCTAAGGCTGCCTTTACAAAGTACCACAATCTGAGCAACATAAACTACAGAGAGGTGTTCTCTTGCAGCTCTGCAGGCTGGAAGCCCGAGACCAAGGCGTCAGCAGGTGTCCTTCTGAGGGCTGTGATGGAGAATCTGCTCCAGGCCCTTCTCTTTGGCTTGTAGGTAGCCGTCTTCATGTTCACACGGCATTCCCTCTGTATGTGGGTCTGTGTCCAAATTTCCCCTTTGTATAAAGTCATACGGATTAGGGGCCCATCCTAATCCAATGTGATCTCAACAGGCCTATTTCCAAATGTGGTCACATTCTGAGGTACAGGAGTTAGGACTTCAATCTGTGAATTTTGGGGGCCACACTTCAACTCATAACAGCTGTGGCAACAGCTGACTCTGATACATTGAGAGACTGTGGAAGGCCTCTCGTTCTCCCCTCGCTCCTCTCCTCCCTGCCCCTCTGGGCTCTTTCCCTATCCTTCACCCACCAATATCTGAAAACCCTTAGAGACTTGTCCCTTTGCATCTTAAAGTTGGCTTGGTCTCCTGGGATCTCACCCAGATTGCAGTTATGCCCAGGAGAGGCAGCAATAAGCCATTTCAGTGAGCTCCCGACTGTCGTGGCTTTTAACCTCCATGTGTTAAGGTGTGTCCACACCTTCACTGCCAGGTCCAGCTTTCTGGCTGGAAGGCCCGCAGCATACAAGAAAGCCATGGGGCACACTCAGTGGGATGGAGCAAGGGGTGGGAGATAGGTCTGGAAAGATCCAAAGGCAAAAATCAAAGGCAGCAATATCAGAGCAGGAGAAACTGAGCGGATCTGGGTTTGAGTCTTGGCTCTGTTACTTCTGGCTGGGTGACTTGGACAAGTCACCTGACCTCCCCGTCTGCTTGATGTGCTTATCGTCATACCTACCTGCAGGTAAGGCCACAAAATGCCCAGGAAATACGTTATGGTGGTTCTAATATCCTCGACGACTTCATCATTCTCCCTGGGCCTAGCACCGGCTGGCGGTAAAGGCGTAAGCTCTGCAATGCCTCGGAAGACTCAGCGGCTGTGAACTTGCCTTTGACACAAAAGCTGCTCTTACAGTGAGAACAGGGCCTGGAGCCCCCAGCTCCCCAGGCTCCCTGACCTGCGGTTGAGTTCTACATGCACAGCCAGGGCTGCACAGCTTCCTGAGCAGCGGGGAGGCTGTGGGCAGGAAGGGGAAATGAGAGTGGCCGAGGCTGTGCACACCTGGGCTGGATCAATGGCCACGTTGTAAAGCCGGCCCTCTGGGACGGCCTGCAATGCCCGGATCTATAGCTGTGTTAGTCATCGCCTCACCAGGCCTTCGTTTGTTTTTCAAAGTTTTGTTAGTGTGACTTGCACCTCCAGTAACTCATCTTTAACTGCCCTCCCTCCTATCTGACCCAGTTCGCACACCATTCATCTTTTCTTCTTCCTAATACATTTGATTTTCTTTACGCTCTCCATCTCAGTCTTGCTCTCTCTCTCTTTTTCTCTTTAATTTCTTCAGTCAACTAGAGATGGGGAAGCAGACCACCTGGGATGAAGGAGAGAAAGTGCTGAAGGGGAAAAGGCCACCTAGCTACATTAAGCTGGGAAAGTCTGTTTAGCTGACTTTGAAGTCCGCTAGCTCTCAGGCACTCGTCCTAGCAGACATGAGCAGCACCTTCCATTGCTAGGATTATCATTTACCTAAATTCCACTTACTTGCAGGCTGAGCCCATTTCAACTGGAGAAGTCCTTAAGAAGGTTGCCTTGCCCAACCACACGTTGCAGATGAGAAAACCAGGACTCTGGGAAGCTTACAAATTAGTTGTTCAAAGACACGTAACCAATTGCAACTCTTGATTCGAGGATCTAAATAAACTTTGCCACATAGACTTCCCCATACCTTCCTTTGTTTATTCATGTGGGAAATTTGTCTCTTAGAGCCTCTATGAAATATCACTTTGAATGCCCACATGTTTACAAATTTCATGAATAACCCCTCCAGATAGCCACTGAATGGAAATGTGTTTCAGCCTACACTAAGATGTGCCCTGCCTTTTTCTTCTGATGACATGGTGCAAAGTTATGTAAAATTCCAAACCTTACAAGAATGTAAGTAATCTCATTTCTAGGGACATGCTGCCAAAAATTGGTGCATAATTCTCCGTCTTCTTTTTTCACACTGATACTAACCCTCTTACTGTTGCTGTTGATTACTTTGGATGTGGACTCATACCACCAATGCAGTTCGGAGCTTGCGTTTTTCACTTTACATATCAGTAGGGACAGGAAGGTCTAACCCATTCTTAAGACGTGTGTGGTATTTCATCTTTCGGCTGTACCAGCATTTATTTAATCTTCTTCTTCAGAGTTCATTTGGGTTACTTTTACGTTTTTAATACTTTAAAGTCTTTAAACAAAGCCCCAAGGAACATTCTTGAGGCTTTAGAGGCTTAAATGTTAGAAGTAGAAATACAGAGTTAAAAGATTAGAACTTTAAACATTTCAGTAGATATTGCTAGGTTGCAAGCCAAGAAGGTGTACTGATTTACACTTGCACCAACAATGTACCTGGGTGCCAGTTACTTCCTATACCCTCACCAATGCTGAACTTCATCAGCCCATTTTTACGTTGGTCAATTTGATAAGTGGAACAATATGTCATTGCAGTTTAATGAGCACATCTTGATTAGCCCTTGTTTCCTCTTCCTGGCCAGTCACTGCTTCTTGACTTTTCTCACCCCTTAATGCATATATACATGGGAAGTATCCACACATTTTTAGTCGATGTTTTAGTTAGCAAAACATAGCCAGAAGGCAATAAGTGGCAAATTCACACCCTAAAGTTCAGAGCGGAGAGTAAGTGACTTTCAGACAAGCGGTACCATCACGCGCCTCCATTAGCCCAGCTACGTGTCTGTTACCATATTCAAAACTCATAACCAAGACATTTTCTGGCTGCCTTGACACAACAGGGATGATATTAGCTGGATGAGAGCGCTGAAGAACAATTCTGTTTCACAGACAGGTGTCTTCTCCAACCAATCAGGCAGCCACCTCTACAATCACTCCAAGGGTGATGCCTCACATAAGGTAAAACTTGCAGGACCAACAGTGAGAAATGAACCTCGCCCCTGCTGGCCTGCACCACCTCAGACTTTAATCATTTTCCACTCTGGCCTGTTGAGCTATTTCTTGTCTCAGCATGGGGCATATGCTGGCTGGTCTCCAATAGACCTCATGTATGGCAGGTGCCGATGGCCATGAGAAGGAAGTTGCTGGGTGGATAGGTTCTGACTCTACCCTGGATCTGATTGGCTCTGGTGTTCATGGGGGTCTGCTCTGTTTGGATTCCCCAGACAACTTGACCTGCCCTTCCTCCCACCCTTTCTATTTTAACCTCATCTAATGATAGCTGGAAATGAGCCAGTTCCAGAACTGGCAAGAAACCTGACTTGTCCAGGTGGCCACAAGACCACCCCCAAAGCCAGCTTGGACCTCTGCCCCTGAGTGGAACTGCTCATAAAACATGTTCTGTGTTTCTCCTCTCAGACACACATTTCTGAAATTAATATGTCACCACCTTCACTGGGGTCACTGCCTGATGGAGGGCAAGGCTATGTATACTCATGTACCTGGCAACGATATCTGATTTATTTTTTTAAGAAAAATGCTCACATTTGTAGCACTACATATGTTTCTTTAATTTCCCTAGATTAGTTTTTGAGTACCATGTTGCTTTCATAGTACTCGGCCTAAACACAATTAAGCCTACTTTAAGATTCACACTTGAAGAGTGTGAATAACATAACTCATTCAACCCCACTTATAAAAAGAGGAAACATGCGAGGCTCGTTAGGGTTTCTTAGGTATTAATTTAAAAATTAATTACCAGTGTTTTTATATCCCATCAGAATCTTCCCAGCTCTCTTTAGGAGATATTCCTAAAATCAGTTCTTTATTATTACTTTTGAGCACATTTGCTCCATGACACCG
Source organism: Homo sapiens (assembly GCF_000001405.40). Classification (NCBI taxonomy): domain Eukaryota; kingdom Metazoa; phylum Chordata; class Mammalia; order Primates; family Hominidae; genus Homo; species Homo sapiens. The sequence goes on along the minus strand of NC_000002.12, from coordinate 100,232,468 downwards.
TCTATGAAAAGAAAAATTCTTTTCCTTGAATATTCAAACCTGCAGAATATTGTGGACTAAAGTATGAATGAAAACTTGTTGAGGGTTGTGATGAGTGAGAGAGATTCTCTTGCAAAGGGCCCAGAAGATGATTAAGGAGTAAGGAAATGAAATAGTTAAAAGATGTTGGAATAATTCAGCCTGGGGAAAACCCCAATAAGTAACTTAGGGGGAAAGAAAGCTCATTAAGTTCTCTCCATCATAAAATTATTTATGCCACTTTTTTTTTTCTTTGTAGAGACAGGGATGATGCCCAAGCTGGTCTCAAGCTCCTGGCCTCAATCCTTTCTCAGCCTCCCAAAGTGCTGGGATTACAGATGTGAGCCACCACACTTGGCCACATATTCATGCTAATCCTAGAGAATACAATTTTAGAGGAAAGACAAAGGAAAATCACTCATAAGCCCACCATCTAAAGAAAACGTTGCTGACATTTTTATTAATTTCCAGGCACTTTCTATACACACATTATTTTTACATTGTTGTGATCAGATTATATACGTGAATAACAGTCATGTCATTGTACATTGATACAGGTTCCCAAAATAGTTTATTTCATGATCCTGGCTGTTGCTGCCCTCCTCAAACCCTGTTTATTTATTTGTTTATTCAACAAATACTTATGGAATCCCTCATTAAGGGCCAGGTCCTGAGAGGACTGGAGTGAACCAGACAGAAAGGAATCAGCTCTGATGGAATACACATTCTTGGTGAAGGAAACACAATAAATGAATAAACAAGTGTTAAGTGTGATGGGAAGCTACTGGAAATTTGTAAGCAGGGAGTAGCGTCATCTGCTTTACATGTTTTAAAAGGTTTCCTTCTGTGTGGAGGGTGGATTGCAGGGAGAGGAGAGCAGCAGCAAGGAGGGCAGGTGGGAGGCTGCTGCGTTCCTGGAGACCAGAAAGATGGCGGTGTGTTAGTCCGTTTTCACGCTGCTGATAAAGACATACCTGAGACTGGGCAATTTACAAAAGAAAGAGGTTTAACTGGACTCACAGTTCCACTTGGCTGGGGAGGCCTCACAATTATGGCAGAAGGCAAGTAGGAGCAAGCCACATCCTACATAGATGGGGACAGGCAAAAAGAGATTGAGAACCAGGCAAAACGGGTTTCCCCTTATCCAACCATCAGATCTCGTGAGACTTACTCACTACCACGAGAACAGTTTGGGGAAAACCACCCCCATGATTCAATTATCTCCCATCGGGTCCCTCCCACAACACGTGGAAATTATGGGAGTAAAATTCAAGATGAGATTTGGGTGGGGACTCAGAGCCAAACAGTATCAGGCAGTTTGGCTGGAAGGGATGGAGGGAGGTGGAGAGGAGAGGAATGGACAGCAGTGGGGGCCACAGAGCTTGCTGATGTGTGTTATGGATATGAAACGGATGTAAGGAAACAGGAGGAATCTAGGATGGCTGCCAGGATTCTAGCTTGAATGACTGGCTGAATGAGGGAGATACAGGTTTGAGGAGAAATGGAGAGCCCTGCTGTGGGTGGGCGAGATGCCCATCCAGGAGGACACATCAAGCTTGCAGTTGGATGAGTGCCTCTGGAGTCCAGAGCCAAAGTCATCTAATGGAGACTTGTTGACACATGGCAGCATTTAAAGCTGTGGAACTGGAGGAGACCTTGGGGAGAGAGTGTGAATGGAGAAGAGGAAGGCCCTGACTTTTAAAAGCTGAGCAGAGGAAAAGGAGCAACATGGCCTATACCCCAACCACATGCTCCCTGCCTGCCACCACAGTCCCTGGGATATGTGAAATAAGAGATAGGCTCTTCTCAATAAATTATGCCATTTTTATAAAGGAATATGTAGTATTCTATAACCTCTTAAAACTGTGGAAGTCAAAGCAGCATTCTACAATTTTGATTTAAAAGATGACAAGCTGTGTATTGACAATCCAATATTTAAATCACACAATAAAACATATTTAAATTATTTTATAGGTCCACATTATAAAAACTTTTATTTTCAAGGGCTGCTTTTAAAATGTGGTGGCATTTTTACACAGTTCTGTGTATATTTTAAAATTTCCTTTGGAACTTACTTCTTGACCAATGGATTATTTAGAAGTGTGTTGTTTAATTTACAAGTGTTTAGAGATTTTCCTGACTTCCTTACCTTACTGAGTTCTGGTTTGATTTTATTATGGTCAGAGAACATAATCTGTATGATTTGAATCCCTTTACTTTTTTCTTTCTTTCTTTTTTTTTTTTTTTTTTGAGATGGAGTCTAGCTCTGTCGCCAGGCTGGAGTGCAGTGGCATGATCTTGGCTCACTGCAACCTCCACTTCCCATGTTCAAGCGATCCTCCTGCCTCAGCCTCCTGAGTAGCCGGGACTACAGGTGCCCGCCACCACGCCCAGCTAATTTTTTGTATTTTTAGCAGAGACAGGATTTCACCATGTTGGCCAGGATGGTCTCGATCTCTTGACCTTTTGATCCGCCCACCTCGGCCACCCAAAGTGCTGGGATTACAGGTGTGAGCCACTGCACCTGGCCAAATCTCTTTAAACTTTTTGAGGTTTGTTTTATGGTCCAGGATAGTGTATGTTTTCAGAACGCCCTTGAAAAAAATTGATATTCTGTTGTTATGGGGTGGAATGTTCTATATGTATCAATTAGATCCTATTGGCTAATTGCATTGTTTAGATCTTCTGTCTTCTAGCTAATTTTCTTTCTAGAAATTCTATCAGTTGCTGAGAGGAAGCTGATGAAATATCCAACTACAACTGTGGAATTGTTTATTTTTCCTTTCAGTTTTATTAGTTTTGCTTCATGGATTTTGAGGCTCCGTTACTCGGTGTGCACACATTTAGGATTGTTATTTTTCCTAGTGGATTGATTCTTTTATTATTATGTAATATCCCTGTTTGTCCCAAGTAATTTTCTTTGAGATCCACTTAATCATATATCAATACAGCTACCTCTGTTTTTGTATTATTGCTTGCATCTATCTTTTTCTATACTTTTGCTTTCGATGTACCTGTCATTGAATTTGAAATAATTTATTAAAAGCAACATATAGTTGACACACAGTTTTTAATCTACTAAACTAATCTCTGCCTTTTAATTAGTATGTTTAGACTACTTACATGTAAGGTAATTATTGATATGTTAGAGCTTAAGCCTGCGATTTTATTTTCTGTTTCTTGTAACTTTCCTATGATTCTCATTTCTGTTTCTTTTTTTTACCTTCCTATAGATTACTTGCACAAGTTTTAGAATTCCATCTTGATGTGTTTATAATGTGTTTGAGTGTATCTCTTTGAATAGCCTGTTCAGTGGTTGCTCTGGGTATTACAGTGAACATATGTGACTTATTGCTGTCTACTACTATCAACATTTTACCACTGCAAGTGGCATGTGAAAACCTTACTGCCATTCAGGCCCCTTTACCTTCCCCTCATTGACTCAAGTGAGAACTGGTCTTGTAATTTTGATTCCCTCAATCAAATATGATTGATGACACTCATAAGGAATAGGATAGCCTATCGTATGTACCCATATATTTTCTCTTTCCATTGTATTTGCTTCCTGATGCTCAAGATTCTTTCTTTCATCATTACCCTTCTGTTTGAAAACTTGCTCTAGCCATTCTCTGAAATTAGGTCTGTTAACCGCACAATCTTTTGGTGTCCTGTCATCTGACAATAGATTTATTTACTATTTATTCCTGAAGGATAGTTTTGCCAAATGTAGAATTTGTGGCTGGCAGGTATTTTTTTTTTTCCTTTCAGAGCTTGAAAAATGTGTCACTTTCTTCTGGTCTCCAGGGTTTCAGAGGAAGAGAAATTCACTGTCACGCAAACTGGTGTTTCCCCATAGGTAATGTGTCATTATCCTCTGGCTGCTTTCAAGAATTCTTTTTGGTCTTTATGTTTTCAGAACTTTAATTTGATGTGTCTTGGCATGGATTATTTTGGATGTATCCTGTTTGGGATTCACTCAACTTCTTGAATTTGTAGGTTTATGTCTTTTTGCCAAATTTGAGAAGTTTTCAGCCGTTCTTTCTTTGAATTCTCTTTCAGCCACAGAATCCTCTGGGACCCTGATGTTACAAATGTTGGATTTTTTTTGTTGTTATTTTCACACAGGTCCCTGAAGCTCTGTTCTTTTGTTTTTCAGTTTATTTTCTCTCTGTTGCTCAGATTGGGTGAAGCCTACGAGTCCTTCCTCAAGTTTATCAGTTCTAGCCTCACTCAGCTCCACTGTACTATTGAGCCCATGTAATACCTTTAATATTTTTCAGTTATTGGATTTTTCACTTCTATAATTTCTGATTGTTTCTTTTTTATAGCTTCTACTTATTTTCTGAGATTTTAATTTTTCCATTTGTGTCAACAGAATTTGTAATTCATTGTTAAAGCAGTTTTACAGTGACTACTTTTAAATACTTGTTAAATACTTTCAACATCTGATTCGTGTCAGTATTGGCATCCACTGATGGTCTTTTTTCTTTCAAGTTGTGATTTTCCTGATTCTTGGTACAATGGGTAACTTTTTACATTATATCCTGAACAGCCTGGCTATTAGGTTTGGAGATTATCTTTTTAGGTTCTGTGTGCATGCTAGTTTTGTGAGCTGTGAGTGCAATGCTAATTTCATTTTCACAGCCTTTGTGGTACTACTGTGGCCTTCCTGGTTTTTCTGGAGCTGCTGAGGCTCCCACTGGACCCTCCTGGTGCTACCTGAGGGGACATGAAGAATTTCCCTAGGCTGGTGCCTCTAAAGGTGGAAAGGGACCCTTCTATGCCTTGGAAATAAAGAGCGCTTCCTGGGCAGGATCCCTCTTGCTGGGGCCCCCCTGCCACCCATGTGTCTGGGTGGGAGAGAGGAATCTCACATCCATGGAGACTAGAAGACAGAGAAGACGGAGCTTCCCATGGCAAAACCCTCCTTGCCAGTACTGCCCAGCTTCTGGTGTCTCTCAGTGGAGGAGAAAGGTCTCAAGCCTGCAGGGAAAGAGAGTACTTCCCTTATAGATTTTTGCCAGTGGATCTCGCGACCCGTCTCTCTTGGCATTGTCCAGGGAACTCTTGTTTCATCCAGCAGAGGAATGAGCCTTCCTGGGCCACTTCCTATTGCAACTTCGGTGTTGGGAATCACAGATGTGAGTCTCTTTCTTCAAGTGGGTGGAAGGTTGTACACACAGCATAGCCATGCTGCCAAGGTGTTCCTCCACTCCTTAGTTTCCAATCAGTTCACCTTCCTCTTTTCACCTTTCAGAGCACTCCTTTGGTTACCTTTTACATTAAAGAGAAATTCTTTGGGACTTAGGGCCAGGCAAACAATTCTTAGGCTTGACACAAAACCACAATTCAATTGATAATTTGGACCTCATCAAAATTAAAAACTCCTCTATGAAAAATTCTATGAAGAAGATATAAAGGCAAGCTACAGACAGGGAGGAAATATTTCCAAGCCACATATCCAATGAAGGTGGTAGTATCTTAAAACTCAATAGAATCAAGAGAATGAGAAGACAAGCCACAGAATGGAAAAAACAGTTGCAAGAGACACATCTGATAAAGGACTGTTATCAAAAACATGCAAAGAACTCCTAAAACTCAACAGCGAAAAAACACACAACTCAATTTAAAAATGGGCAAAAGGCCCAAACAGACACCTAACCAAAGGAAATATTCAGATGGCGAATAAGCATATGACAAGATGTTCCACAAAGGTACATGTTACATAATTCAATTTATGTAATTTAATAGAAGTAAAAATTATAGAAGTGGAAAACAGATGAGTGGTTGCCAGGGACTAGGGACAGACAGGAGTCTGGGGAAGGAAGTGTGTGGCTATAAAACATCAACAGGGGGATCCCAGTGTTGAGGGAACTGTTCTGTATTTTAACTGTGGTATGTGCATACACACACACAGCCTTACACATGTGATAAAATTGAGTAGAATACACACATGCACTCACGTGCATGCACACACGCACACACGCACACACACACACAAGTACCAGTAAAACTGGAGCAATCTAAAATCAGTGGATTTTTATCAATGTGAATATCCTGGTTATGGTATTGTGCTTTAGTATTGCAAAACATTACCATAGGAGAAAACTGGATAAAGGTGTCTCTGTGTTATTCTGAACTTGAATCTATAACTATTTCAAAATTTTTAAATTGCTTTAAAAACAATCAGTAGGTAATTTACTTCTTTGGGTGAACTGAAGCTGGGGTGTGTGTGTGCAGGTGCACATGTATGCAACAGAGAACAGAGCCTCAGGTTTAGTATTTGTGATTTTGGGGTCCCATGGGGTTAACTGGCAACTCAATTGTTAGCCTCAACCCTTCCTGGATTCTGGAGAATGAGGACACTTAGAAGAAGTCCTCTTTGTCACTTCTCCCCTGCCAAACACTACTGATTCCAACATTTCACACAGCTATCTGCATCAATTCTAAAAAGCGAGATGTGGTCTAGGTGAGGCTTTTCCTGTCAATAGCACTTTTCTGTTGTTCTTTGACTTGATTTCTGTTGTTCTTGCTTTTTAATGGGAAAAATGGCTACACTGTGGTAGAAAATTGAATAGTTTATGAGTTTCAATACTCGTTAATAGATGTTAAGTGCTGTGACTTATTAAAATCCTAATAATTCTTCAGCGTGTAAAAATTAAGCATAGAACCTCTAACATGATCAACTTAATTGTGTGTGGTACTGATGCAGAAGGATGGTAACGGGGAATGCAGAGTGAAATCTTTATATTGTGTATTTGTAACAAAAAAGAGCTTGGCCAAAGCATTATCTGAAGAGAAACTTAATTAGACCATTGGAAACACAACAGAAAACATCGAGTCAGTAATTGTGAGCAGGAGTCCAAATTCTCCAGGCTCCTAAAGGAAATCTGTGATGTCTTTTGCTTCCTATGTGGATAACCTGGCATCCTCCCAGGGCTGATTTTTTTTTTAACTTAGTATCAGATTATAGTATAAACATTTCTCCGAGTCAATAAAACTCTTAATACACATAATTTGAGTGCCTTTATAATGCTTAATGGAGTAGAGGCATCATTATCTTCTTAACCATTAGGTATGTAGGCTTTCTTATTTTGTTTTTTTTTTTTTATATTCATGGTGTTTATTATGTTCTTATGTGATAGTCCCAGGAGAAATACCAGATGAGAAAGAATGAACATCTTGATGTAATATGGTGTATTTTTGTCTAGATTTTTTTTCCAAAGGTGTTGTGTAAATTTACATCCCTTAGGAGAGAGTTTACCCCAGGAAAGCCTTTCCAGAATCTAGTGGTGTATGCTTAAAGAGAAACATGTGCTAATTTAGTAACAGGAATGTGATATCCCATAGTTCTTTTAATTTGCTTTTTCTTGTTTGTTAGGTGGGTGAAACTTTTGCCCTGTGCATCTGTTAACAATTTAAAGTCGTTTTTGAAAATTGTTTGTGTCCTTTAACTAATACCTATGAATGATTTCATCTATTTTATTGACTCTAAAATTCCACTGAGGAGCCAAAATGTAATTTACTTCATCCTTTTTCTGCTGTTGGATATGGGTTGTTTATGAATTCCACTATTATCAATAGACTCTTGTATTCATGCAGTGGATGTTAAAAGGGTGGCTTTTGTGTGTCAGTCACTGTTCCTATAGCAGTGAACCGATTAGACAGAGGGACTGCCCTCAAGGAGTTCACACTCCCCTGTAGGCAGAAGAAACAGACCCTAAACAGAGAAGCACATGATATGTCAGCAGGAGCTGTGAAGCTCCTAGCAGTGCTGTGAAGAAAAATAAACAGGCTAAGGGGAATCAAGGGTGGTGGGGAGGTGGAGTCCAAGCTGTTTTATGGAGAGTATTTAGAGAGGGTCTGATTTATAGGAGACTAGAAAGAGATAGGGGAGCAAGCCAGCAGATATCTGGGGAGAAAGTACTATAGTCTGAGGATATAGACAGTGCAAAGGCCCTGAGGCAGATATTAGAGAAAGGACAGGAGGCCCATGGGCTGCTATGCAGCAATTTAGGATGAGGTCAGAGACATGGAAAGGATCCGATTTGACTGTAAGCAGATGGAAAGCCATCTTGAGGCTTAAGGCATGGAAGTGGTTGATACCAATGACATGGCTTTTTGTAAAAGCCTCCTCTGGCTGCTGTGTAGGGAAAGATGATAGAGGGGCACAGGGGAAGCAGAGCCCAGTGAGGCCACTGCAGTATTCCTGGTGAGGTTATGCTGGAGGTGGTGAAAAATGGTTGGATTCTAGACATAGTTTGAAGAATTGGCCGATGGGTTGATTGTCACATGTGAGAGAAAAAGAGAAGCCAAGGACAACTCAAAATTTTTTTGGCTTAAAGTACTACCATGTAGAAGTAGAAAATGGCACGTTGGCTCCAGAACTCTATTTTTGGATCTAGGAATTTTGAGACGATCCTTGAGCCAAGGGCAGCTGTGAAGTGGGCAGTTGGTGGGAGCCTGCCACTCCTGTAAGAGGCCTGTGTTGCAAATCCAAACCCAGTGGTCACGAGCAACTGAAAGTCATAGTACGTCCTAGGGAACGGGTTCGGAGGGGAGGAAGAGCTGAGAGCTGAGAACCATGCCCAGGGCACTCCATCAACCTCCATGTAGGACTGATGAAGAGGAAGCAGGCTAGGAAGCAGCACTGAGGTAGGAGGAGAGCCAAGAGATGTGGTGCCCAGGAAGCTAGGTGAACGAAACTGTTTCAAGGAAGAGATGGTGCGTTGGAGGAGGGCTGGAAACCGAGCATGTGGCTAAGCATGGGGACCTTGACAGAAGTTGACGTAGATGCAAATGAAGGTCAGGTTGGAGTGAACTGAAAAGAGATTCAAAGAGAAAGTGGAGATGGAGACTACAGACCACCATTTCGAGGAGTTTTACCATAAAGAAGAGCTGACAAATGGGGCTGTAGTTCACAGGGAATGAATAACAAGAGGGTTTCTCTTCCTTTTTTGTAAACTGGGAGATATTTCATTATGTCTGCTTGCTCCTGTAGAGAGGGGAGAAATTATGATTTGAGAAAAAGAGGGGACAACTGCTGGTGTGAAGCCCTTGAATAGGCAAGAGGGGACAGGACCAATGCCCAAGTGGAAGTGTGGGCTACAGTAGGCATATGATCAATTCCTCCATGGTAAGCAGGAACAGGCAGAGTACCTAGGTCTAGATTTAGGTGAGTTCCTAGATTTGTTGGTGGAAGCTTGCAGAAGTTCTTTTCTGGTTTCTTCTGTCTTTTCACTGGAATAAGAAGCAAGTTCATTGGCTGAGAGGATGGTTGGAGGCAAGGAGGGTGAAAATAGCTGTCAAGGAGAGCAGAGCGGGCACGTGAATGGATGAGGGGAGTTCAGGAGTGCTTAGGCACCACTTGAAACAAGTGGGCAGGATTTTTCATTCAGACCTGCTGGCTGGCTGTGTGGTTATAGTCAGCCCCATTCAGCTGCTCAGTTGCAGGTGTGAAGAGGGTTGGGTTTCATCATGATTGGGGATTTGCATGCAAGTGTAGTGCAGGGAAAGAGGGCCAGAAATTCTAAGGGATAAGCACAGGAATGATGGATCACACTGGAATCTAACCCTGGACAAAAAGGAGGCTAAAATTTAAAGGATCTACTACGATGTTCTTCATGAACATAGCTTCTTTCATATTCCCATCTTTAGACAAAAGAGTGACAGCAATAGAAGCACAAATGTACAATGTGCTTCAATGAGTGACCTATAGAAGCACAAATGTACAATGCTAAAAGTCTAAGAGAGATAAGTTGAAAAGCTAACTGCCTTATTAATTAGCTCCTAGTTAACTTCTTACTAACTTGATTCAGGAAAGTCTGAACTTTGCTAAGGCATCTTCTAGGAATAATGCATTTAAAAAGGAGAGTAATAAAACTCCGGCTTGGGGAAAGAAGAAGGTACATTTTCTCTTCAAGCTGCTTAACTAACATGGTGGCCTGGGCCTCACTCAGCCCATAAACTGGATCCAGGAGAGATTCTGTTATGCAGTTAATGAGGTTTTTAGGTACCACTGGCAGCTGCTTGAGTGATGAGCTGTCAGGTGGTGTAAATGACATTCTTACTCAACCTCCAATCCCTTCAGTGAACAAATAGCAAAGCTCCTGCCCTCATGTAGCTTACAGTCTAATGGGGAAGGAGGCAATAACAGAATTGAGAAGTAAGATACAAGGCAAGTAAGAGGATAGAGTGCTTTAGGGGTTGGGGTTGGGGATTACGCTGTAAATGGAGTAGTCATGGACAGCCTCACTTTGAAAGTGACATATAAATATCTGAAGAAAGTAAAGGGGTGAGCCTGTGAATATCTAGGGAAGAGTATTCCAGGCAGAAGGAACAGCAAATGCGAAGGGAGGAGCGTCCCTGGTGTTTTTAAGGAGACCACTGAAACCGGAGCAGGTGGAGAGGTGGAGCTCTCCTCTGGTCTGTGTGATGAGGATAAAGTTGGAGGTGAGAGAACAAGCAGAGAGAGCTGCAAGGTGATCCCTGCAGTCACCCAGGTGAGAGGCTATGGGGGCGTGGTCAGTGGGGGATGCCATCATGGCCCTTCACTGTCAGTTCTCATTCTACCTTTGCAGACCCCCTCAGGGAAGAGACCTATAGGACTTTGAGACAAGGAAAGTCTAAATAATTGAGGAAGTTTGACAAGGCCTCCCTTGAGAACTAACTTGGAGAACAAGAAAACAACAACAACAACAACAACAAAGAGTTTCTGCGTTCCAGGCAGGAAAGAAGTCAATAACCATAGTCCAAGAATGGGAGAACTTGGTTGGATTTCTTGATCCTTGCAACTTCCCCATATTTATTAGTTTGACACCCTCAGTGCATTTGCGGTGATTAGCAATAACAATGAAATGCCTCACAGAGATAGGAAGAGATTGGGAAGTCAAGCAAGTGGAAACTTTCTTTGCAGCCAGGCTGGAGTGGAAAATAACTCACAAGGAACTGGGACCATGGTGACAACTCTGGAAGGCTCTGATGCAATGGGGTGGGGAAGGTGCTTATTGTTGATGACAACTTTCTAGAGGCCTCTGAGCTATCCAAAAGTGACAGAAAACAAGGACATTGTTTAATGCTTTTCCTGAAAGATGACTATCTCCAAGAAGCCACATAATATCACCTAGCCATCTCCATCTTCAGAGAAGTGCCACCAGCATCTGAATTAACACCTGTTGCACTTTGTGTTGGGCTGCAAAATGATGGGAATTTAATTTCATCACACTTTTGCTAATTCACAAGCTCATATTTTGGATCAAATGGTTCAGGGAGTTCAGCTCACTCAAGAAAAGTTTCTAGATGACCCAACCACAATCTAGTTGCTTAGAAGAAGAAAAGACTGAGCCACAGGTATCAACTCAATAGAGTTTTTGACTTTTACCTCCAACAGTGTTCACTCTTAAAGGTGACTTGATTCTCTTAAGAGCTTCCCAGTCAAGAAGAAATAGAAAAAATCTAAATAGACTAATAACAAGAAGAGAGATTGAGTTATTAATCAAAAAGCTACCCACTGAGAAATATCCAAGTCCAAACTCTTACTGGTGAATTCTACCGAACATTTGAAGAAAAATGAATGCCAATTCTTTAAACACTTTTCCAAAAGACAGGAAAGGAGGGAACACTTCCCAACTCATACTATGAGGCCAGTATAACCCTAATACTAAGGCCAGACAAAGACATCACAAGAAAAAAAGCTACAGACCAATATCTCTTATGAATACAGATGCAAAAATTCTCTGCAAAATACTAGCAAACTGAATCCAGCAACATGTAAAAAGGATTATGAACCATGATCAAGTAGTGTTGTATTAGTTGGTGTTCTCCAGAGAAACAGAGTCAATAGGATGTGTATATATACATCTGTATGTATACGTAAAAAGATATTTATTATAAGGAATTAACTCAGGTGGTTCTGGAGGCCAAGAAGCCCAGACCCAGGAAAGCTAATGGGATAGATCCAGTTTGAGTCTTAGTCCAGATGTCCCAGCTCAAAGACAGTGAGGCAGAAGAGAGAATTCTCTGCTGGGCATGGTGCCTTGCACCTGTAATTCAAGGCACTTTGGGAGGCTGAGGCAAGTGGGTCACTTGAGGCCAGGAGTTTGAGACCAGATTGGCCAACATGGTGAAGCCCTGTCTCTACTGAAAATACAAACATTAGCCAGGCATGGTGGTGTATGCCTGTAATCTCAGCTACTCGGGAGGCTGAGGCATGAAAATCACTTGAACCCAGGAGGTAAAAGTTGCAGTGAGCCAAGGTTGCGCCACTGCACTCCAGCCTGTGCAACAGTGCAAGACTCTGTCTTAAAAAAAAAAAAAAGAGAGAGAGAGAGAGAGAGAATTCCCTCTTACTCAGCCTTTTGTTCTATTTAGGCCTTCAGCAGATTGGATGAGGCCCCCCCACAGTGGGGAGGGCCATCTGCTTTAAGGGGAGGAGCCTCTGGTCAAGATTACAACTACAAGTGGCCCCATTAAAGATAGTGATGTGATTACTCCCAGCAGGTTCACAGATCCATGCAAGTTACCCTGGGTTCTTGTGGGAAACCGCTCCTTTCAGACCACATCCCTTTGCCACAGGGTTGTCCTTAAGGATCCACAAGCAAACAGCTCCCTAGCAATTGAATTTGGGGAAACCAAAATGCCTCCCCAGCCTCAAATGAGTCCCCTAATCCCTCATTCAAAGAACTTTAGCAAATCAGATCAAAGTTTTGTTTCCTGTAACTAAGAAAATGTCCCCACGAGAGACATTTACACTTTGGTAATGAATAAAGTTATACCCATTTCATGCTATACATGGATGAAAATGGAGAGAGGTTGGGTACCTCTGAGGACCTAAAGATAATCTAGGAAGCAAAGGGTGATGAAAAGGAAGAGTTTTTGATTCTCAGTGTTGGCTTTGGCCCCTCTAATAGTCAATCAAAAATAAAGGAAGATCCCTTATCCTTGGATAAAGCTTTTCAGTTGATAATGCCTGTGCATGATCTCATTTGGTCTTTATAAGTAGCTCATAGAAGTAAACATGAATGTGATTCCCATTTTCAGGGAAAGAAAGTAGAACATAAAGATAATGATCACCCAAGGCCACCCTGCTATTAAACAGTAGAGCTAGGACCTAAGCCCAGGTCTCTAAATTCCAAATCATGGATTCTTTCAACTACCCTGATGTGGAAGGAATTTGTCTATTTTTCCCCAGATAGAGGTTTTAAATCACAGCTGATACCCTTTAATATGAGACAACAATTGTTTAAAAAATAATTTTCAAGGAGTTTCTTAGATCGACTGAAAACTGAGGAGAAGAAGAGTGACAAGCACTCCTTTTATAAATTCATCATTAGAATGCTTAAGTTGATCTCTTGCCCCGAAAGACTGCACCCTATAGAGGATGTGTAAATTGCTATGCCATGAGCCTGTGTTTGAGAATTTGCTGTTTTAATTCAGGCCCTTGATGCAGCGATTGGGTTCTGACAAATGAATTAAGGAGAGTTTCAGAACTGGCCTTTGCTGGAGGGAGGAGGGGTTTGATTGAATTATTCTAAATCCTAGGAGACATGCTAGTGATATTAGCATTTGTGCTGCTCGGAGTCAACAGGAATCTGCCTTACCCAAGAGTACCTGTGTTGGTGGCCTGAAAGTGGGTCAGAGATTTTTTTTAAGATAAACATTCTTCTATTTCCATATTAAACAGTATGTAGGTCATTGCGTACCAAAGGGCTCAGTTGACGTTGAAGCTGAAAGAGTCAGAATTGTACATCTTTCTGCTACACAGGGTTGTGGTGGCTGAGCAAGTGGTTGTTTTTGATGCAGTAGGTGGGGTGCAGTGGAGATGAATGGGAAAAGAGAGGAAGGAAGAGCATGCCAGCCTCAGATCTCCTCTCTGAGAATCAGAGACCTTGGAAGGTAAAGCAGGACAAGCATGGGGTCTCCAAGGCAGGGCACTTTGATAGAAAAGAAACCTTCAACCCTCATGAGCAAACATGAACGGCACCCCCAGATCACAGGAGGCCTTGGTCACCCCTCTGTCCTTCTCCTCTGGCTAGCTGGGGGACCAGGAGCAGGCCTGCCTTGAGTCTGATGAGGTGTGCATTGAGTTGGGGGTGCTGCTGAGGCAGGAACTGCACATTGTTCAATCAGTTGCATTAACAATGAGATTTGGAATCTTTGCACCTTCTGTATCTTGTAGCCCTGACACAAAACCTGGGGTGCCCCACCCTGTTTAGGACTCTGGCACTGGGGACAACAGATGGGATTGAAGGATCACCTCCACTCTTGCTAATTAGTTTTTCTATGATATTGGGGTTTCTTGCCTGCTTCTATTAAAACACTCCAGTTAGAGAAAAGCCTTTCTGGGAAACAAAGGGAGGTGTGTCATCGTATTTGTATTGAGACATCTGGGGATGCTTTGAAACATACACCTTAAAAGAGTCATACTTCCAAGGCCTGAAAAAGAACAAGCGTGTGAAGTGACCTTGACCATGCAACTTCTTTTCCCTGACCTCAATTTCTTCATCAACTGATGAACTGTTGAACTCAACAAGGATATTTGTGCTTGCTGATATAATGACTGGAGGATCCCTTAAGGACACTATTCTGCTTAGGAAAGCCTGGAATATAAGGATGTTAGAGAGATACTGGTCAAGACCTTGTGCTAAGGCTGATAGACGACCGCAGTAAGGACTCTGCATCCCAGCAGGGCTGCTGAAGCCCTGGCCACGGGGAATGGGCTTTTCTAACACCAATTCCTAAAGAAGACCTTAGTTCACTACACCTGGTTTACCTTTCACCAATGGGACCAAGACCCAGCTCTCAAAGTGAATGTGTCTAACACTTGTGAGCAGCTCTTGGGGCAGAGCTGGCGTGGACACATCTGAGGGACCATCCCGGCTCCAGAGCTTCCTGCGAGGTTGGCTGAGGCCTTCGCTGGGCATCACAGCCCAACTTCTCACCCTCCCAATCCCACCTCCTTCTCCAGTGTTGATCCTGAGAGCCCAGAGGAACTCCAACAGCGGAGATGGGATTGCGGATCAGACAAAAAGGAAGAGGTTGGACTGGATGACCACTGAGGTGTCCTGAGGCTGTGATGCTAAGTCTGTATTCACAACCTCAAGGGGGTCTGGACTGCTAACTAATATGACAGATTCCTGAGCGCTGCCTTGGCCAGCCCCACTGACCTGCATTTTTAGCAAGCTCCAGGACCATTCACCCAACCACTAAGGGAGAGCAGCTGCCTTAGAAGGAAATCCTTGTGGTCTTGACTCCAGCATAGCTACAAGGCAGGTCGGTTCTTCTTGGTTAATATTTTAATTTTACTTTTAAATTTTTACTTATTTATTTTCTTGAGACTGGGTTATGAGACTGGCTGATCTTTGTATTTTTGGTGGAGACAGGGTTTCACCATGTTGTCCAGGCTGGTCTTGAACTCCTGGCCTCAAGCAATCCACCTGCCTCGGCCTCCCAAAGTGCTGGGATTACAGGCATGAACCATCATTCCTGGCTGCGAAAGTTCTGAGTCATCTGAGGTCACTGTGGAATTTGGCTGACGGTCTTCTGGGCGTAAAGGAAGAGGG